>NC_000006.12:24605454-24908484 GCF_000001405.40 Homo sapiens | reverse complement strand
TGGTTCACCCCTCTGTCAAGAGACTAAAATATAGACAAAGGCAACTGTGCAGGGTGAATAGCACAGACTTCAGGTTTTATATTAAATGGCTGAATTGTACATACAATAGTCCCTTGGGTTGAAGGGTTTGCAAACCAGAGTTTTATTTAATCATTTATTGCATTCAATGGATTATCTGTTTTCATTCTGAAAAGAAGTCAGAAGTCTAAAAACAGTTCCTTGCTTTTCTTGGGAGGAAGTGGTGATAGAAGTGAAAGTCCGTTTTATTTACACAATGGGTGCCCCTCAGGGCAATGGCAGATTTGACTTTCTACTTGGGCTTCCTGCACCGGTGGTCCTGTGAGTAGGGCCTCGTGCTTGTGAACAGCTCCTTTACCAGGCTTATTTTCATCTGCCAAGCTGAGCTCCATGAGCTGGGGGAGATAGACAGCTTGTGTTTGTGGCCATTCAACCAGAAAAGAATAACAGCTGAAAACAGACAATGGAGCAAGGGAATTGGGGTGGGGTGGGGGTGGGGAGAGGAGGTACAGATAGCCCAGTCACTCATAATTGGCTCCCCAAAGGCAAACCTAGGTGTAGAATGGTCTCATAAAGCAGTTGTCATGTAAACACCCTGCAATGTGATTATTATAAAGATCTGTTCAGAAAAGGAGAATGATCATGAGCATATGCCTTTTCATCTGGAAGGAGCCCTTCTTTTGGCTTCATTTCTTCATTTCATTTACTTATAGGCAGTTTCTTGAAACAACATTTTCCCCCTGAAAACAAGAACCTCACTGTTATGCATATGGAAACCTTCAAGTTGATTCAACTGAACAAAATCACTCAATGCATCATGTATCTCCAGTGAATTAAGCATGAAACCCTCACATGTCCTCTTCCCTCTTCTGTGTCTCCTCTCTGCAGCCACCAACTTCTTCTCTGGGTTCATGGTCCAGGTTTTTGTCTTGTTTTGTTTTGTTTTTTGGTCACAGTAAACTCATCTCACTTAGGTTGGAAACATTCCCTAAAAATAATACATGTTTTCCTGAGTGCGGCAGGCTATCTACAAAAAAGATCATTTACACATGGCCCTGTGCTGGATTTAATTCCCTCTAAGGAAACCGGGAACACTATGAAGAAAAGAAGCTGCTCCAATTTATTTTATTGTGCATTGTTTACATGACACCGATGAGTACTGTGTGGAGGAGATGAATGTTTTCACAAGTTCATTACATTAATTAAATAGGAAATTAGATTTTTTTCAACAGTGAAAGCAAATGAGGTGCAATATTTCTATGTTGTGTTCCATTAGATCAAAATGAGTTCTCTACCAGACCAAGGAGAGAGGAGTCTCAGAGGAAGTTATTTTGTACACCATTTAGCATTCTAAAACTGATTCACAATCATTTTTAATTCTGAGGTGGATTTTAAGTTCAACTCTGTAATGTTATATAATTTGGGAGAATCCCACTTTTGTTTCAACTTAAGCATGTGTTTACTGGGCAATTATTCTAAGGTCTGGTCAAAGTTAGACATCGCATTCAATATAAAAATATAACATATTGGCTGGGCACGGTGGCTCATGCCTGTAATCCTAGCACTTTAGAAGGCTAAGGTGGGAAGATCGCTTGAACCCAGGAGTTTGAGACCAGCCTGGGCAACATGGTGAAACCCCATCTCTATGAAAAAAAAAGAAAAATTAGCCAGACATGGTGGTGCATGCTTGTAGTCTCAGCTACTCTGGAAGCTGAGGTGGGAGGATCGCTTGAGCCTGGAAGGTCAAGGCTGCAGTGAGCAGAGATAATGCCACTGTACTCCAGCCTAGGTGACAGAGTGAGACCCTTAAGAAAAAGAAAAAGTGTAAGATATTGATTATACCTTCTAGGGAGCACAGTCTGGTGGAGAAGTAGGAGGAGCACAATTGAGTTGGATAGGTGACTGGATGTCCTGGTTTGCCCCATAGACACCTGTTGTTGCAGCATAATTATTAATAGCACCACCTTTCACTCAGAGGTGTTGCAATCACACAGTCACCCTAAAGAAAAGGACTATGAGAGGTCAAAGGAAGAAGGCTGTGATTGGAGTAGTCAATGAAGATTTCATTCATGTGCCTATTCTAAGATTACAGGTAAATGGAAAGGAAAAGGGACTATTTACCAGACAAAAAGACTAGGAAGACTGTGAGCTCCCTGAAGGCACAGAGGGTCTGTTTTGCTTGTTCCTATATCCTTGGGACTTGCATGCTGCCTACCCAATGGTAGGTATCAACTATTAACTAACTGCCTGTGAACCTAGATTTAAGATCTAGACTGAAGGTAGGAAAGTTAGGGACAGTCAAAAGGCATGTCTTGCAAGGAAGGTCAGATAAGAACAATTGTGAAACAAGGCTACTATTAATGATGATGATACTAGAACAAGGTTGGCCAATGACCATACCGAAAACCAACCTTATGTACTGAAAAACAACAGTGTCTTTTAATTCTTTCTTGTATTTGCCTCTTCACTTTTGGGTTTAATGCTATTGGCCTTTACCTCTACCCCTGGAAGTGATCTCTTCCTTCTCAAACAAATTGTTTTGGATGTTAAATGAAGAAACAATGACTCCATTCTCTTCAAGCTTGTCTCCTTCTGACCTTGGCTTCCAGGAGAGCTCTTGGAAGGAAGGCAAGGGCAGGAAAGTGGGGAGAGTACCTGAGAAATACAAAAGCAAGGCAGAGAAACGCTAAAAGCACACGTGATTTTCCTCCTCCTACTAGGAGAAATAAATTCAAAGTGACAGTTTCCTGGAGCTCCTGGAGCTAGTGCAACTCCCAAGAGGTCAATTCCAGTATGACGCTTGATTTATCTACTTTTTGCTACATATGAAGTCCTGGAATGACTTGGCTTTGGCCTTAGCTGTGACAGTCTACCTTCCAATTAATGTATACTCACACTAGGTGCCCTGCTGATATGCAGAGGTTCAAGGTTAACCTATCCTACATGAAGATTCCAAGATAACTACCAGCTGTAACCCTTGAATTGCAGTGCCGTATTTTTAGTTTATAAAGTTATTGGCAGCATTTTAGCCAATTTGATCTGTATCCTCCCAAGTTCTCATCTAATTTAGAGTTGTCTCGGTGATGCGTCATCCTCAGAAATAAGTGGAGCTTAGAAAAAAAGAGAGATGAAGCTGAGGTGATGGACACCCACAGGTGATCCAACATTTCATCAGGGCTCAGTTGCAGAGAATAGAATCTACTCAGCAGAAAAGATATAAAATAAAAAGGGTTACAGGATTGTTGGGTCAGGAAGGCCAACCAAATGCTCTCTAAGTTGAAGGATAAGGAAACACACTCTAGGTTGAGCTTTTTGGAACACCTAAGAAAAGTACATTGTAAAACAGGGCTACTGGAGCCACTGCCTAACCTATACTCAAGAAGCTATACACTGGCCGGGCGCGGTGGCTTACACCTGTAATCCCAACACTTGGGGAGGCTGAGGCGGGTGGATCATTGGAGGTCAGGGGTTTGAGACCAGCCTGGCCAACATGGTGAAGATTCATCTCTACTAAAAATACAAAAATTAGCTGGGCACGGTGGTATACGCCTGTAATCCCAGCTACTCAGGAGGCTGAAGTAGGAGAATCATTTGAACCTGGGAGGCGGAGGTTGCAGTAAGCAGGGATCACACCACTGCACTCCAGCCTGGGCAACAAAGCGAGACTCCGTCTCCAAAAATAAAAGAAGCTGTGCACTGATTTGAGAAGCTACTGGCTCCAGAATGAGACTACCACTAGCATGGTCAGGAAAAAGCCAGCCAGGAAGCCACTACAGAAAAAGCAGATATTCCATGAAGGTGGCTGCCAGCAGTGACAATAAAAGAAGCAGAAGTCTGCTATGGTAGGCAAAATAATGCACATCCACCACCCCAAAGATGTCCATGTCCTAATGCCAGGAACCTGTGACTATGTCGCCCTACATGGCAAAAGGGACTTTGCAGATGTGATTAAGTCAAGGACTTGACAGTATCCTGGATTACCCAGTTGGGCCCAATCTAATTCTATTTGTCCTTAAAAGCAGAGAACCTTCCCCTGCTATGTCAGAGGGAATGTGACTATGGAAGAAAGATAGAAAGATCAGGGAGATGGAACATAGCTGACTTTGAAGATGGAGGAAGGACCCACAAGGGAAGGAATGCAGGTGACCTCTAGAAGCTAGAAAGGGCAAGGAAACAGATTTTCTCCTCGAGCCGCCGGAAGGTAACACAGCCCTGCCAACACCTTGATTTTAGTCCAGTGAGACCCATTTTAGACTTCTGTCCTCCAGAACTGTAAATATATGTCATTTTCACTTTAAGCCAGTAAAATTGTGGCAATTTGTTACAACAGCCATCTGAAACTCATACACACAGCCTTGCCCCCGCTTCTACCTTCAATCTTGTGCAAGTGCATTTGACGGAGACCCCAACTCACACATGGAATCCTAGCTGCAGGGGATTCTGGGCAGTGCAGTTTTCAGCTTCCCAGCTCCAGTAAGGAAGGCAGCAAGAAGGGGTTGGGACGATGCTGAGTGCCGATCACTCTATCTGACGCAGCTGCCACTGAAAGTCATGAGGAAATCGGGGAGCTGCTGGTCTATGTGCATGGCACGATCCTTCTCTGAGGGACAGTAGCATGTGGCAGAACACAAGTGGATGCCTGAGATTTTTAGGAAGTTTAACGAGTGTTAAGTCATTAAGATACAAAGGGGAGGTAGGGGAGAGGCATCAGAATAGTTGCCTGTTTTACCACATTAGAAGTTACTCTCTGGAGGATACCCCCATTTATCTTGATGTAATTATTATTTATTGTGTGCCTGTATCAAAATGTCTCATGTAACCCCTAAATATACACACCTACTGTGTACCCATAAAAACTAAAAAATAAATAAGTTAAAAAAAAACAAAAAAGAAGTTGCTATCTGGAGATTAAGGAGAGATTTTATGTAAGTATCCATTTCAGGGATAAATATTGAATTTCTAAAATTTAACCTTTAACTACTTACAGTCCATCCATATGGCAGATTGGCAGATTATATTTTCCAAAGATGCCCTCAGTAATAACTCCCACCCCGCATGATCTTTCAATAAAGTGACTCTGATACTCTGATACATGGAGAGATGGGGGTTTATGTTCTCTCCCCTCAAAACTGTGGCTTTCTCAATCAATAGAGAATGTGATTTCTAAGGCTAGATCATAAAAGATCATTCAACTTCTACCTTATTGGCTGGAATACTAACTCTTGAAGCTATCAGCCACCATGCAAGCAGTCTGACTATCCTGAGACTACCATGCTAGGAGGAAGCCCAAGCTACCTGATCACATAGAGAGACCTGAGATGATAAGAAAGAGAAAGATGCCTGGCCAGCCCCCAGCTCCTCCAAACCCTGCTGTTCCATGTCCAGCCACCATCTGACTGAGGAGAGACCCTGAGCCAGAACTGTCTGGCAGAGGCCTTCCCAATTCCTGACTCACTGCTGTTGTTTCAGGCCACTACATTTTGGAATGATTTGTCACACAGCAATAAATAACTAGATTGGTTTATACGGTCAGACACAGAAAAAGGTCAAATATGACCACAGTGTTGTGTTATTCCTATCAAATTTCTTCCCTGTGAGGTAAATAACATGATAGTAGCAGTCACAGAACAGCCAAATCTAAAGCTCACCTTCTCCTCCTGCAGAACATTGGTCTAAGAAACCCATTCTTAAATTGTATATTAGAAGCAAACTGTTGCACATTTTGGTTTGTTTGCCGGGGGAGGATTTGGGAAAGTGGAGTTGGTACCATTGAGAAGGAGTTTAGTTTCAAACTGGCTAATCTAGCATGTGAACAAACAGGAATCCAAATAACTTGTTTTCAAAGCAGAGCTGTCTCAATGTAGCAAGTATAGGTAGTGCAAACCTTACTTCAGGAAGTGTCCTCAAATTGGGGTCCCACTTAGGAGATGGAGAAAAAGAGAAGGAAAAGTGCCAGTCGCGGTGGCTTGCGCGTGTAATCCCTACACTTTGGGAGGCTGAGGCGAGTGGATCGCCTGAGGTCAGGAGTTCGAGACCAGCCTGGACAACATGGTAAAACTCCAGCTTTACTAAAAATACAAACAAATTAGCCGGGCATGGTGGCGGGTGCCTGTAATCCCAGCTACTCAGGAGGCTAAGGCAGGAGAATCACTTGAACCCAGGAGGCGGAGGTTGCAGTGAGCCAAGATCGCGCCACTGTACTCCAGCCTGGGCAACAAGGTTGAAACTCTGTCTCAAAAAAAAAAAAAGAAAAAGAAAGAAAGAAAAAGAAAAAGTAATTGGATTGACTACTATGCTCTGACACCTGCAGTACATTCTGCCACAACTGGCGATCCCTTACTTCCTCCAGCCAGTTGACTGCTGGTCTTTCCTTTTCTACCGCTTCTCTTCTGCACAGGCCTCCTTCTTTGATACCTAAAGTCTGCTGTTCCTCAAGTTTAAGTTCAAGGTCCAGTTGAGAATAGTCATCACGATACTTTAGTCCCAGTGATAGTGCCTTATATCTCTGTGGATTTTTGCAGTTTTGAACAACTTTTACAACCATGGTCTCATTTAAACCACAGAACAACCCTGTGATGTAATATCAATGTCTCTAATTTCACAAATTAGGAAACCAAACGAATGGATTAGCTGGTTAGCACTGAGATGTTCTGACTCCTCACTGGGCGCTCTCCACCCCGGGAGGTCCACTTAGCCAGCCTGGAGGCAGCAAAAACTGTGTTTCTCTGGAGGGAGGAGAGGTGATTTGTTCTTCCTGCCCTCCCCCTTCAATCACCAAACTATGGCCTATTTGAGGTATGACCGTTTTCTCTTACAACACGACTAATGTCCTCAGTTGGACACTTGGTTTTGCAAATGGAAACCTGCCCCTGTAATGACATAAAGGTCAGGAATTGCTCCCTTTTCAGGCTCCCATGACATTCCAAAAAAAGTTTGCCCTTTGAATTTTGTCATAATGGTCTTTGGCCTAAAATAGGATAGAAATGGCACGTGGTGTTTCTTTTTTAAGGGTCATTTTTTCTTTCCAGATCCTCAATGTGTATTTCTTCACATTAGGATGTTTTCCAGATGTAGTTTTTGTTTTGGTTTGGTTTTGTTCTTTGGTTGTCACAAAATGGCTCTTTCCCTCACTGATGGAAGAAAATAACCAAAGCAGGAAGGGACTAAGGGGCTGCATTAACTCAAGATGTTTTCATAAATGTGAATATACAGTAATCAGGCTAAAGGTACTGAAAAAAGCCCTATTGAAAGGATGCATAGTTTTTCGTGTAGGGGACTAGTTTCACTCCTTTATAATCCAGCTGGGGGAGTATAAGCCTGGCCAAGCCTGGCACATAAGATTCTGCATATGGTAAAAATGACCTTCCCTCTATCATCTCCCTTTAGGTGAATCATAGATCTTGAGTGTAGGTACACAGGCAAGGCCTTCCTGGGCACAAGAGGAGTTTGAAGCCATCGAAATTTTCAAAAAATAAATACGAAGTCTAAGGCAGGTGTGGTGGTCTGTGCCTGTAGTCCCAGCTACTCCAGAGGCTGAGGTGGGAAGATCATTTGAGCCCAGGAGTTCAAGTCCAGCTTTGACAACCCCGTCTCTTAAAACAACAACTACCACAACAAAAAGCAAGACAAAACAACAACAACAACACATAAATGCAAATTCTGAATCACAGATATGTGTACACATATTTCATATTGCATATTGACAGAAAACTACAGAGTCTCACTCTGTCACCCAGACTGGAGTGCGGCGGCCAGATCACAGCTCAGTGCAGCCTCGATCTCCTGGGCTCAGACGATCCTCCCATTTCAGCCTCCTGAGTAGCTGGGACCACAGGCTCATGCCACCACACCCAGCTAATTTTTGTATTTTTTGTAGAGATGGGGTTTCACCATGTTGGCCAGGCTGGTCTCGAACTCCTGGGCTCAAGCATCTCCCTGCATCGGTCTCCCAAAGTGCTGGGATTACAGGTGGGAGCCACCACGCCTGGCCAAGCTTCTCATACAATGAAACATCCAATCTAAATAAACATGTTTTATATTATTATAAAAGTAATAGCTATCACTAAATAGCATTTCTAATGTGCCAGGCACATGTACTAATTCATTGAGTGCTCACAACACCCTGAGGTAATTACTCCATTTTATAGATGAGAGAATGGAGGCTCTGAAAAATTACTAAGAGGCAGAGCTTGGTTTTAAACCTAGGCCGTCTGGCATCAGAGTCTGGGCTGTGCTGCGGCTGTGGATGTAAATACACAGACTCCAAATTCAGAGCCACAGTTCCCACAGCAACTGCCAGTTTGTAGCATGTTCAAAAAGCCCGAGTTCTCCCACATAACTTAGCTGAGTTGTGGCTGCCAGATCTTTTGGCTTAGCAACTCGAAACAGAGACTGTCCACGTAGGCTGAGGTTCTCAGTTGATACCAAGGCGTTGATGAGACTCTTCAGGCTTCTATTATAATCAAGAAGAAGATTTTTCACATCCTCCATCTGAAAGGTTCATTATTCCAGCTGGGTAAGCTGTGTGTCTGCAAAGATGCCCTATCATCAGGAAATGAAATGGGCACTTTTTCTCCAAGTAAGCAATGCATGCTGATAAATAACGCCATATCAGTGGCGTGCCTTCTCCTTCCTCTTGCAAACGATTGACGCCTCAGAGATCTGAACAACCCCACAAAAGGGGAGGAAAATGGAGAAAAAACAAACTTGAGAGAAAAAAGGAATCATTCCTTTTCTTTTGTGAGGACTTTTGTCTGATCCGTGCCCACATGTAAAGTATCCCTTGATCAATTTTGTCTTAATTACTGAATGTAGGAAAACAAGCTCATTGTTAATTCATGCAGTTTTAATTTATGCATAGGAGAATTATGCAGGATAATTACCTGCAGTTGAAGGAAAATGAATAGCGTCAGATGTGGTTAATTCACGCATGGTTTACCCTTCTATCTCTCTATCAGAAAAGATTTAAAGTGGTAACCAATCTGAATGATATGCAAAATTGCATTGGTTTGCTAAGTAGAAGTATTTTTTTTATTTGCATCACAAATAGAGTTCTCAGATTTGGACTGACTAGATTTGAATATAATTTCCAGAACAATAGCTGTGATTCACTGACTTAACTCATATGTTATCTCTTCCAGAAGTGCCCATTTTTCAAATCAGTGCAAAAGAAGCTATCTTCATGGGCCCCATGTTAGCCTGAGTATAGTTTCCTTTATGAGGATAATTCAATGAGAATGATAATTATTTCCTATATCAAGATTTGTGGGAGATTTACGGTAATGATCACACTACTTGTTCCCACATTGTCCCTGAACCTTCATGATCCAGTGGCTTCCAAAAACTGAAACAAACAGCTGGAACAAATTATGGGGCAATGAATGGACATCAGTGGAAATTTCCTTGTGACTTTTGTCAAGCAATAGATAGCTGCTAAGGCCTCTTTGAACTCACACCTAGTAATTGAGAGAAGGCTAAGAGGTGGTTCAAGTTTACTGAAAAAAAAAAAAAAAAAAACTACTCCCTGATGTTGAGTTGAGACAGGTTACAATAATGAACAATTTTGAAAGGAGAATACCAGTATCAAAAGGAGGAGCCAGAGAAAGTAAATATGTTTTTGTTATGACGGAGCAGTAAATTTTACTCTGAGCTTCCTTGTAACCAGGCAGAAAGGGGAACAAAGGAAGTTATCACCTAAGTTCCTGCTAGCAGAAAGATGGGCATACAAAATACAGCAGTTCCTTAAAGGACACATTCCCTTAGTGATGAATTGTAAAAGTAATGTCTTATATGGGAACGTATACACGGGAGGTTAAATTGAGCTAGTTCATTGCAGTGAAGTTCAAGAGGCAACACCTTGCATATTGATCTTCATTCTTATTTTCTTATCCCTCCATCAAGCTCTCTAAAGATCCAAAAAAGGACAACCAAAGGAAATTTCACAAAGAGAAAAAGGAAGATCTCTATTTGGCTCTCAATTGCCCTTTTTTGAGAAAAAGTGATACAACTTATCTAAGGCAACTTTACTTGCCATAATCAGATTTTGTCTGCAGAAAATATTAGCAGGGTGAGTTGAAGATGACTTACCTCCTTGCCCCACACCCCCTCACAGAGGACCCCAGCTTAGACAATGGAGTTACAACTTCATAATAATCATATTACTGTGCCAGAACTTATCGCTTCAGATTATAGGTTCTAGTAAGACCAACTTAAGTAGGAAAACACAGCAAAGTATAAAAACACAAAGCTTTGTTTAGGTAAGGCCATTTGTCTTTTTACCTTTGACCTTAGTGATGATGATGATAATAATAGGATAATAGGTGTCATTTAACTGAGTGCATATTTTGTGCCTAGCATTACACTTTGGCTTGATGTTTCCTTCCTTCCTTGCTTCCTTCCTTCCTTCCTTCTTTCCTTCCTTCCTTCCTTCCTTCTTTCTTTCTTTCTTCAGGGTCTGGCTCTGTCACCCAGGCTGGAGTGCAATGGCTCAATCTCTGCTCTCTGCAACCTCCGCCTCCCGGGTTCAAGCAATTCTCCTGCCTCAGCCAGGCATGGTGGTGCGTGCCTGTAGTCCCAGCTACTTGGGAGGCTGTGAATCCCTTGAGCCTTGGAGGTGGAGGTTGCAGTGAGCCGAGATCCCGCTGCTGCACTCCAGCCTGGGCAATAGAACCAGACATCATCTCAAAAAATAAATAAACAAGTAAATAAAAATAAAAACACTAACTGTGACCATCTTTAAGATTCTCTGTAACTTAAGGCCCTCTGGTAATGAGAGGTATGATGGCATGAAATTGCCTCGGAGCCAACTCTCAGGAAATATGTAATACATACACATGTAAAGTTTAGACGAACTTTCATTTACTAAGACAAATGCCCTTATTAAACAATTTTCCTTGACTCTGGAAGTGCTAACAGAAACATAACTGGTAAATTTGATACTTGCCATTTCCTGCTGCGAATATTAATTGTGGCACACAGTGTAATCCGGAATCCAAATCTGGAGGATGGCGGAGGGGGAGGGGTGCTATGACTGGCTGTGTGCAGCCACCTGTCCACGCTGTGGCCCCCTTCTCTCTTCACCCTGAATACCCCAGTCTGAACAGTTGGAGGGCATCTGCTCCTGGGGCTGGAACACCCGCACTGCTGACTCAAACAATAAACTCATCCTGCCAAATGATGTATTTTTGGTACAGAAAAAAATTCTGGCCCTCCTAGGAATCGAAATACACTCTTAAGTGAATGCCTGTCATTTGTGAAAGACATTGCCTAGTTCACATTCTGAACTCTGCTCATCCCATTTGATTAGACTCAACACCCACATTCATTGCTCCCTGTGTTTTCACTTCCAATGTATTGGGATGAGGTTTGAGAAATATACAGTGTGAATGGCGTTCTTCAAAAAGAAAATGTTCAGAGCGGCTGATTGTCTGGAGGGTTTCACTGAAAAGCTCACAATCATATCATAGAAAATTGCTCTTAAAAATCATTCCTTCTGGTGGTAAAATACCCTGGGATCCTGTGCCACATTTAATACCAACTTTATTTATTTATTTATCTATTTATTTTGAGATGGAGTCTTGCTCTGTCACCAGGCTAGAGTGCAGTGGTACAATCTCAGCTCACTGCAACCTCTGCCTCCCGGGTTCAAGTGATTCTTGTGCCTCAGCCTCCCGAGTAGCTGGGATTACAGGCACGTGCCACCACACCCAGCTAATTTTTGTGTTTTTAGTAGAGATGGGGTTTCACCATGTTTGCCAGGATGGTCTTGATCTCCTGACCTCGTGATTCACCTACCTTGGCCTCCCAAAGTGCTGGGATTACAGGCGTGAGCCACCGTGCCCAGCCTATTTTTTAATAGGAAGAGCCAACTATTTTTGACCTCCTGATATTATGTAGTCTCTATAACTGAATCTCATCTTATTAATTCAACTTTCAAGAGAGTTGAGAATGCACAGTAGTTAAAAATGACAGCCCAGGTACATGATAAAATTCATGAAATCAACCTCCTTTGAAGTTTTTTTTCCTCTAGGAGATGTACAGGAATTCTCAATCTAGACTTTAGTAAACTGGAATTGACTTGATAATATATCCTCATCGCTGTAACAAGAACAGCAATGAACCCTTTCGCTGTTTAAGCACTTTCCATTAATTGACCTATATAATTTTCATAGCGACCTATGAGTTTGGTTCTTTTATTATCCCTATTATACAATTAGTTCTGGAAAACTTAAGCAACCCGTGAAAGCCACACAGTATAAAGTGGTGCTGCCATGCCGCAAACCCAGGCAGGCTGGATTCTTTGGTCTCAGCACTGCTGAAGTAGAAGGCATTTGTTTTGTTAGTGAAACTATTGGAAAACACAGGAACAGATGACAACAAGTTCCAATCCTGACACGGGGCTCCTTTTAAGTCTTCACAACAGTGCAATGAAGAAGTTCTTTTTTATTTTTTTATTATTTATTTATTTATTTATTTTTGAGACGGAGTCTCGCTCTGTTCCCCAGGCTGGAGTGCAGTGGTGCGATCTCGGCTCACTACAAGCTCCGCCTCCCGGGTTCACGCCATTCTTCCGCCTCAGCCTCCCTAGTAGCTGGGACTACAGGTGCCCGCCACCACGCCCAGCTAATGTTTTGTATTTTTTAGTAGAGACAGGGTTTCACCGTGTTGGCCAGGATGGTCTTGATCTCCTGACCTCGTGATCCACCTGCCTTGGCCTCCCAAAGTGCTGGGATTACAAGCGTGAGCCACAGCGCCCGGCCGAAGAAGTTCTTTTAAATCCTAAGATTCCCAGAACCATTCCTTGTATGCAACTGAACGAGTGACACAATTTTATCCTGTTTTTCTGGTAAATATTTGTAATGCCTTTTTCAAATATTTTGTGCAGTGAAGTTGAAGCCAAGCGACTAAAGAACATGAATGACTCCTTTTTTTTCTTTACATGTTAAAAGGATGGGAGGCAAATGTGACATGATCACTGCATGCTGTGTGTATGGAGAAAAATTAAACCCTAGAAGATTTTTTTTTTTTTTAAAGTACGTATGCCCAGGCCCCACCCCAGACTAAGTCAGAATCTCTGGGAATGAGGCTTGGGCAATGACATTTTTAAAAAGCTCCCCAGGTGCCGGGTGCGGTGGCTCACGCCAATAATCCCAGCACTTTGGGAGGCCAAGGCGGGCGGATCATGAGGTCAGGAGTTCGAGACCAGCCTGACCAACATAGTGAAACCCCATCTCTACTAAATAAAAAAATTAGCCGGGCATGGTGGGGTGTGCCTGTAATCCCAGCTGCTTGGGAGGCTGAGGCAGGAGAATAGCTTGAACCTGGAAGGCGGAGGTTGCAGTGACCCGAGATGGTGCCACTGCACACCAGCCTAGGCGACAGAGTGAGACTCTGTCTCAAAAAACAAAACAAAACAAAAAAACTGCCCAGGTAATTCTAAGATACGGCCTGGTTTGAGAACCTCTAAATTAGTGCATTATATTAGGCTCTTTCTAGAAGTTATTGATAGTTATATCAATAGGAGGATGCAGAGGTTGGGACAAGGGTAAATATTTTAATGTAGCAGATGTCTTCAAATAAACCCATTAAATCCATCTCTAACAGTCGACATGACTGTGGATTTAACCCTAAGAGTATAGGTGTGGGATGTTACTCTCTGAATAGCAAAGATGACCCATTTATCCATTTATTCTTGTTGAAACTGAAATGCTGTTATTATTGTTATACTGTGTTGTTGACCCTCAATGAGCGCCTAGTGGTTGGGAATGGTTATGGGATATGAAAGTAAAACGCCTGGGGACGGGGAACAGGAGGTCGTAGTGAGACACCAGTTACTGTTCTTAAACCATGTGAGCACTGAATTGGATTTGTACTGATTGATGATGTTTGTGGGGCCACAAGGCATTCTGAGAACTGATGATCCTCCCCTCCCGGTTGACAGAAAATTAAGAAACGGAAAAGGAAATTGTTAATAGTAAGGGAATTCTGCACTCTTAGCTAAAGGAGAATGGAGATAAGTAGTAACAAGACCCCATCTGGGTGGTAGAAACCCTCATTCCAGTTCCAGTTCTGCTAACAATCTTGTTGGAACAGTTGCCTACAGGTCAGTCTCAGAATACAGATGAATTTCCCTTCTATACAACCTCTTCTTATTCCTGTAAAACAGGAATAATAATCACTGTCCTACCTAACTCACAGGTTGCTGTTAGCATGTAGAGTAGGTGCCAAAGCATTTGGAAAAGTGCAGTCTGCAAACATGAAATATTGTCCTGAATCACCTTCGTCAATCAAGGTGTTTCTTTGAAGTTCCAAGTAATATTTGAGATACAAACAGCTGTGTAGCCACCAGGAGATGAACCTTTCTTTCTGTTGACTTTGACCTCTAATGGGTCACCTGCTCCTCATAGCACCTGGACTACTAAATTCTTTGGTAGCTCGCTATGGTGGAGAAGTCCTCTGGCAGTTGGTTCGAACACCTAACTTCCCTACATGGAGATCATTTAATCTTTTCATTTTTGCGTGGCTGATGTGATCCAGTTCAATGCTTCCAGTTGGCTCAAATTGCGCATTTGTTTCTTTGGATCCTGACAGCCTAGGACCTCTCTGTTCTCTTGTTTATGGTGAAAGTCCCAGAATATTCCCACAAGCTTCTCCCTATAAACCAGATGATAGAGGCAAAATCTAAGGTTCCCTGACAACACGATTCTCTTCCCCTGTTGATCTGGGTCATATCCAAGAAGGATGCTCCCCAGTTTGGTTGGGGCTTCTGTATTTACACAGATGTTGGCCTGAGTGGAGTGGAAAATTAGGTAGATCTGGAATTTATTGAAGCCAGTTAATTTGAGCACCAGTGTGGTCAGATTATAACCTTCTTGTTTGCTTTGAAGTGGGATAGGGTAAATGCACCAGGCTAAAAGGCCAAACCAAATCATCTTCTAGAGAAAATAGACACATTCCCCTTCTCATGGCCTCATCTTTATCTGCACAGAGACCTGAGGAGGACAAGGGTTTTCATATATTGCCTACAGTCTATGTCCCCCATTCTTACATTCACTGTGTCCTAAAGTGCTCCATAAAGGGGGTAAAGGTTAAGAATTACTGTCTCTGAGACTGCCCTCACCTACTTTATGCTAGACGAGTGTCCTGATACCCTTAAGCTATTTGGGATTGTCTTTTTGTATCAGCAGTGGGCTGGTAGACACCCAGTAAATAAACTTTTCAAACATACACAGGAATAGAGTAAATGAGGTAACAAATTCCTGAATATCCATCACCCAGTTACAAAAATTGGCAAGATTATTCCATGCTTGATCGATCCCTTTGGTGATTGTTGCTGTTGAAGTATCTTAAAGCAAATTCAGACCTCTGGATTTCACTTGTACCTGCTTCCACTGCATCTCAAGAGTATGCACACTTTTGTTTTGTTTTGGTTTTTTTAGAGACAGGGTCTCACTCTGTTGCCCACGCTGGAGTCAGTGGCAAGATCATAACTCACTGTAGCCTCAAACTAAGTATGGACATTTCCTTGCATAACTCTAGGGCCATTTTACACCTGACAAAATTAGCAAATTATCATCTAATATCTAGTACATATTAAAACATCCCAAGTATCTTAAAATGACTTTTCAGTTGGTTTGCCATTATAGTCCAAACAGAATCCACACATTGCCTCTCTTGCTATGTCTCCTGCGTCTCTTCTTGTCCTTCTCCCACCATTTTTTCCCACGAATAAATTCATTAATCAGTAAGAAGTCTGAGGCCCTGTGAAAATCTTTCCAGAGAAGATCTGTTGCCTGCTTTATTTCTCCCAGGCTGTCCAAAGATTCAGCACCTCTTACTCCACTGTTTATAACTTCACCCAGGCTGATGAGATGAGGACACAAGAAAATGAATGAAAACTACTTTCTCCCCAGTGAACTAGAAAAAAAATGGAAAAGGCAAGGGCCAAAAGAAGCCAGGCAATAGAGTGAGATTTGAGTCCCAGAAAATAAAAAGTGGCCTTCAAACAGTTCTTGTGTGACCCAGAGGATAGAGTACGTCCTGGGTGTGAGCATACGGAATGATGCAGGAGAAACAAGGCTAAGGGGAGAGAATCACTTGAGCCCAGGAGTTCCAGGCTTTAGTGAGCTATGATTGCGCCATTATACTATCCAGCCTGGGCAACACAGTAAGACCTTGTCTCTTAAAAAAAAGAAAAAAATCTATCGGGTACAAACAAGATTTAAAACTGGTGAGTGTGAGGTGATGGAGGGTGCATTAGGGGAGACGGGAGTCTTGGGAAAAGTCTCCAACCCTCATTTTCTTGCTCTGTAAGAATGGATGTGGCTTACGCCTGTAATCCCAGCACTTTGTGAGGCTGAGGCAGGTGGATCACTTGAGGTCAGGAGTTCAAGACCAGCCTGGCCAACATAGTGAAACCCTGTCTCTACTAAAAATACAAAAATTAGCTGGGGGTGGCGGCACGCACCTATAGTCCCAGCTATTTGAGAGGCTGAGGCACGAGAATCACTTGAACCTGGGAGGTGGATGTTGCAGTGAGCTGAGATCACATCACTGCACTTCAGCCTGGACAACAAAGCAAAACCCTGTCTCAAAAAAATAAAATAAAATAAATAAGAATGGATGTAACTCCACTCTAGGTAAATTGGCTAAGGACCATAAATTGGCAAGAGGATTGTGGAAGCTAACTTACTAACCTAAGTGAGAGCTTGGTGTGATTACAGGAGTTACGTGGGCCTCTGAGAGGGGAACCAATGGGATAGTGCCTTTTGGGCTCAGAATACAAGTAATACAGCATTTCACACATGTACAAATATGCCTCTAATGTATTCTTTTGTCTTTGGTGTTGGGAATTTGCCATACGTTGATGGATCCAGTCTCGGATACATAAGCATTTGTTCTTTCTTTATGCTATATTGTACTTAAAGATAAGAATTAGGTGGCCTTTTTTTTTTATCTCGTTACTGTCATTACAGCTTCAAATCCTTTAGACAAAGAACAGTAAGAAATTATTAAACACTCTTGATATACAATAAAGAGGAACATAATTCTGTTTTGTTAATAATCTAGATATTTGCACGTAGCTATACCTAACTGCTTTGCATTCTAATGACAAATTATTTGTCTTTAGCAACCAAAAATAACTCAGCAGATGTTATACATGTGGCTACCTTTTGGTATGCAGCAGTTAGAACCAGCAATGAAACCACTATTCCTTTTATGGCAGTTTAATTTGCTAAAATTACCATGCAGAGGACATGTGTACAGGCCTCTGGGAAGCCACTCAACTTTGCAACTGCTGGCATATGACGGCACACACGTACACAGCACTGCCTTACTTTGTTAAGATCCTGGAATAACTCTTTGACACTGGGTTGTTCTGCAGGGAGTCAGTTTGTTATAGTTTTCTTCCTCTACTTTTTTTCATCAGCTATACTTTGTTCAGTAATAATTCACATGACTTTATACAAAACAGCACAGATTTAGAAAGACCAAGGTAATTTTTTTTTTGTATAAATTTATGGGAGCCAGGTGCAGTGGCCCACCCCAGTAATCCTAGGCTGGGGCAGTAGGGTCTCTTGAGCCCAGGAGTTTGAGACCAGCCTGGCAAAATAGCAAGACCCTATTTCTACAAACAATTTTAAAAATTCGCTGGGAGTGGTGGCATGTGCCTGTAGTCCTAGCTACTCAGGAGGCTAAGGGGAGAGAATCACTTGTGCCCAGGAGTTCCAGGCTTTAGTGAGCCATGATTGCACCACTATACTCCAGCCTGGGCAACACAGTAAGACCTTGTCTCTTAAAAAAAAAAAAAGAAAAAAATCTATTGGGTACAAAGGTCCAAGTGTAATTTTGTTACATGCATAGTTTGCATAGTGGTGAAGTCCAGGCTTTTAGAATATACATCACCCAAATAACATACATGGTATCCATGAAGTAATTTGTTATCCACTCCCCTCCCCTCTCCCCACTGTCCCAAGTCTCCATGGTCTATCATTCCATACTCTATGTCCATTTGTACACATTATTTAGTTTCCACTCCTGAGTGAGAACATGCAGTATTTGTCTTTCTGTGTCTGAGTTGTTTCACTTAAGATAATGGCCTCCAGTTCCACCCATGTTGCTGCAAAAGACATGATTTTATTTTTTATGGTTGAATAGTATTGTATTGTGTATATATACCACATTTTCTTTATCAAATCAACCCCTGATGGAAACTTAGGTTGATCTCATAGTTTTGCTATTGTGAATAGTGCTACATTAAACATACAGGTGCAGGCCGGGCACAGTGGCTCACGCCCATAATCCCAGTACTTTGGGAGGCTGAGGCGGGTGGATCTCCTGAGATCAGGAGTTCGAGACCAGCCTGTCTAACATGGTGAAACCCTGTCTCTACTAAAAATACAAAAAATTAGCCAGGCGTGGTGGCGCATACCTGTAATCCCCCAGCTACTCGGGAGGTTGAGGCAGGAGAATCGCTTGAACCCGGGAGGCAGAGGTTGCAGTGAGCCAAGATCACACCATTGCACTCCAGCTTGGGCAACAGAGTGAAACTCTGTCTCAAAAAAATAAAATAAAATAAAATAAAAAAATGAACATACAGGTGCAGGTATCTTTTTGATGCAATTATTTCTTTTCTACCAAGGTAAAATTATCAGAGAAATTTATTTCAAGGCAGAGAGAATTAAACATGACAGATAATTTTCAATCTACTAATACATAATAACTGGAAAATGCCAACATTCAGCTAGCTTGTTTCCTTAATAAAAACATCTCCCTATGTATAGGGACATACGTTGTTTTAAAGCAACATAGTTGCTTTAAAATATATATATTTTAAATTTAACAAGCATTTCTGTGCTTTTATCAGATGATAGTACAAACACAATAGGTCACAGATCCATGTAAGAGGTTCACTCCAACACATTATCTCTTTATCAATAATTAATTTTCATAATAGTTATGTGTTATGAATTTCCTTTATAAAGTTATATTCACATAAACAGGTCATTCCAATAGCTAACAATAAGCAACTAAAATCAATCAGAACACATCGTCACTTATAGCCTTTTAAAAACTGCATGACACAGGCTATAATCAAGAAAATAAAATACTTCAGGTCGCGGGTGAATTTCTTATTCAAAAATGCAACCACAGAATAGAGGCTGTGAATAATAATTTGTATCTTCCCACATAAATTCTTTAACCTTCCCTCCCTTGGATGAGCTCTCACTGCCTTGAGGGTAGAAAAAAGCAAAGTTACTGAGCTCTAGAGGCCACAGCAGAGAAAGCAGTCCAGGTGTTCCAACTGCATCTCTTGATGATCCCCAGGCTCCCTTTTAAGCCCCTAGGAGCAGCACTTTATACCTCATGTATTATTTTCCAGTCTATAATAAGATGCCTAAATGTTAAGCATTTAAAGTGCTGCTTTTTAAAGTGTTGTCATAACAACAGGAATAAAATGACGAATGTAACTGGAGTTTGAAAGGGCTGAATTAGTTTTAAGTCCGTTGCTTTACCTTCATGTTGCAAGGGTTTAACTCTAACCTAGCTCAAACAAAGGCCGTGATCATAGAACATTACCATATTTGAGTAATGTTGTCAGCTATTTTTACCATCACATAATTGCCAGTCAATTCTCCATCAATTCAATTTACTTGTTAGGATGGACAGAAAGAAATTAATTGGCCATATGAAAAATCTATTAGTGTGATTATGTAGGCCATATCTGAAAAGCTTTCATTTAAGATTATTTCTTATCCTTTCTCTGAGATGAAATACAGCATGTAGCTTTATTTATAAGGCTCAATTCAATTTCCTACTGGACCCTCATGCCCATTAATAAACACCAGCATTAATTGCACATGTTGGGCAAAGGAAACAAGCACATGGTGTGTAATTATACTTCCCAGCACACTGTTGGGTACATTCTCCTAGAACCTAGTGGCTTTTTCTGTTTAGGATTTCCAAAGATGTAGCTTGGTTGTAATGAGAACAATAAAAAATATTAGCTTATAAAAATGGTAATTTCAGTAAAGTCAAATACCAGTAGAAGTGAGGATGTCAGTATCATTTTGATGCTGTTCTGAAGTAAAGAAGCAATAATCACTAATAGCTAGAAATGAGTTGCCAAGCTCTAGGGAAAACAGGCTGCATGCAAATATGCCTGAAGGAGCTGATAATACCAGGAATGGGGCCATTTTCTTCTATATGGCAATGTTTTTTTAACCTGGTGATCAAAAATTGAGGATCCCTGGTCGGTGTATTTTTCTCTCAGCTGGATCAGCCAAGCTGTCTCTGAAGATCATAGTCCCAAGAGATGTTCCTTTTTTGATATACATGGGTTTTGCTGGGTTTTTTTAAAATAGGTAAATGTACTTATTATTACAAACAGGCTCAGGCTTCATTTAAGTGCAAAATGCTTTTTCCTTCTAATAAGGAAACAGTTGGTCCTGGTTTGCCATGTAGTGTACACCAAATGAGGGTCTACAAGTGTTCTAGACTGTGCATTTTAAAATGAGTTATGACAACATTAGTCAAAATCAACCCAATCCCTCATTAGACTTAGGCGAGTTTTATGCCCTGAATCATTTCTCTTCTAATTATCGTGAGGCCAGCTGCTACTCCCTGCATTTATTTAATCCACCAGAAAAGGAGAAGAAATAGTTTTCATTTTTCCCCAGGGCTAAAATGGTGTCAATTATCTAGAAGTTCCTACAATTGACTGTCCCAATGAATAGAAATGCTATTAACATTTCTTCTTTACTCTTCAAATGACTCAGCCAGACCCTTAAAATAGCTTCAACGTACTCTGCTGTCATTGCTTTGAAGAGGAATAAAAGAGAGGGAAAAGGGAGAGCAGTAATGTCAAATTACTTCATCTCTATGTGTTTCTTCACCTGTAAAATGTGTATAGGTTTATTATTAGCACATTCCATTTGATAAAAGTCAGATATCTCTCAAATTGCAAGTCCTAATTAGTAGGAAAGACCATTTTTCCACATGAAGTCTTTTACATATGTTATCTCATTTTCTCTTCAAAACACCCTTGGTGACTTAGGTATGATCATCATTTTATTCATAAAAAAAATTAGGGCTTAGAGAGAGCAGGTGACTTGGGTGAAGCCTGGATCACCCTGGCTGCAGAGCCAATGATTTTGGTATCTTACCCTGTACCGAGCATCAGAGAAGTTTCAAAAGACAGCTGGTACCCCCTCTCACGGTGGGTGTAGCTTGGTTAAAGAGATAAGACATTTGGGAAAATAACTAAAATACAAGCAAGGCCCTGAAGATGTTAGTACCCCATCAGTAATTCAAAGTTTTGAGGTTCGCAATGTGAGAGCCCTCTGGCTGTGCTGCTCAGAAAATGCTTGTAGACAACAGTTGGCTTTTGCATCAAATTATAGTAGTGGATTATAACCCATTGAGTAAAACAAGAATCCGTGAGTCCATACAGTGACAATAAAGAAAGAAATGAATGAATGAAAGGATTAGAAAAGCTCTTTCTTTACAGTAGAAGGAATGATAGAGTTTAAAGAGTACCATTTTGCCATCATTATAGGAATAATTGATTTGGGCAGGAGACATCAATGGATGCTAAAACTCCTGGGTTAAAGAAGCAAGATATTTGCATAGCCTCAAGGTACCTCCTTACCAACTATGTATCAACTAGAAAGGCAAAGATAGTAACTTTCCGTAGGAGAAACTGGCCAACAACACTTTAACCAACTGATCAAAGTTAACATCACCGGTAATGGCACCAAGCAACTCCTTGAGCCTCTGATGCAATGCCTTGAGAAGGACAATGTCACTTACGTGGTATCACTGCTAAAAATGCATAGTCTGACTCTTTATCACAAGAAAACAGCAAACAAACCCAAAGTAAGGGCCAGTGTACAAAACAAGTGGCCTGAATTCCATTAAAATGTCAATGTCAAAGCCAAAGAATTGCCAAGAAACTGTCCCAGATTAAAGGACAGACTCATGACAAAACAGGGAGCATCTGATCCTGGTTTGGCTCCTGGAATGTGGGGAGGAGGGACAATACATGGAACATTATTGGGACAATTGGTGAAATTGGAATAAGGTCTGTACCTTAGATAATAGTATTGTATTGATGTTACATTTCCTGATACTGATAATTAGACTACGATAGTCAGTGAATGTCAGCAAATGTCTGCAAATGTCCGTGATTTTAGGAAATACACATTGAAGTATTTAAGAGTAAATTTGCATCACATCTGCAAATTACTCAGTGTGGGGGAGGAAATGTATATAAATACATATGTGCAAATTAGTCTCATAGGATTTGGGAAAAAATAATGTGTGTGTGTGTGTGTATTTGGAGGAGGAATGACAAAGTAAAATGTGGCAGATGTCGACGAATGAATCTGGGTGAAGGGTAGATGAGAACTTTCTGTACTTTTCCTGCAACTTTTCTGTAAGCTTCAAATTATTTCAAAATCAAAATCTTTTTTGTAAAATTGACTTTTGAACTGCACATCCCAGGTACTCATATTTATAGTCCTTATGAATCCATGCTTTTCAATTACCTAAAAATTGCTATCTTCAAAAAGATGCTAGTTTCTAGCTTCCTTAGCATTACCTAAACTTGCCTGGCTATTCCTGTCTTATGTATCTCCCTCTCTTTTGAGAAAATTCCTTATTATTTAAATTATTATTAACAGCTAGGCTTATTAAACACCTACTACATACCAGGTCTTATGTATATTATCTCATTTGCACCTTACAAAAATCCTCTGAAATGTTAATCCTTTTATATAAATGAGAAAACTGGGATTCAGGGAAGTTAAATAATGTGCAAAAGTTCAAACAGCTGTAGCTGTAGAACCCAAACTGAGTGCAGATTTGTCTGACTCTGGATTCCACGTTCTTATTGTCTCTGCTGTGTTGCTTTCCTTGGAAGATTAAGAAATAGGTACCACTTTGGCCGGACATGGTGGCTCACACCTGTAATTCCAGCACTTTGGGAGGCCGAGGCAGGAGGATTGCTTGAGCCCAGGAGTTTAAGACCAGCCTGGCCAGCATAGCAACATCTCGTCTTTACTAAAAATCAGAAGGATTAGCTGGGTGTGGAGGCACATGCCAGTAGTCCCAGCTACTCGGGAGGCTGAGGCAGGAGGATCGCTTGAGCCCAGGAGATTGAGGCTGCAGTGAGCTATGACTGAGTCATTGCAATCCATCCCTCCAGCCTAGGCAACAGAGCAAGACTCTGTCTCAAAAAAACAAAAAAACCCAGAAATAGGTACCACTTCAAATTTTACGCTGTTATTTCTTACATGAAAAATTGTCTCCAATCCGCTTTATGTATACTCATGTTATCTTCAATTAAATTGTTAAAATTTTTAAAAGCAGAGCTCAGTCTTAGGTTGTCTTTGGATCTTGGACAACACATAGCATCCTGCCAGCGCTGAGCATATAATATATACTTAATAATTATATTGATTGATGGAGTCTTAGAAAACACGGAAAGAAAATTATCATATCACTTTCCAGAGATTCTGAAAATTAAGTTTCTTTTTTTCAAGTGAGTTAAAACTAAGTATTCATTATAATAATCTGTGGTTTCTCAAGCACTTTGCCTTTTGTAAAGCACTTCGTCGTTTTCTCTGTGTTTTAAAGCAGAAATCCAGCCATCTACAGAGATGGTGGAAAGTCAGTCTACATGTCCAAGTAGTCTCCTGATTGTTAGATTGGATGAAGCTTTGATTTCAATTGAACCTTACAATGCTTGCCTGTTAAAATGGGGAGGAATTACTTCCTTTACTCTACAGATACAGTGTGAGGTTCACTGAGTTTAGGACTTGCCCAAAAGGCCAGTTAGAACATCTGGCCCTGGTTCTTCCATCCCCTTGCTGAGGAGTGAGGCTCTGTTGAGTTGTTCTACACTTTTTTTTCATCCGTTCACGTCAGTTGTCTTAGTCAAGCAGTGTATCACACATGCATTCATCACTGGGTTAGCAAACAATGTTGACAACTGAGAAGCAAATATTAGCATTACTTTGATTTCTTAATTTATTTATTTTTATTTTATTTTATTTTTGAGATGGAGTCTCGCTCTGTCGCCCAGGCTGGAGTGCAGTGGCACGATCTCGGCTCACTGCAACCCCCACCTCCCGGATTCACGCCATTCTCCTGCCTCAGCCTCCCGAGTAGCTGGGACTACAGGCACCCACCACCACGCCTGGCTAATTTTTTGTATTTTTAGTAGAGGCGGGGGTTTCACCATGTTAGCCAGGATGGTCTCGATCTCCTGACCTCATGATCCGCCCGCCTCAGCCTCCCAAAGTGCTGGGATTACAGGCGTGAGCCACCGTGCCGGGCCTGCTTTGATTTACTTTAAAGCAGCCATATTTTTTAAAGGCCAATGACATAAATATATTTACTTTTTAAAAAAGATTAGTCAACTGCTCTGTAATAGGTACCTTGTAACCATATAATAAGCAGACGTGTATCTTTAGTTTTCATCTTAAATAATTATTTTGCATAGCAGGCTATTTACATCTGGCCCACATGCCTCTTTCAGACAAGTCAATTATACATCTGCTTTTGACCACGATGTGGGGGAGCATAAACAGGATGGCATTGTTAGGGGAAAAAGAAAGGAAGAACCCAAATCGGGCATGAAGAAATGACTCAGAAAGTGCAGTGAGGGCAGGTGTTACATCTTATGAAGCCTCGCTGGGAGACAGGATCAAATCACGAAAGCAACTCTCAGCTGGTTGCTTACTGATTCAGCTTTTCCAAGTCCTGATTTCTTGGCACTTCCTCTTGCAGAAGGAATGATGACTTTTTCTAGAAATTGGTAGTGATTTTTTTTAAACAGCTTTATTGATGTACAATTCACATACCATAAAATTTACTCATCTTAAGTGGACAGTTTGAGTTTTAGTAAATTTATACATTTGTGCTACCATCATCCATGATTTGCTTTTAGAACACTTCCACCACCCCCAAAACCTCTCTCTGCTTCCTTGCCTGCTCCCGTCCCTGGCCTCAGGCAAACACTTGAATTGATTGTGGAATTTTTTTACTTTTGCCAGCATGTCACCCCAGCTACAGCCAACTGATCTATGGGTCAATTGTCTTGTCTCAGAGGGGTTGGTCTCAGTCTAGCTTATGGAGATGGCATAGCTTTGTAAGTGTGACAACTATTGGTTTCCAAGTTGACGTTTGGCCCCCATGAGAAATGCCTTGGCGAGAACTGAGATATCCTTACTCATGTCATTCAGAAATCACAGATGTGTCTCATATTTTCTATCAGTAAGGCTCTCTCAGAATTGCCTGTTTGTATTCTTAATTCGATAGAAGGTTTGGTTAAATTTTTAAAAAAGGAAAACACCATAAGGGTTAAGACAGTAGCATCTAGCTATTGTATTTTCGTTTTAATTTCATGATGTTTGATGTCCTGCAACTCAAGCATGCACAAATGATCACGTGGTCTCTTGTTTCCCATAGAAAAGCCCTGGTCTCATCCTTGCAGGGGTTTCCTTTAGCCTCTGGCCAAACTGCCATATCTGAAAAATCAGAAATAAAAGGCACATGTAATGCGGACTCATTAGTTTTCCTCTTATTATTCAAAGGAGCACATGGAATATGGGGTAGACTTGAGTATCCTTTTAAAGATAGCTTTGTTAAAAAGCTAATTGATAGCCCCCTCGGCATAGCTTTAAAAAAAGAATCCGATAGAAAAAGCAGGATACAAAATTTTGCATGCAATATGCTCAAATTATTATGCTTTATATGAGAAGGGAAGAGCTAGAGAAAATTTAACAGAACAAAATTCCCCCGGTGGTTGTCTTTGGATGATACAAACGGTATGGTTCTTCTCTCCTTCTCCCTACACTGCCTCCTTTCTACTTTCTGTGTTTTCCTAATACAGGAGAGGGCTTTTGTGCTTGTAAAAACTAAAAATAATGTACTGAATCATATTTCCTTTAATGAGTCTCAGTATTCTTAACTCTAACAATAAATATTAGCATTCCTTCTAGCTGAGTAGTCAATTTGCCCAGTTGCCTTACAGGTTAATCAATGCCTCCAGCACTTCTACTCTGAACAAGTGAGTTTGAAGATTCACACCTGGCAGATGTTGAAAGGAGGTCGGCCACTGGCCTGACAACCAGGATTCTTACTTTAATATATATATCTAGCCTTACCTGTCTCGTAGTGAAATTGCTGAAATTTGAAGAGAGGCTTGCTAACTCAAGCTAATCAAACACACATGAAAACATGAGCCAGAATGCCAGTTCATAAAAATATAGGGAGAAGTAGAACCATCACCTAGACTGGACATTCCAAACATTTCCCCGTCACTTTTACTACTTCTACTGGTGGCACTACCATGAGCTGCACTTTAGGGCCTGCTGCATGGGCCTGCCACATGACAGATGTCCTTCATCACCCATCTTCCAAACAGCCCTCCAAGATTGATTCCTGTCCTTTATTCTTAAGAGACAGGTTATCTCCAAGTTCTCCAAGGAGGTGCAAATTCTTCCCCCAAACTGCAATCATATTCCACCCTTTATTTCTGGTCCAATCAGAGCCTGAGACCTGATGGGTGAGGGGAAATCCCTTGTTCTCTTTTTATCTGCTTCAGCCCCCTTCTATCTTCAGATTCAGTGTTCTTGTCCAAAAACCGCCTGCTGATTTGATGAGCTACCTTCTAATTTAAACAGACACCAGGTGTTTGGGTCAGGTGGTCGCTCATAGCATCCACCAAAGTCCAGTGTACCTGTATCACAGCATTCATACAAGAACATGTAAAATCTTATACTTATTATAATTTCAAAAGACCCTGATATGTGTTTAATTGGAACTTAACACTGCATAGTCAGAGAAAAGGCAGTGATTTTCATTGTATGAAGAAACTGGGACGAGAAACAGCTGTGGCTTTCAGGGTTCTGTGCCTAGAGGCTCAGCTCAGAATGGCAGGATTTGTTCAACTCTTAGTCAAGGTGCTTGGGATTCCTTCCAGAAAGACCCTGTTGTGTTGTTCCCATTGGTTATAGGAGTGGCAGGGCACGGGTGGCAACCTGGTATGACAGCCAGGGCCTCCTGCAACAAAGTCAAGTGAAGAGCAAACCATAGCAGCCACACTGTTTGCCTAGGATTTGAGTCCTTTCTGGGATTTAACACACAAAAATGAATATTAGTTATGCTGGAATTTTCCAAAAGACCAGGTGAGACGTCAATAACTTAGAGACTGGAAACATTTTTCAAAGCCCCAGCCACCCAGGCTGGAGTACAATGGCGTGATCTCGGCTCACTGCAACCTCTGCCTCCCGGGTTCAAGCAATGCTCCTGCCTCAGCCTCCCGAGTAGCTGGGATTACAGGCACCCGCCACCACGCCCAGCTAATTTTTTTTGTATTTTTAGTAGAGACAGGGTTTCACTATGTGGCCAAGCTGGTCTCAAACTCCTGACCTCGTGATCCACCCGCCTCGGCCTCCCAAAGTGCTGGGATTACAGGCGTGAGCCACTGCACCTGGCCTGAGTTTGTTGTTTTATGTGGGATTTCTTGCTTAATAGATATGGCATCTGGTGAACTGGTGAACCTAGAGTATATATCGGGTATATATGAGTATATATCAGGTATAGTGCATGTTACCAGGAGTACAATCCCAGCTCTAAATGTTTTGCAGACAAAAGTAATGAACTTGTTACATAGCTCAGAACTCATAATAAGGACTTCATCAGGAAATCTAAATAGTTCTGATGTAATCAGAATTTATAAAGCCTAATACAATATTTCTTGGCAATCATATTTCTCCTCTGCAAGGCTGATAAATATAAACAATTTTATAAATACAGTTATTACTCAACAGAGTTATATGATCTTGTTTATGAGCTGTCTCCTTTTCACTTCTATTTCTAGGCAACTCCAAATGTCTGCAATTTCAAAACAGAATTTTACATTATATGAAAAATACACAAATACCTTTTCTGTATAAAAATATAATACAGAAAAGATTAAAATGTTTCTGACTACCACTCAATCCCACCTCTCCATAGACTGTGTGTAGTTTCAGAACTTTTCTATTTGTGTTCGTGGTTTTATATAGTTTTGTTTTTGGCATTCCTACTATCATACTCTGTTTCATTCTGTAGTTTATCCTGGGGATCTTTCCATGTGGCCATGTTGTTTTTAACTGCCACATAATGTTATTGTCAAAATTATAACATAATTTTGAGTGTTAACCATTCCTGTAATGACTAACATTTATATCATTTCCCATTTTTCCATTACTATTAACATTGCCTGTGATGAATATCCCTGTATATGCCTCTTCATGCATTTGGGTATTTCCCTAGAGGAGCTATCAAAGAAGTGCCCTGTTAAAGGATTAGTATGTTTTGCAGCTTAAACAGATACTGCCAAATTGTTCTCCAAAATTTTAATTCCATTTTACATCCCTACCAGCAGTAATACTGCAATTCTACTGTAGTCCTTTCTTTAGGTTAAGGCTTTTGGTTCAATGGAGCACCTGCTATTAAAATGCAGATTACTCTGGCAGAGGCAATTAAGCCTTTAAAACCCAAAAATTTTAGAGGTAGTTTTTCTGAAAGCTGGGGACAGACCAGGTCTTTGGGACTTCTAGGAAGCCAGGGAACAATCTAAAGATATAAGATGCTAAGAGGTAGGAGTGGAGTGGTCAATAGAATGACAGTTGATAACGAAGAGGTGCATGATCAGTTACAACTGGAGAAGAGCTGGGGAAGCTGGAAGAATAGTAGCGAAGAACTACCACCCCTCCATCAGACTTGGGAGCTATGGGGAAGGGAGTGTTTTGTATACTTTTGTCCCTAATACCTCTACACTACCCTGCCCCAACCTCCTCCTTTTATTTCTTCCAGAGCCAGACTTTGTGTGTGTGCGTGCTTGTTTTATGACTCTCCTTAGGCCATGTGTCACCTTTTAGGGGAAATGATGGCAAGATAGAGAGATCTCAGCCTAAATCAGCTCTGGCCAAATTCTTTCTTGATAGATAATGATCATTTCTAAGACTACAAAAGCAAAACAAAACAAAACTGCTCACTCTAGTCACATTCCTAGTGGCCATCAGTTCCATATGTAAATTTAGTGAAAAGTTTCTCGGTTCTTTTTTTTGAGACAGAGTCCCCCACTCTCGCCAGGCTGGAGTACAGTGGCGCGATCTCCTCTCACGGCAGCCGCCACCTCCCAGGTTCAAGCGATTCTGCTGCCTCAGCCTCTGTAATCCCAGTAGCTGGGATTACAGGCGCCAGCCACCATGCCTGGCTAATTTTTGTATTTTCAGTAGAGATGGGGTTTCACCATGTTGGCCAGGCTGGTCTCAAACTCCTGATCTCAGGTGATCCACCTGCCTCGGCCTCCCAAAGTGCTGGGATTACAGGCATGAGCCACTGCACCCAACCATACATTTAATGAAAAGTTTCTGAGCATTATTCCCCCTCCCAAAGTATTTGACAATCTTAGGATCCTGGACAGACATTTGTTCTGATTTTGAGAACCTTGTTTACCTGTTACAGAAAATGAGGAAGAAGGAAAATTATTTTACAATCTGGTACATATGTTTTACTCTCCAGCGTTTAATTCATTTAATGAAAGAGTTGGAGTTAATTAATTGTAGCAGATTATTTTAACAGAAGTCTTAAATTTGCAATGAACTTGGTATCTTTTCTTTTTTTTTCTGCCTATCACTAGTGCAACTGATTGTTCAATCAAAACTCCTAAGTCAGTGGCTCTCAAACATTGGTGAACATCAGAATCACCTGGGGACTTTACAACCCTCCCCATACCCAGGTGATATCCCATATTAATTAAACAGTGCCTGGGGATAGGAGCCAGGCATCAGTAGTTTAAACTACCGTGATCCAATGGATAAGGGGGGAAAATTGGCTTGAAAAATATAATTTCTAAGAGGTATGAGATAATGATATAGTTAAATATTTCGAATACTCTAAGTTTTTTCCTTTGATCAAAGAGTGTCTGTGATACAATAGATATAATGAATAATAATTTACAAAATAAGATAGAATACTAAAATTTGCCAAATTGAGACATTAAGGTGGGTGCTTGGTTGTCAAATTGAGTACAGAAAGAACAGAAATATTAAGAAAGCATGATAGTTTATTACAAGTTTGCATGGCATACAGTGATACCACAGGCATGCTTTATGAACCTAAGAAAGATCCCCTTAAAGAAATGTAGACAGATTTCTCAGTAACCAGCAGAGAGCACAGAGGAGAACCTCATTAAGGATTAAAGGAATTGTTAAATATAGTGAACCCCAAGTTTCTCTTCAAAGAATCAGTATGTCAGTACGTTCAGGTCTCCTATTCTTTGATTCTCCATTTTAAAGTTTAACTTTCTGGTTCTCTTCGTCTCCTTGCTCCTAGTTTCAGTAAACAGCATTCCCACCAGTCCTAATCAGTAGTTCACATTTGTTCCCCTGGTCACCTGCTTCATCCTGACTCATCCCAGTCACCTGTTGGACCTGAGTCACCCCTGGTCACCTGCTCTGACCTAAGTCACCTTTAGTTACCTGTTCCTAACCGTCCTTCCTGCCAAACTACCCACCCCACCACTGTGGCTCATACCCCTACTCTCTTTAAAATAGCCAATCAGAATTAGCTTAGACTGTGCGGTCCAACCCTAGCCAATAGGGGAACGACACAGCAGTAGGGCCATGCTTCAGGAATAAGAACTCCTGCCCCTCCCCTGTCCAAGTGTGGTCTCACCATTACTCCATTCATAAGTTGCACCCTTATATAGAAGTAAAAATTGCCTTGCTGAGAAAATTAAATTTATGTTTGAGTGCTATTTCCTTGTGGCATCAAAAATTTATTTATAACAGAATTAGGAGTTTTTTGAGCCTTGAGGCTGGGGAGAAGTAACCAGAGAGAACCTTATCTGCACTTGCATTTTGTCTAACCATTTGTGCCCTACATATTACTTTTACTGCTCATACGTACTTCTTCATTACTTCTAAAATTCTGGAGAATGCCCTAAAATGTAAGCTGCTCCTCCCCAGCTAGTATGGGATTTGCATCTCACCCAGATGAAAGAGCAAGCCGATTGCCATACCTGTAGCCAAGTGAGTCAGCACCTGTACCTCGCAAGAATGCATACAAACTCCAGGGCTGCTCTCTCCTGGAGAGGGAGGGAGGGGATTTAAAAACCTGCAGCAACATGGGGGAGGAGGCTGTTTGTCCTTCTCTCTCTGGGGAAGTAACTCGCTCAAACTGCCTTCCTTGCTGAGCTGCTTCGCGTAGCTTTGAGGAAGGTCTAGTGAAATTGGTCTTTCCATTACATCTGGATGTACTACCAGAGAGTTCTGCTGCTGTTGTTTTTTTTAGCTTTTCTTTCTTTGAGTCTTTAAAGGGCAATTGTCGACACTCTGCAAACATACCGATTTGTTGTCTGCCCACTTTGGAGTCTTCAATCTGGGCAGTAACTATTTACCCTTTTTCCTGCTAGCCTGTCCCCCTCTCTGGATTGAAGTCACCTGCTAAGACAATGGTATGTGCTTTGACTCCTCCTGATCTAAAAGGAATAGAATTACCTAACAGTTGCAGGGTCATCCTTTGGGGGAACTAGCCCTGGGCTTCTGCTCAGCTGAAGTTGTGTTTTGACAATGCTTCTTGGTCTGTTGTGGTAAGTCCTTACAAAAGCCAAGCAAAAGACTGAAATACAAGTTGTGCGCTTTCTGCTGTATTTTCCTCTTACCTTCCCCCCGACCGCCCTTGTGTTCTTATCTAACCTAGATTATCACATCTTTTGTGAGCACTCCCTTTACCCTTCTTATTTTGCACTGTCACAGTAGTGGCACAATCTTAGCTTTCAGAATATTCTTAAAGATAGAAAGGGAGAACTAGTTCAAGTAAGTTCATCTCTAAAGTAACCTAGTGTTTTAGCTTTATGACCCCTAGGTGTAGAATTCCGCCTTAAGACTTGACTGTGTTTTCAGTTTGACGCATGACTTATCTGAAGCTTTGACTTGGCCTATTTGTGTGTTTTTATTGTTGTTGAATGGAGATAAATGTTACAACAGTTTTCATGTTTTTGAGGGTGTGGTTGAACCTTGTTTTAAAAAAAAAAATTCTTGAAGGAAACCTAAAGTGATGGACAATTTTGTGTAATTTATATTTATTTTCTTTTCTTTCTTCTTTTCTTTTTTTTTAGACAGAGTTTTGCTCTTATTGCCCAGGCTGGAGTGTAGTGGGGCGATCTCGGCTCACTGCAACCTTCGCCTTCTGGGTTCAAGCAATTCTCCTGCCTCAGCCTCCCGAGTGGTTAGGATTACAGACATGCGCCACCACGCCCAGCTAATTTTGTATTTTTAGTAGAGATGGGGTTTCACCAGGTTGCCCAGGCTGGTCTTGAACTCCTGACTTCAGGTGATCCACCTGCCTCGGCCTCCCAAAGTGCTGGGATTACAGGTGTGAGCCACCGCACCTGGCCATAGATGGGTATCTTTTTTATTCTTTTGAGAGTTGAACCCTTCGTCTTCAGGACACTCCATAATAAAGAACCTCACAAGCACTTAACAGTCTCATGGCTTACTTTACATCCTTTATCATTGTTGACAAGCTTAGTGCATCTTCTGTCTGAACCTGCCTATAAATTGTCATGATCTTTCCACTGTCTTCTAGGACTACCGACCAGACTCCCGGAAATCATGTTGGTAGGATCCCAGTCTTTTTCGCCTGGAGGGCCCAATGGGATCATTAGAAGCCAGTCCTTTGCGGGTTTCAGCGGCCTCCAGGAAAGGCGATCCAGGCAAGTACTGTGTGGTTCTCTCCCGGGATGCAGCTTGCCAAGGAAGTGAACTTTGATGTTGTGAAGAGGGTCTGTGTGCATTCAGCCTTGTCAAACCGCCCCCCGGCCTCCTCCCCATTTTAATCTTTTTCATGGAAAGGATGTACTAAAAATTAAGTGCTATAGTTTATTTTCTATCATTTAGAATTCCTCCTGCAAGGATGATGGCTGAGGATTTAGGACAAACTAGTGATATATGCATAGACCTCTCACTACCCCTCCTTCCACCCCTTTTTGAAGCACATTTTCCATTGCATTCAGACTTTGGAGACTATGTTTGCTATGAAATCATGCAGTGGATAATGATTCTGCCTCTGCAGATTGACTCTGGGGAGCAGATGTAATTCAGACAGAGGTTGCCAAAGTTAGTTTTTCTAGTTTCCTGAATCTCCTCTCATCTGAAACAGGACTTAGGGGAACTTAAGAAAGAAAGAACAGACAGTGAATAAGCAACATGTAACCAAGTTTATCTTCAGTTTTTCTGTTATCATAAAGGTCTTTGCCCTCTGAGGGGCCCTATGTGCTTTAACCTGTATTGTCCCATTTGTGCACACGGTGATGGCAGAGAGTATAACGAATAACTAACCTGGGAGGGGTGCAGTAGGCACCTTCCGGCCTCGGAGGTCTCGGCTTTCCTACTGATAGCTGGGTCAGTGAGTGGCCTAGCCTCTGCATCTCCTAATTAGATCAGTACTCTGGTTTTAAGTTATCAGATATCCATCTTACCGCTGCAAGCTGTATCCCTGGCACTACTAGAGATGTTGAAATTTTATAAGTTATACCTAATCAGTAATTTGCTTCCTAAAAATAAAGCTTTTAAAAAAGCTACGTGTATTTTAATGTCATATAGAATTAGCTATTTGTCATGCTTATGGTCCCTTATCGAAAAGAATTTATTCACATCCTCGTTGAATTTCATAGACACTTGTACCTAAAATTGCATAGTGCATGTATCTTTTTAGTTGGATTATATCCTTCTGCCTGTTTATTATGTCCACCTGGAACTCTTTGCCCTTAGCTTCCTATGATGTTTTAGAAAAGCAATACATTTCCACTCAGAATACACATTCCCTGAAGCCAGACTTTGACTCTAGGTAGCCTCTGCCCAACAGAGCTTTCAGGTTTCAGCAGTTAACAAATCTAATACTAAGAAACTAAATGCAGGATGGCTCAGATCTGGGAACATTACCTTCTGCAAAGGACACTAGTGTGAACACAAGATGATTACAAAGACATTTCTTGGTCAGGCACAGTGGCTCATGCCTGTAATCCCAGCACTTTGAGAGTCTAAGGCTGGAGGATTGCTTGAAGCCAAGAGATCAAGACCAGCCTGGGCAACATAGCAAGACCCCATCTCTACAAAAAATGTTTTAAAAAATTATCCCAGCACTTTGAGAGGCCACAGCAGGAGGATTGCCTGAAGCTAGACCCTATCTCTACAAAGAAAAAAAAAATTAGCCAGGTGTGGTGGTGCATGCCTGTGGTCCCAGTACCTCGGGAGGCTGAGGCAGGAGGACCACTTGAGCCCAGGAGTTCAAGGCTGCAGTGAGCTATGATTGGACCACTGCACTTTGCCCTGGGCACCAAACTGAGACCCCCTCTCTTTAAACAACAACAAACTATTTAGCTGGGTGTGGTGGCACATGCTACTTGGGAGGCTGAGGATCACTTGAGCTCATGAGTCCAGGAGTTCAAGGCTGCAGTGAGCTATGATCACACCACCATACTCCAGCCTGGATGACAGAAGAAGACTTTGTCTCTAAAACAAACAAGTAAATAATAGAAGACATTTTTCTTTGGTCAAATCCTTTTGGATGCCCAATCCTCACAATTTCTTCTGTTCTTTCCATAGGTGTAACTCCTTCATTGAAAATTCCTCCGCTCTCAAGAAGCCTCAGGCCAAACTGAAGAAAATGCACAATTTAGGCCACAAAAACAACAATCCCCCCAAAGAGCCTCAGCCTAAAAGGGTGGAAGAAGTCTACAGGGCCTTGAAAAATGGACTTGAGTAAGAACTTGAACCTGATAATGTACTTTAAGGAAAGACCCAAGGGGTCAGAGAAAAGCTGGTCTTATGAGATCATTTTTCAGATGTCTATTTCTGTAGGAGGTATTTTATTCTTGTACCACAATTAGGGAAGCCTGACATAAGTCCCAGAGATGGGAAATATATTGGTATTCCACATCATATTCATAACATTGATGGAGACCTGGAACCCTGTGCAGTATTGAGTTTCACTTAAACAATGATGGACAGACATATCCATTCTAGACATTGCTGAAGGAGGGTTCTGAAACCTCCCTGATATCTTACAGGGATTGTGAACCCAGAATAAGACTTTCCTAGTGTGCAATGGGACATTCACTATTTGTTCTATTTGACTAGATAGAATTCTGTCAGGCCAGAGCCAGGGCTGACTCTACAGACCTCTTGCCCCTTGCCTCCCCACTGGTTTTTCTTTTCTCGACTTTCAGCTTTTTTCTCCTTTTCTACTTTCCCAGCTGGATAGTATCCAGTGCCACTGCTAGACCTTTCAAAATGTTGAAAGACTGGGAAAATACAAAGCCTCCTGCCCAACTACAGAGCAAGGTTCAATTCTTAATCCCCTTTGAGAAGGAAAAGTCAGCAACAGCACCAGATTCCACTTAACAGGCGCAGAGATTACGATTACATCTTGTCTTATCTTTGCAGTGAATATCTGGAGGTTCACCAGACGGAGCTGGACAAGTTGACAGCTCAGTTAAAAGATATGAAAAGAAACTCTCGCCTGGTAGGTACTATGCAGTCATTATGATGTTAACACTGTTCTTTTTAGCCAAATAGCTTCTTTTACTGGATGGGGCTGGGGAGGAATGTTTGAGAAAAGCAGATCCAAGGGGCAGAGTACTATCTGCATCCCCCAGTATGTCTTAGAAGGAAAAAGAAGGGTATGTTTTCTTCTTAATGCATTCTAGTTAATACTTTTCAATATTTTCCAAGCATGTTTATGAGATCATTTTTTAAATGTATATCTTCATGAAACTTTATAATCAGGAAAAAAATTTTTAATGTCCTCTACCACCCTCCTAAATAATACAAGGAAATGAAAAGTTGAAGTTTTCCTAGCATATTGTTAGTACATACAGAATTTGGGTCCAGGCACGGTAGCTCATGCTTGTTATCCCAACACTTTGGGAAGCCAAGGCGGGAGGAACGCTTGAGGCCAGGAGTTCGAGACCAGCCTGAGCAACAAAGTGAGACCCACCCCCCGTCTGTGTTTTTAAAAAATATAAAAAATTAATATAAATAATTTGGAATCTAGAACTTTTACTCCAATTTTTAAAAAATATAATCAGTAAAATCAGGGAGGGAAAAGAGGCTCAAAGGAGTAACCACCATGAGAAGTTAAGAGTTCTTAGACCAGATCAAGTACATATTATGTTGCAAATTTCTTCTATTCTCATGAATCTGTGAGGACTTGTGTGATTGAAGAGGTGGTTCTAATGTCTACACTATTTTAAATGATTTTGTTCAACTCTACATATTATACCTCACTGTTTCAAGAAATCAGCCCAAGAAAACTCAACATAGTCCTAGGAGGTGCAGCTAGACATTCATAGCTGCTGTCTTTTTCTTTTGTAGGAAATGTGCTCAAATGTATACTGTTGTCCTTTTCAAAGGCTTAGAGATTCAAGGCTTTATCAATGTTAAAAATTTTTATGTTCTACTGATGTTAGGATATAAATTGCCTGCATCTATGTGGAACCCCTGTGTCAGGGCTTTCAGAGCTGGTGAATGCGCTTGACCATCCTCAGTGGCTGCAAATATCTCTCCTGGAAAACAACAGTGAACAAATGCAGGGGCTTCTGCCAAGACCTCATGTTCCGTAAAAATCCTTCAATTAGAGGATATGAGGATAGTGCACTGATTATACTATGATACTATGAGCACACAGGAAATGAGCTGGCTTTAAAAACAATTTGAGAAAAGCTTATCACAGCCTCAAGAACTCTTCTTAAGGCCGGGCGTGGTGGCTCACACCTGTAATCCCCAGCACTTTGGGAGGCTGAGGCGGGTGGATCACCCAAGGTCAGGAGTTCAAGACCAGCTTGGCCAACGTGGCGAGACCCTGTCTCTACTAAAAATACAAAAATTAGCTGGGCGTGGTGGTGGGTGCCTGTAATCCCAGCTACTCAGGAGGCTGAGGCAGGAGAATCGCTTGAACCAGGGAGGAGGAAGTTGCGGTGAGCCGAGATCGTGCCACTGCACTCCAGCCTGGGCAAAAGAGCGAAACTCTGTCTCAAAAACAAAACAAAACTCTTCTTAAATATCAATTTTATTTGTTTAGACAGCGAGGCAGGTATTTTTTAACACATATGCCACTGCTATGTTTTATATTCGTACCATTTATTTTAAATTTTTTTTAATGACCATGAATTTACATGCCCTTCAATAGGTAGGACGGGAGAGCTCAAAGCAAGTGAAAACTTTAGAGATCCCAAGGGGCAGGGAGGACTGCATGCAATGCTAGAAACAGACTGTAAATAAATGTCAGCTCTTAAATGTACTCTTACTGGTATTTAAAATAACCCAAGTTTTTATTCTTTTAAAGCAAAATAACCCAAGTTTTTATTCTTTTAAAGTAAAACATCCAGTAGAATTTTGTAGGGATGATCATTATTTCCACAGATAATGTGCAAATGTGGGCTAAATCATTCTGTTAAGATGGGTAACCTTTTGAAGGATAATGTTTAAATGCAGATATTCCTTTTTTTATTGTAGGGTGTACTGTATGACCTAGACAAGGTAAGTTGCCATTCCGTGTTGGGGTGCTAATAAGAAAAAAATTCTGCATCCTTGCTGGGCACGGTGGCTCACGCCTGTCATCCCAGCACTTTGGGAGGCCGAGGTGGGTGGATCACTTGAGCTTAGGAGTTTGAGACCTGCCTGGGCAATGTGGCAAAATCCCATCTCTACCAAAAAATGAAATACAAAACATTATCCAGGCATGGTAGTGTGTGCCTGTGGTCCCAGCTACCCAGGAGGCTGAGGTGGGAGGATCACCTGAAGCCAGGAGGTCGAGGCAGCAGTGAGCCGTGATTGCACCCACTGCACTCCAGCCTGGGTTGAGAGAGCAAAACCCTGTCTCAAAAAATAAAACAAAACTCTGCATCTTTGAGAAGTCAATGGGAGACCCTCTTAGAGACAGTAAAATCCTAGAGAACTAATAGTTTTTTGAATCCTGGAAAAATGCATACTTTTGTCTGATGAGGATAATGAACAAGTACTGTGATCTATAGATTAAATAAAGTGTTTAAGGTCACTTCCATTAAAATGCCACTGGGTTGTAGTGTTTTTATAAGTTTAAGAACTTCCCAGGCGTTTGGAGGCCTTTACCTGTGTTGTCTCTGAATATAAATTACTATACTTCATCAAATCTGAGTCATTGTTGATTAGAAAATGCACCATTATTTCATGTGCCATGAAGAGAAAAAAAGGATTCCAGTTAAAATCTGACAGTTGTTTCATTTTACCTAAAATTTGCATTTTATAGTTATCAAGAAAACTGTTAGGTCTGTTTAGACACAGATTTTTTTTCTCTTTCTTTTTAAAAAAATTTATATACGGTGCTGCTCCATGCCTTTCTATGTGCACAATAATTTTATTTCAATGCTGAATCATAGTGTGTTCTTTTTGAAGACATTTTAAAAGGCAAATAAATGCATATAATAATAATTACAACTCAAAGAGATGACACATGAACAACTATGATTATCTTTGAGCTTGTACAGGCAGCTGTCTGCCGGTAGCAATTGTAAAATGCACCCCAATTTCAAAGACACTAAAATGTGAATGGGAAAAAAAACCAATCTTAGAAGACAAAATATATTATTATGGAGAAATTTAAATATACTCCAATATGATACTGTTCTGTCAGAATCTAATGACTTCCATTGGATTGGCCTTTCTTCATGTTAAACACAAGGATTCCGATAACTAATTCAAGTTCACTTCTCAAAATATTTATTCAATATTAAAAAAATAAATTTCCAGGGCCGGGCATGGTGGCTCATATCTGTAATCCCAGCACTTTGGGAGGCCAAGGCAGGTGGATCACCTGAGCTCAGAAGTTCAAGACCAGCCTGGTCAACATGGAGAAACCCCGTCTCTACTAAATATACAAAAATTAGCCAGGCATGGTGGCGGGCACCTGTAATCCCAGCTACTTGGGAGGCTGAGGCAGGAGAATCGCTTGAACCCAGGAGGCAAAGGTTGCAGTGAGCTCAGATTGTGCCATTGTGCTCTAGCCTGGGCAACAAGAGCGAAACTTCATCTCAAAAAAAAAAAAAAAAAATCCAAATTGGTATTAGAGAATCTCTAAAATAGCTTCAAAGATAGAAGGAAAGGGGAAATATATTGGATTTTCTAATACTTTTGAGTATGATATAATCAAGATATTCTCACAAGCCTAAGTCAATTGAACTATAAATGACTGTACTTTTTCAAACTTCTTTTAATTCCAGCAAATTAAAACAATTGAAAGATACATGAGACGCCTGGAGTTTCATATAAGTAAGGTAACTGAAATTCCTGTTCTCATTGCCTGTTTTTCAGTTCTGTTGCTAATCAAATACACCTTTGGGCTGAGCGTAGTATCTAGTGCGTGGAGAACTTCCTATCCAATTGACTCCTAAGCTGACTAGCAATTACGTCATCAAGTGGGCACTAAAGATGGAGGAACAATAAGAATGGAAGGCCTGATGGCCCAGCACAGTTTTGACTCTACCTCAGTTCCACAAACATTTATTAAGTGCTAAGTAACAGGCACAGTTACTTCCAGCCTCAGTGTAGAGTGCTTAGAGATAAACTATCAATCAAACTAGCCCTACAAAAAACTTCATGTTTGTCTAACTTTACACTCTGGTTCCACATAACACTTGGTGCCCCGTAAACTTCTTCATGAAGGCCTTATAACTACCAAAAGACCACTGTCTCAGCGCCTCCCTCAATCTCTCTCAAGCCCTTGGCTCTTTCCACTCTCCCTCATATGGCATGGTTTTCGGGTGCCATTTTATCCTCTCTCCCCTAGATGTGCACTACTTTGTCAGTGTCCCTGACACCCAGCCCTGAACCCCATAGTTCACTGGTGGTCCAATGAGGCTGACTATCACCCCCTTGTTCTGGGCACTATCAGGAGTTATTGGTGCCACCTAGAAAATATTTACCTTTAGAGGCAGCTAAATCACACCATTATCAATTCCTGTTTGTCTATATCTATCAGCCTCTCTTCCAAGTGGGGAGCCTGGGAGTTTTAGCAGATCTCTCTAAGAGTCAGAAGCCCTAGGTTCTATTCCCAGCTCTGCCACCTACTCACTTGCTATGTCATCTATGTGAATCTTGGCTTTCTACTCTGTGAAGTGGAGCTGGGGAGGTACACAGATTTGATCTACATGATCCTAAGAATCCTTTCTGGTTTAAAATTCTAGGATGATTTGTATGTATGGATATACATGTATATGCTACTGCCTTCGTACATTCTTGCTTTGAAAGATATTTACTACCTAGGCAAATCTGAAATTGCTCCTATTTCTGCTAAACTCAATAAATAAAACAATGACATCCATCAGAAGGTATTTATGTGGCAGGCAAGCTTTGACATATTATTGTTTAATTCAAAAAACAGCAAGAAAACAATCAGTATTAGGTAAGGGTATATTTATCAATCTTGCATCCATGGTTGTTAGATACAACAATCCCAATGGTTTTCAAAGGTCAGTGGTACTCTTTCTGTTTGCAATATCTTATATTCAGACGCCTAACAAATTATATGTAATTGAATGATTCAATTAATCAGTTTATTTAATGAGCCACTGCTGACTGATAGGTAAGATAAATGCTTGCCTACAAATGGCCTTCTGCTAAGGTGACTACCTAGGTATACTTTATCCAAAAGTTTAATTCCATTTGGCTAGGATAGGTTGATATTTAAGCAAAAACAAAGAATAAACTTTCTCACTACACAAAGTAATAGATTAAGTCATTATGGCTATACCGATGGTCCTGTGGGCACTGTCTCCTTATTGAAAGGATAACAAGCTCAGAAACTTTGGCGTACCCACTAGTAGGGGAAAGGGTTGCAAGGGCAGTTCCCCAGAAGACCACATGGGTGACATAGCCTGACCTGCATTGGAAGAGATATTAGCACTTGGGTTTCTAAAAGTTTTGTGGGGATCTCCCACATCAGAACAATTTGCAATGTTTATTTAAAATTTCAGATTCCTGGCCCAGCCCTAACCTACTGAATCAGCATCTCAGAGTGGGGCCTGGGCATCAGCATTTTACCAAGCTCACCAGATGAGGCTTAGCTTTAAAGCACGGAAACCACACTCTATGCCAACCATCAACCAAAAGATGTCATCAGCAGATAGGACACTCCTTGAGTCTTATATCTCCCTCTTAATCAAAGATAAATCCACTGACCCTGAAGATTAAAGATGATTCTTTTCAGTTTGGGCATTCTTCTCAGCAGAGTTGAGTGCATTGTTGAAGTAAATAGCAACAAAGAATCCTTTAATCAAGAGAATAATTTTTAGTCTCTTCATGTTTGCATTCTAAACTAAGTGTCATTGATATCTGTGTAGAGAATGCAATTATGGAAAATTGTAATCCTCAAACAGGTTATAGTAATGCTTTTTAGTGAGCAGCCAAAAGTTTGCCTTCAGAACAAAACGGGACTCTTAAACTCTGAAATCTAGTATATGCATCTCCACCTTCTTCTGGATCTATAGTTAAGCTTCCTTTTTGAAGAAACAAAGTTCATACTGAAATGAAAATTCAAATAGTGCTAGGTAAGTATGCCTCCCCAAAGCAACAGGTTTTATTTGCTTTTGACAATGCCTGATGGTATTGTTGTTTGTTATCCGCCTGAAAATTCTTGTAGTTAACTGCAGTCAGTTAAAGATAGTACCAGACTTATAGAGATAAATATCATTAGGAATAACTTTAGAACAGGTTTTTTTTTTAGCTAAGCACAATGATGTGCACCTGTAGTCTCAGCTACTTGGGAGGTTAAGAGGATCACTTGAGCCCAGCAGTTAGAGACCAGCCTGAGCAACATAGCAAGACCTCATCTCAAAAAAAAAAAAAAAAAAATTTTCAACCCTAGCACTACTGGCATTTGGGGATAATTCTCTATTGCAGGAAGCTGTCCTCTGCATTATAGGATGTTTAGCAGCATGCCTGGCCTCTACCCACTAGATGCCAGTAGACCCCTGGGGGTCAAAATTGCCTTGGGTTGATTGAGAATCACTGCCTTAGAAGAATTAGCTGATTATCAGGCTTATATGAGTATAAAATCAATAGTCATTTGAAAAGGGTATATTGTTATTATTTAGAAGCATAAGTGTAGATGTGTAGCAAAAGAAAAGTTCATTTATATTGCTTCAATTTATTTTTTTGTAATTGTCACATAATTTACACGAAAAAGAGTTGAGTTCTTAAGTGTTCAGTTTGATATATTTAGATAATTGTGTTTTACCCTAATTTTAAGAATAACTTTTTCCTTTACAGTTGAGCCAAGACTTTACAAAAGTTATCTTCAATATATATCCCCAAGTTACTTTATGAAATACTAAATCTGGATGTGTAAATATCAGGATTACAAATCCTAATATTGTGACACTACCTCTTAAAGTGATATTAGCCTAGGATACTACAAAGTTTTCACCTTGGTATGAAATTGTACAAACCCTTTCAGTGTTTGTTCTATATACAGAAGGCTCTCATCTTCCTTATTTAATAGTTACAGTCTTATTTAATACTTAATTATTTTTATTATTTAATACTTATTTGTTTAATACTTATTTAATACTTACAGAAAGCTCTCATCTTTCTTATTTAATACTTACAGTCCACCCATGAACCCACAAAGTCACCTGGGAGTCATTTTAAACAATTCCAATGATAGCCTCAAACAATGCAAGAGAGGCACTTCCCTTTTGCATAATTTGAAAACAGGATTAGAGCAAAATCTGTTTTGAGACAAAATGTATCACAGTGGCTACAATAAAAACGATTGGTCCCTATCTAAAAGGATAATACTTCTACAGGATTCTCTTTGTAGAGGTCAGAAATATAAAGTAAATTAAGCATGTAACAATGATCTATGTATTTTCTTTCAAGCCTGACATTTATTTCTGTTTCCTGTTTTGATTCTGGCAGGTAGATGAACTCTATGAAGCTTATTGTATCCAGCGACGCCTCCAGGATGGTGCCAGCAAAATGAAGCAAGCCTTCGCAACATCCCCTGCCAGCAAAGCTGCCCGGGAGAGTCTGACAGAGATCAATCGGAGCTTCAAGGAGTACACAGAGGTATAACTCCCTAACCTGCTTAAGTTGCCGAATCCCATCTGGCCTGGTGTGAATTGTTGGTAATTGCCAAGAACAAGGCAAACAGCAACCCACAACCTCATTCCACCCTCTAGAAAGATAGGTTTTACTGTTAGCCTAAAAAGTATGCAAGAAAGGCAATCGGTAGAATTGCTTAAAATGAATGAATAAGCTGGGAGTGGCGGCATGTGCCTGTAGTCCTAGTTATTCAAGAGGCTGAGGCAAGAGCATTGCTTGAGCCCAGGAGTTCAAGGCTGCGGTGAGCTACGATCGCGCCACTGCACTCCAGCCTGGGTGACAGAGCGAGGCCACATCTCTAAAATAAAATAAAATGAATGCGTAAACCACATTGCCCTGATTTGTGTCATTTAAACACACTTCTAAATATTCTAGTGTAAATCGAGCCTAGTTTTATCCCTGGAAGTGGAGCAGACCCTATGGTTCAGATAGCTACACTGGATGTCAGTGTTGGATCAGTAACCCTCTGCCTACAATGTTTTTTTTAATTGTGAGAAATTTTTATCATAAAGGAGCCAAGATTAAGAACCATGAACAGAAGTGTGCTTTCCTGGTTTCCAACTCTCTGGGGCCCAAGCATCTGACATAGAGAGGTCTTCACTCCTCCTGGGGTCACCTAATACCAATGTCTTTGATGAAATGACTAAATTATTAAAGCAGCACTCCTCACTATCCCATGAGTCTTTGTTCAGAGATCAGATTTCATGAATGAAGTCATCAGCCTGTAGAGGGTCTGTTGGACAATTCCCAGAGCTGAGCATCTGGTTCAGCCCTGGGATCAGAAGGACAGCTTGGATGACTGTCAGTAGGATCCCTTTGTGTGTACACTCCCGTGTTGCCTCTTGTCTAAACCAAGTTTCTCTCTTTATTTGACTTAAAGCAGGGCTTCTTTACCTAAGTTCCTCCTTTAGAATAATTTTTTTATTATTTTTTGAGAGATAGAGTCTTGCTCTGTCACACAGGCTGGAGTGCAGTGGCGCGATCTTGGCTCACTGCAATCTCTGCCTCCCGGGTTCAAGTGATTCTCCTGCCTCAGCTTCCCAAGTACCTCTCCTGCCTCAGCTTCCCAAGTAGCTGGGACTACAGGTGTGTGCCACCACACCCGGCTAATTTTTGTATTTTTAGTAGAGACGGAGTTTTACTATACGTTGGCCAGGCTGGTCTCGAACTCCTGATCTCAGGTGATCCACTCGCCTCTGCCTCCCAAAGTGCTGGGATTACAGGCATGAGCCACTGAGCCCGGCCTAGAATAATGTTTTTTAAATGCATAAAATAAAATACATAGGAATTGAAAAGAAGAAAATATATTGAAATACAGTTATTTCAAAATCATCAGTATAGTTTTCAAAATATTTCAAAAGTCAAATATGTGACATAGTTCTATGCTGCTGCTTTATTAACACATCAAATTATAAGATCTAGTAGTGGCTCTAATAACTACTGAAACATCAAAGTAATGAAAAGTATAAATGATTTTTTAAAAAGTTATCTGCAATAAATAATGTGACATGAACATATATGTGATTTCTATCAGTGTCAAAGTCACAGGTATGGCTAATACTGCTGTGGCTTGTTTTCTACCTTCATCATACCTAAACATGTTTAATTTCAGTTAAATGATAGTGAAAATAAAGATCTGACTCTTCCCACCCTCCCCCATCCTACTTTGTAGAGCTGCAGATTGAAAATTCCTGGCCTAGAAGCAGTCCTAGTTCACGAGACCCCATTTCTACAGATCTCTGAAATGAGGAGAGCCGTTTCCAATTATAAAGGATGTTTATAGGACAAATGCAGATAACTGACCAGCAGAATGCAGGGGCTGCCTTTGTTGGCATATTTGCAGGTCATTTCAGACACAGCCACCCTTGATCAAGTGCCAGGGCATGGCATCATGACCTTGCTCACAAATTCAAAGACATAGAGTGCAATTTAAACTGCCTTAGAGAAGAAAGAAGTCCAGGACTTCTGTAGCCTCATACCTCATTTGGTATCAGGTGGTTTTATATCCTCATGGCCGGGTGCAGCGGCTTATACCTGTAATCCCAGCACTTTGGGAGGCCAAGTTGGGAGGTTCACTTGAGGTCAGGAGTTCAAGACTAGCCCAGCCAACATAGCAAAACCCCGTCTCTACTAAAAATACAAAAATTAGCCGGGCGTGGTGGCGGGCACCTGTAATCCCAGCTACTCGTGAGGCTGAGGCAGGAGAATCGCTTGAACCTGGGAGGCAGAGGTTGCAGTGAGCTGAGACGGCGCCACTACACTCCAGCCTGGGTGACAGATAGAGACTCTATCTCAAAAAAACAAAAAAGCAAGAAAGAAATACATCCTCACATAACCACAAAAGCCAGCATGTTATTATGATGATGGTTTAAAATGAGGATTTAACAATGAGGTCAAGGTAGGCTCAGGTGCTTTTTCGTGTGCAGCAATGTTCATCAGTGGCTGTGGGTGGTGGGGGGGTGCCAGTGGTCGGGGGAGGAAAATTTTGACCATGGATGTCCTCAAGTCTTAACCTAGCTGCTCTCACGTTTTTCAGAGATACTGGTAGCAATCCTGACATGCATGATAGCATAGTTGATATGTCTGGAAACTGTTTCTTCACAGAAGTGCCCAATACTCTGAGGAAATAAATTGGTTTATAATACTGAGGCTTTGTTTTCAAGGCTTTCAAGCTACGCAGAGCTCAGACTTCAGGAAGTTTTCCCCAGCCTTGCTAGCTAGTTCAGGTAGTGAGAATTTACAAGGGAAAAAGCAATGCCATTCTCTTTGCATCCCATGAGAGTGATCATTTGGAGCAGAACAACGAAACATAGAAGAATCAGAACCTCTAGGCTGAGGTCCTCAGCATACAGAATTCAAATGGAAGCAATACCAGCCTGCACTAATCAAGCTGGCCATGCTTTTGTCAGTGAGGCCACCCTCGAACCCCTAGCCTTGTGGGAGGCTGGCAACTGAGGGAGAAGCCTGCAGACATCACCCTGCATCAAGCTTCAATGGAGACTGCTGCTTAGCATAGCAGAGGCAGCATCCAGATTGTAAGCTGGTCAAGCAGCAGAAGGGCCTCCCTGGGGATGGCCCATGGCCGCAGCACTTTCCCTTTTCATTTCTAACTGCAATTGTTCTATTTAGGTCCTCAGGTATTGAGGAAGTAGGGTGAGGCTAGTTATGTATCTAACCACATGCACAGATGGTGTTACTCCTTCTCTCTATCCTTTTCCTTCAACATCAAAGAGAAGACCCTTGTCAGACCCAAAAATAATTTTTGGGGCGCTGTAGGTTTGCAGTAGGAAGTCTGCCTTACTCACTTGAGCAGAATTCAGCCCTTGTGCTCTTTTGGCCCCAAATTTTTAAGAAAAATTTCAAACCTATAGAAAAATTGAAAGACTTGTACATTGAACACCATATGCCTTTATCTAGATTTACCAATTGGTAATATTTGGCCATATTTGCTTTCCCTCTCTCTCATATGATCAAATCCCCCTCAAGTCATTTGACAGTAAGTGATAGACATCATGACATTTCACCCTATATGTATTTTAACCTGGATCTCTTTTTAAAATTTATTTGTAATTGGCAAATAAAAACTACATATTTATGGTATACAACTTGATGTTTTGAAGTGTGTATGCACAGAAATATGTAATACAATGGCTAAATCAAGCCAGGGATCTCTTAATAGTAACCTATGGAATATCTACATTTCCTACATAACCACATACCATTACTACAACCAAGAAAATTGACAATCATCCCATAGAATTATATAACATATTGTCCATTTTCAAGTTTTCCCTATTTGGATCAATAATGTCTTTTATAAATGTTTTGATTTATTTACTTTCAAATCAGGATATTATCAAGGTTAAGTTGTTACATTTGGTGATTATGTTTGTCTAGTCTCTTTATGTAGAAATTTTTTCCCCTATGATACTGCCTTTTTGTAGAATTCATGCTAATTCCTATAGACTACCCCACATTCTGAATGTGTCTATTTTTGATATAATCTGACTTGCTCATCTATGCCCTAAATTTCCTGTACACTAAAAGGTGGGCTTAGACTCAGATCAAACATTTTGTCAAGAATGTTTCTTAGGCTGTGCTGTGTGGAGCAAACAGGTAAATGCTTCTCGTTGTTCACGCAGTGGTTGTGCTGCTGTTCGAACGTCGTGTGCTTTGAGCTGTTGGGTGAAAGGCTAGCTCTCATGATCGTCTCCTGTCCTCTTTGCAGAATATGTGCACCATTGAAGTGGAGCTAGAGAATCTGCTGGGAGAATTCTCCATCAAGATGAAAGGTATTATTTTCCTTGTTTAGAGAGAATAAGGAGCCATCTCTGCAGAGTGCAGAGCTCCTTGAAGTTTGAGAGCCCATGCTATTTTTATTTTCCTTGCAAAGACGCAGCGCCACCCACTCTCAACCCACCCCACTTTTGATAGTTTACTGATGCTTCTCATCCTGAGGCTTACCTACACACACAAAAATATTATGACAGAATCTCAAACATACACAGAAGTGGAGAGAACATTATAATGAGCCCCCATAAACCCATCACCTAGATGTAATAATTAGCAAGATTTTGCCACATTTGCTCCATCTCTTTGCTTTTGTTTTTCCTTTGATAAAAGAGAAGTCCTTTGATGAAATAAAACCCAGATATGTCAGTCTGCTGCTATACACTTCAGTATGCATCTCTTAAAGCATGGGGCTGTCATCTTACATAACCACGATGCCAAGTACTGTCACGTTTTCACAGCTAACAAAAATAATAAACCCTGGTTATTAACCCATTCCATTATCAGATTTCCCCCGTTGTCTCAAAAATGCCTTGTACATTTGATTAGTTCAAATTAGGATCCCAACAAGGTCCATGCATTACAATTGGTTGTTAGGTATATCTTTTAGATTTCCTTTAATCTAAAACAAACCTCTCCCTACCTTTTTTTCTACCCTTGACTTGCTGTAGAAACCATTGTACAGAATGTCCCACATTCTAGCTTGTCTGTTGGCTTCTTTGGGGTGATCTTTAAATTCTTCCTTTAGCTCCTCATGTTTCTAGCAAACTAACTATGAAATTTTGTAAATCTTGGTGTTAAACCCACAGAGAATTTTTCCCCTCCCAGTGCCTTTCTGGTATTTATTCCAGAAAGTTCCAAACTAGACACATTATTGAGTTAAACCACAGCATCTTCAGAACAAAAACGAAGTCTGGTTTTAGAAAATAGAGCATTGCTCAGGTGTTGTCAGATTTACGGCTCAGTGGCCAGGCATGGCTGTCAAATGAGCGGCCATCACAGCAAGTCAATTTCTCTTCCAAGTTTTGGCCCATCTGACTGCAGTGAAGAGGGCTGGTGCTTATGCAATTCTGAGGTTTCTTAGCAGCTTGATCCCTGGGTTGCTAATGGGGATTTAATCACCTTCTTTCTACTTTCTGCAATTAAGGGAGTAAAGAAAGGAGACTTTTTTTTGAAAGGGCTCGACAGGAGGGCTTCATTTTCCAATGAATCATCTAACTCAGGAGGGAAATTATTCTGTCAAGCACTAGGCACTGACATGTAAGAGCCTGTCTGAGAATACCTGGAATATAAATGACCTTGACCCTCAGCTTCCCAAATGGCTGCATGCTTCTCTTCCGGCAGATCCGGTAGGGAATCAGTTTAGTATTCAGTGTTAAGTTTCAACACTTGCTTTGCTACTGAGTCTGGCATCTGTGCTTTTTTCCATTTTTTAGGTCCATTCTCTACATTTTTGGGTCCTCACTTGAGTCAGTGGTTCCAAAATCACGCAGGTCCATAGTCCCACGTGGGCCCTGGAATTTTTATTTTAACTTTGAGGATGATTCTATCAGCAGCCTGATCAATTCTGGAAAATAACTGCCCTGAATCAGTGTTTAGCAGAAAACCTTCCCTCTACTTCCCCCAACTCTCAGACGCCACCCACACAGACTAGCACAGTCGCAGAGTCTCGCAGCCTAACAGTAATTCAAATCATGCACATCACCTATCACTGCTAATATAAAAAAGTACTATATTTCTCCTATTTCTGATGCTCAGTATTATCAAGTGCATCTATTTTTGGTGGGATGGTAATTTCCTGATTTTACAGATGGGAAATAGGGGCCTAGAGAGGCTAAATGACTTGTCCCAGGAGTCACACTTAAATTGGAGTCAGACAAGAAACTGAATTCCAGGGTTCTTTGTTCCTAATGCATTCCCACCTCTAACTCCATGTTATGAGGGAAGTTCAGAGCTGAGCAGACAATATAAACCATTGCTCAAAGAATGGTCTCCCTCACGGGCAGATCCTCTCCAACCTAGCACAGAGACACCCTAGGAGTGGGATGGGGAGGAAAGGGACCACCCTCGGACCAGATCTGGAGCTTCAGGCTTGGTGTTCAGGGAGGAGATGATGCTGGAGTCCCTGCCACCTACTGGGGGACCTGGCCACCCCGCTACATCGCAGCCCTGATGGACTGATGAACTTGCTGTTGCTCCTGCTCCTCCATCTCCTCCTCTCTCTGTTGTTCTTGCTCTCCTGCCTGATGTTCCTGAGAGTCCACCTGAACGCTTGGTTTCTTCCATGGGGTTTCTCAGGCCTGAGACTAAATCTCCTTCCTCATTGATAGACTCCTGTCTCCTCCACTTTCCTCATCTAACAGGCAAACTCAGAAACTACATCTGTGAAGGCTTTCAATGGTAAACACCCCCATGGAAATCTTTCTCTTCCTCCATAAAGAGAAAGGGAAACCTCATGCTGCCAAGAAATCCTATTGTCTTTGCAATTAGCTGCTTTCTCATCTGTTACTCATTCTGGTAAAAACTACTTCCAACATACATATTGACAAACAGACTATTTCACAATACTCTCAGACCTGGCAACCACTAACTTCCTCGTGCCACACCCTTCCTCACTTCCCTTTTTGCCCCAACCCCAACACTAGAAAACAACCTTTTGGGGTAGTGACATTAAAGATAATAGAGCAAGTACTTACTGAGTGCCTGCTATTGGCCAGGCACTTGACTGCATTCTGATGACTGCTCCCTGGCCTTGAGTTCCACATGGTCTACCAGAGAAAACAGACATATGAGGCTGTGCATTCTCATTCAATGGAACAAATGACCACCTGAACAACAGTGTGACCCAGTTTGCTGCAAAAGCAGGAGGGGAGAGGAGGAAAAGGTTGCCACTCACCTCTCTAGTTGGGGAGAGGAGCAGGAAAGAGGAAGGCATCCCAGTGTAATGTATGGTGAACAGCACCAGAATAGCATTCACCAAACAGAGGAAAGCCTGTTCAGAGGTGACAAGTAGACCGGTGTGGCTGACGTGATTGTTCGGAGAAGAGCTATGGAGAATTAGTTGGGTCCTGACTATAAAAATCCATGAATGCCAGGCTAAACGGAGAGCACTTAATCTGCAAACTATCAAACAGGATGGAGGTAAAGGGATGTAGTTCCTTAGAGCAAACTAGTTCTCCAAATTATTACTTTGTTCAAATTAAGTTCCAGGCAGTGCATATATCCTGGTCCTTACAGTTTCCAGGGCAGGTCAACCTTCCTCAGAAGGAAGAACCACCATTGAGCTAGTAAACTTGCATTATTTATGCCTGGTCAATAGATCAGTAACACCTGTAATAGGAGCTCCTGACTGTATAGCTACTTGGTTGTCTTAAAGTAGGAAGTGTGACTCTTGGAAGGAAAGATCATCATAGAACTGGGAAAAATGATGTAGAGCGTTCTTCTGGCAGAATGGTGTCTGAGCAAAGGAAGGCAGGCAAGAGTAGGCAGCTGCTGTAACACCCTCCAAACGAGGCTGTGGAGGAGGTGTTAGATCAGTAATATGTGAGCGCCGTGAAACATCCAAAGGTATGACCCCTGCAAGCCCCCAGTGCGCATCCTCAGAGGTAACCCCCATGATGGTTTTTTGAGTGAAAGCTAGAAAGCTTTCATTAAGCTTTCTAGATCATGCACTGGTAATCACAAACTGTCAAGAACACTTGCAGCTTTCTCCAACTGTGAAAATGCCAGCAGGCCCCCAGACAAGAGCCTGTAAGAAACCTGGCCAGGCCTCAAAGACAGACTGTAACTGTCATTGCCCCACTGTTAGTGCTAATTCCGTGGCCAGTACCACCAGTGGCTTACACAGCAGATAGAACTTTAAGAAGCACGGCACAAAAGCTGTTTGTGCCTGGATAGTGCCATTGTGCTACATTATTGCTACAATCAGAGGATCAGTGATGCCACTACAGCAGTTCCAAGAAATTTTGCTTAGTAACATGGGCTGAGAAGTGAAAAAAACATCACTACCAAGTACCTTTCTCACATTGTTTTCTTCAGATATAAAATTTCTGGTAATTTTAAAGGGGGGGGAAAAACACCTTCAAAGGATTTCCCCTTTATTCACCTTTATCTAGTAACAATGTCAGATCAGTTTCTTTTCAACCAGTCTTCCATTGTAATTACATAAACAGGCAATAGATTAATCCTGAACTAATTTGCAGAGGTTTTGTTTTGTTTTTGAGACAGAGTTTCGCTGTGTCACCCAGGCTGCAGTGCAGTGGCACTATCTCTGTTCACTGCAACCTCCGCCTCCTGGGTTCAAGCGATTCTCATGCCTCAGCCTCCGGAGTAGCTGGGATTACAGATGCCCACCATCGCACCCGGCTAATTTTTGTATTTTTAGTAGAGACAGAGTTTCTCCATGTTAGCCAGGCTGGTCACGAACTCCTGACCTCAGGTGATCCGCCCACCTCGGCCTCCCAAAGTACTGGGATTACAGGTGTGAGCCACCGTGCCTGACCAATTTGCAGAGGTTTTTAAAGAGCACTTTGGATTTTATTAGAATTAGCATGTCCAGTTTAGGATTTACAAAAACAAGTCGATTATACTTTCTTTCAGAAGTATTTTTTTTAAAGACTAACTAAATGCTGCAGAAAATTATTAGTAGAATGCAGGCTTCTTTAATTCTGCTCTTATTTCAGTAAGTCTTTTTAAGTGGGTTGTTGTGTTCTAATTATTATTGAAAGCTGTTTTTAAATGTGCTGGCTCCACGGGCAGGAAGGCACGGACGAGCTGGTGAGTTTCTGCCACCTACTGACAAGTGATGGTAACAGCACATGCTTCTTTTTTAAGCATCCGGGGACCTTTTTTGCTGTCAGCTTACCCACGCAACGTTTATAAGTCAGGTGAAAGTAGAAGCGTTCATTTAAGACTCTCAACTTACTGGGTTTTTTGCTTTGTTTTGTTTTTTGAGTCGAGGGTCTCGCTCTGTCACACAGGCTGGAGTTCAGTGGCTCACGGCCGCCTGAAACTCCTAACCTCAAGCAATCCTCCTGCCTCAACCTCCTGAGTAACTGGGACCACGGGCGCACGCCACCATGACTGGCTAATTTTTAAATTTTTCGTAGAGATAGGGTCTCACTGTGTTGCCCAGGTTGGTCTCAAACTCCTGGGCTCAAGTGATCCTACTGCCTTGGCCTCCCAGAGCACAGGATCACAGGTGTGAGCCACCATGCCTGGCCAAGAGTCTCCAGCGTACTAACAGGGCTATTTGTAGAAGGCAAAACACATTGTGTGATACCATCCACAGCATCTTTATATGGGTAAAATCACGTTTAAATAAATATAAAAGCAACCCAGAGCACAAAGGTTATAAATAGCAACTCAAGGAGGCTGAAGTACCAAGGGACCCATTTGTCATATGGATGTCTTTGTGTGGGAACAGCCTAGGACTAACAGCTGTTTCTGGACCAGCTCATCAAAATTATTTCCTCGGAGTGCCTCTAAAAAATTACTGGGTAAACAGGGAGGAATTGTTCGTGTCTTCTTCAATCTCTATTTAAACACTTTGAAAGTAGTAACTTCTTTTTTTAAAACATTGAGAAATATAACAAAAAAAAAATAAAGTCATATATAATCATTCCACCCAGTGCTAAGTTTTGTTAAAATTATTAAAATATCCAACCAACTTTTCTGTGTATACACACTCCCTGCCAAGGTATGTGATCTTTTTTACATCTTTTTTCTGTATTACAAAATAAGTATATCATCTTTTTATAAATCAAATAAAAATTACCACTTATTGACAAAAATTTAATTTTCTCCTTAATTCTACCCTACCAGAGATAATTATTTTTAACAGTTTGGTATGGTTTTCTAGACTTTTTTCCCTGGGGATCCATTTATATATGGCTGAGGTTATACTCTATGTAAGGTTTTGTGTCCTTCCTTTTTTTTTTTTTTTTTTTTTTGAGACGGAGTTTCACTGTTGCCAGGCTAAAGTGCAGTGGCATGATCTCGGCTCACTGCAACCCCCGCCTCCCAGGTTCAAGCGATTCTCCTGCCTCAGCCTCCCGAGTAGCTGGGATTACAGGTACCCGACACCACACCCGGCTAATTTTGTATTTTTAGTAGAGATAGGGTTTCACCATGTTGGCCAGGATGGCCTGGAACTCCTGACCTCAGGTGATCTGCCCACCTCAGCCTCCTAAAGTGCTGGGATTACAGGTGTGAGCCACCACGTCCAGCCTGTACTGAATTCTTAACTGGAAATCTCATAAAACTTTATTTTTTTTCCTTCAAAAAATTTTTAAAGGATGAAGATTTTTACCTATTTTTATGAAATTATTTTGGTTCCTTCAATAAAACTTTTAGTCTTTAGGCCCCAAGGAATGTAAAGTGCTTTGCTTTGTGATTGGCAGGAAAACAACAGCTGACTAAAGCCAGAAACAACTGATTAAAGTAAAGCTGGGTCACTGACAAGCCTCTGTTGATGAGATTAGTTTCCTCATTTGCTATGCACATGTGACTAGCATGCCTTCGTCCCCACACGTTTATTCATGCTTGACACAGTAGACATCCAAGAAACATTGTCGAATGCACACATGCCATTCACTCAGCCTGGAAGTATCTGTACACCCATGTCTTCATTTTACTGTGGTGAAACTCTGTTATTCAAATGCTACTTTCCTCCATGAAACTATTCTACATTAAATAAGATAGTCTCTCTTTTTTCATTTTAATTATATAGTAATACATTCTCATAAAAATACAGAAAAAAGCAAAGATCTCCTTCTGTCTCTCCACTGCTGTTTGCCTCCCTGATGCATATCAATTTACTGTGTGTTTTCTTTCTTTTTTTTTTTTTTTTCTTTTTCAGACATAGTCTCACTCTGTTACCCAGGCTGGAGTGCAGTGGTGTAATCACGGTTCACTATAGCCTAGACCTCCTGGGCTCAAGCGATCCTCCCACCTCAGCCTCTGAGCAGCTGGGACTACAGGCATGCACCACCACACTTGGCTAATTTTTTTTTTTCTTTTTAGTAGAGATGAGGTCTCACTATGTTGCCCAGGCTTGTCTTGAACTCCTGAGCTCAAGTCATCCTCCTGCCTTGGCCTCCCAAAGTGCTAGGATTATAGGCGTGAGCCACCATGCCAGCCTTGTGTCTTTTCATATAGATTACGTCTTTCATTAAATAGTGGATGGCATGTACTCAATAAATAGTATTATCCCACTCTTGGATATATTGTCATTACCATGTATTAACGACCTACTATGTGTTAGATGCCGTCCATTGTCCTTACAAACAATTCTATGAAGTGGACACTGTTACCCTATTTTAAAGGTGAAGAAACTTGGGTTAAGTAAATTTTCTAGAGTAGGATAGCCAGTAGACAAACAAATTAACCTCAGGTGTAACTCCATCTTACTGCCTTCAAGTCCTTGTCTGTTTCATTTCTGTGGGCTTTAACTGTATTTTGTTCTATATCATGGGTATCCATAAAATCTTTAATTTCCAAATTATTACCCCGATGCCTAGCTTAGACCCTTACATATAGCCGGCTCTCAGTAAATATCTACAAAAAGAAAGAAAAAGACTGGACAAACCCAGAGTTCCTGAGATGGCCTCGGATGGTGGCCATCTAGTCTGATAAGATTTGTTTTTGCTGCTGCACCAGAGAGAGATCTCGAATCGAGCAGATCCAGTTAGACATGACTTGCTGGATGGCACAGTAGAAGAAAAGTCCCGTCTTTCTTTTGGGGGTGTATCATTTGGTTGGTTGGATTGATTTTGTTTTCTTAATCACTAGCTTTATGTAAGTAATAATCCATTTTCAGGGATTTTATAACAGCAAATTGTATCATTACACCAGATAAAAAGGATAAAGAAAACATCAGAATGAGTAAATTGGGGGGCAGCAAGGGAAATAACTGCATGGAATCTTAACTCAAATGGGAGGCACTTAAAAATCACACATTTTAGGACAGAAAGAAAAATAGGAGACCAGATTATCTTCATGGGAATATGTTGGATAAATAAATAAATCTATCTTTCTGGCCCTAATACCCTAACCCTAGAATCCACTTGGATCTTAAATCAGCCCAAGATATTCTGAGCTCTAGCTCCCCTCCTTGCCCAGCCTCCCCTGCCTTGGAGACCACCTCTTCCATCACTTCATCCAGGAATGTCTTCTTTACCTGTGATAGAAGGAACTCCCCCAAAAACAGCTGTTCCCCAGGAATGGCCCCAAAAAGTGTTATGTGAGTTTGCACAAAGTTCTGACACTTCACTTGAATTCTTTTTAACGTGCCAGTATGTGTCTATAGAGAGGGGAAATATGTTCTACACCTCACCTTCCAATTTCTTGGTTACAGGTCTGGCTGGCTTTGCACGCCTCTGTCCTGGAGATCAATATGAAGTAAGTATTGTCTTGGTCTAGGTGCTGGAATTATGGACCTGAAGGGTAGGGGCCAGTTGTCATGTCATTATTTTGCTTTTCAAGTTGTCTTTTTTTTTTTTAATTTTTAATTTTGAAAAACATTTTAAGCCAATGAGAAAGTCTGGAAACTGGTACAGGACTTCCCATAAACCTTTCATCTAGATTCACCACTTTGTAACATTATGCCACATTTGCTCTGTCATCATCATCATTATTGCTGTCATTGTTACTATTATTTTGCTGAACCATTTTATTTATTTATTTATTTACTTACTTATTTATTTTTTATTTTGAGATGGAGTCTCGCTCTGTTGCCCAGGCTGGAGTGCAGTGGCATGATCTCAGCTCACTGCAACCTCTGCCACCTGGATTCAAGCGATTCTCCTGCCTCGGCCTCTGGAGTAGCTGGGACTACAGGTGTGCACCACCACAGCCGGCTAATTTTTTTGTATTTTTAGTAGAGATGGGGTTTCACCATGTTGGCCAGGCTGGTCTTGAACTCCTGACCTCAAGTGATTCCCCCCCGCCCACCCTTCGGCCTCCCAAAGTGCTGGGATTACAGGTGTGAGCCACCACATCCAGCCCCTGAACCATTTTAGAGCAAGATGCAAACACCAGGACTCTTCATCCCTAAATTCTTCTAAGAATGGAAAGACATTCTGTCACATAGGCATTACTAAGCCCTCAACACCAGTGAGTTTATAACACTGGCTCTTCAGCTAACGTCACCTGGAATTAGTCTATGTTCATATTTTGCCAGGTGTCCCAATATTGTACTAGGTAAGCAGGTTTTTTTTTTTTTTTCCTGATCCAAGGGCCAATCCAGGATCATGGCTGATCATAAGTACCATGACTGAAGAAAAATAACATCCAGATCTTTCTTTGTAAAAATGTGCTCCAAAAAGTAAAAATAGCCTTTGTTATTTTCCCTCTTCAAAAGGAAACTTATATAACCATTTCATCTAACATCTCCTCCAAAACCCTCTATACTCATACCTCTTAGCAGGGGGTGAGGGTGTATCTTCCCTTAAACATTAAAGCAGTCTGACCAAGGAGATATTGCACACCTTCCCCCAAGAGTATGTTGGATTTCAAAGTCCTTGCCAGCTCCATCTCTCTATCCAGAGTAAGGATGTCTTTATTTCTTGCTTCTGACTGCTAAGGGGGTTTTAGCTGATACTTCCTCATCTCACTAAAGGAGCTGGGTTGTGTGGCTGCTCTATTGAAGTAGAACTAACAAGAGAGAGAACTGCTTGGCATGAGTGAGCAGAAGGGCACAGTGCAATGACCTTTTACTACAGAAAACCTGTACCCTCCCTGTCTCAGGCAGGCAGAACTTACTGTGCTTTAAAAGTCTCGGGCCAGGCACAGTGGCTTATGTCTGTAATCCTAGCACTTTGGGAGGCTGAGGCGGGCAGATGACCTGAGGTCAGGAGTTTGAGACCAGCCTAGCCAACATGGTGAAACCCCGTCTTACTAAAAATACAGAAATTAGCCGGGCATGGTGGCACATGCCTGTAGTCCCAGCTACTTGGGAGGCTGAGGCAGGGGAATCGCTTGAACCCTGGAGGCGGAGGTTGCAGCGAGCCAAGATCACACCATTGCACTCCAGCCTGAGTGACAGAGCGAGACTCCAACTCAAAAAAAAAAAAAAAGTCTCCTCCCCACTCATCCCCAGCTCCATTCACACCCAAGAGTAAGGGGGTGGAGGGAGAGTAAGGGAGAAGCGGAGGGCAGCAGTGGCTTTAGGTCTTTCTCCTTTTGATCTTGGTGTTCTGGTGGAGAAGAGGGGGTGGCAAGACATGAAGGCCCTTGGATGTCTCCTCTCCAGATTTTCATGAAGTATGGCCGGCAGCGGTGGAAACTGAAAGGCAAAATAGAAGTAAATGGCAAGCAGAGCTGGGATGGAGAAGAAACAGTTTTTCTGCCCCTGATAGTTGGGTTCATCTCCATCAAGGTACAGTATTGTCATTGCCTGTTGTCTTTCCTGGTGCCACGGCTGGATGATCCATTGGTGGGGCCCTTACCCGTGACCCCTGCCTGTTGCCCCTCCATCCCACAGACTTTTCTGCACAAGTCTATTACAAAGACAGCTGCCCTCTCATCAGAGTAAGTAAAGTCAATCTAAGATACACTTTTGAAATATCCACCTCTGGCCAGGCGTAGTGTAGTGGCTCACGCCTGTAATCCCAGCACTTTGGGAGGCTGAGGTGGGTGGATCACTTGAGCCCAGGAGGTCGAGACCAGCCTGGCCAACATGGCAAAACGCCGTCTCTACAAAAGTACAAAAATTAGCCAGACGTGGTCCGTGTGCCTGTAGTCCCAGCTACTTGGGAGTCTGAGGTGGGAGGATCACTTGAGCCCAGGAGGTCAAGGCTGCAATTAGCCATGATCACACTACTGCACTATAGCCTGGGTGACAGAGAGAGACCCTGTCTCCAAAAAAAAAAAAAAAAGAAAAAGAAAAATGAAAATCCGCTTCTGATTTCAGATATGATTCTGAAAGAAATGACCAACCTAGCTCAGTAAAAAAAATGACACATTATTCTACCTTTCTCCTCTGCTGTGATGTAAGGCCTATTCTCTCCCACTCTCTCTGCTAGGTCACGGAGCTCAAAGGGCTAGCAACTCACATCCTGGTAGGTAGCGTGACCTGTGAGACCAAAGAGCTGTTTGCAGCCCGACCTCAGGTAGTGGCTGTCGACATCAATGACCTTGGTACCATCAAACTGAACCTGGAAATCACCTGGTAGTAAGTGCCTCTTCCTTTATTTCATCATATAGAAATATCTGATACCGGCTAGTGCTACTCAAAGCTGGTGCATGGACCATCCGCATCACCAGGGAGCTTGTTATGAAAAGCAGAATCTCGGGCCCCACCCCAGGACTACTGTGTCAGAATTGCTCAGGCCCCAGAATCTGTTTAACAAACTCCCCGGGTAAGGTGCACGCGTGTTAAAGTTGGAGAAGCCTGGGTCATGTCACCAATCTCCTCTTCTACTTCCTATTTTAAAATATTTTTTCTGTCACCTTCCTTCCCTCTCTACCTTTAAATATATAAGGGCATATGTCCTCTCAAGTAAACTAATTTGAAAGAAAATATCTGTCCAATAGGCGGTACTTTGACCTCAGAAAAATCCTGATTCTCACGGATGCTTATTCCTCTTTATCGCATAACTTCACACTGCTCTGGAAAATTATGAGTATCCTTAGTTCCTCTGCACTGTATTTACTGAAATAGAATATCCCCAAAGGGCAAGAGATATCTTTTTTCAAAGCAATGAACTTAGAAATCGTTTTCCAAATTCACCCGGTGAGAAAGGTCATGATAAGTTATTAACACTAGCAGCTCCAGGTGCGGTGGCTCACACCTGTAATCCCAGCACTTTGGGAGGCCAAGGCAGGTGGATCAGCTGAGGTCAGGAGTTTGAGACCAGCCTGGCCAACATGGTGAAACCCCATCTTTACTAAAAATACAAAAATTAGCTGGGCATTGTGGCAGGCACCTGTAATGCCAGCTACTCGGGAGGCTAAGGCAAGAGAATCACTTGAATCCGGGAGGCAGAGGTTGCAGTGAGCTGAGATCGTGCCATTGCACTCCAGCCTGGGCAACAAGAGCAAAACTCCATCTCCAAAAAAACAAAAACCACTAGTAGTTCACAACATTTAATGTAATGCCCCCGGTATATTGCCAAGTAAATATGACATGTTGAGTATTCATGCTCAGGGTCTCATTTACAATATGGAAAGCCAGGTGTAGAAGCAGCAAAGACACTCTTGCTTTGTCATCATCAGCATGCTTTGCTCAGCCCTTCCCTCCCCACAATCTGCAGTCATTGATGTCTCACATGCAAGATCATTCTTCTTGCTGGATGAATCGGGTGCCATGATGTTAAGTGGCATCATTGTGAACAGACTGTTATTCTCTTCCCACACAAGAGGCTCTGTGTCAACTGAAATGAATGGGATTCTATTTTTGAGTGTTTTCTTTAGAATGGAACAATAGTCTGTCGATGTCTTATACCATTAAGGTATCTAGCCCCGCAAAGTTCAGATAATTTTTATAGACTTTTCAACATCTTGTTTTGTCGAAGCAAGCATTCATAAATTTGTGTTTCTAATGTTAATGAGGAACGGGTGTATCTAAGTGTATAGCTAAATTGTGCTTAGAGCTGTGATAATATTCTGGGGTCCCTTGGGTGAGTCTAGACTCAGTTTTCTGCTCCACTTTTCTTTTATCCAGGTTTATTTTCTGCAAAGCAGTTTAGCTAAAACCAGCCCAGTTCTGAACCTCTGGTTGAGTTTACCTTTATATAATGAGGTACTCTCTTAGCCTGTGGTCTGTTGATGATAGGTGATTTTGCCAAATGTGCATACCTGGGGACCTGTTGTTTTGCAGTCCATTTGACGTGGAGGACATGACCGCATCCTCAGGCGCTGGGAACAAGGCAGCAGCCCTTCAGAGGAGAATGTCCATGTACAGCCAGGGTACCCCGGAAACGCCCACCTTCAAAGACCACTCCTTCTTTGTAAGTTCAGTGTAATTTCCCGAGTAGAATCAATGCACCTGAGCCAGTGCTTGCACCCAGCATTTGAAATGCTTAAGAGACAGTGCTGGGAGTTAGTAATTCTATCAGAGGTGGTGAGCCTCCTCTGTTTTTCCTCTCTCCTTGCCCACCTTACCTATTGCTGTGATGGTAACATGTAGATTTTTCTGAACATTCTCTAAGATCAGCCTTTTAAAGAAGTGCATATAAATAATAGCCTCCTTGTTTTAATCAAAAATGCTTGCTAAAAAGCTAACAAAATGTAGTAACCTGATTCTTCCCACTAACTCCCCCATCTTGCTTTCACTTCTGAAGAGGTGGCTGCATCCTTCCCCAGACAAGCCCAGGCGGCTGTCTGTCTTGAGTGCCTTGCAAGACACTTTCTTTGCCAAGCTGCACCGCAGCCGCTCCTTCAGTGACCTGCCCTCCCTCAGGCCGAGTCCCAAGGCCGTGCTAGAGCTCTATGTGAGTGTGGCCTGCCCGGGTATGGAGTGCTTGACTTCTGGGGCTTGTGGCATGTGTGACTTAGCATGTCTCTTGTTTTATCTTCTCTGTCTTGCTCACTGGGTATGGTTACAGCTGTACTGTCCTTGGGGCGGGACACTTGGTCGTGCATGTAACTTTGATAGAGACGCAGTTTGTCCTTCTCTTCTAATGATCCCTGTTTTTGTGCTGTGATTTTTCTCCATTGTGGCAAAGATATCCATGGTAACAAGATTTTAAACAAGTTTAAGCCTTTCAAAAACTGGCATTCGGCCCAGCATGGTGGCTCACGCCTGTAATCCCAGCACTTTGGGAGGCTGAGGTGGGTGGATCGCTTGAGCTCAGGCATTCAAGACCAGCCTGGCCAACATGGTCAAACCCTGCCTCTACTAAAAAATACAAAAATTAGCCAGGAATGGAGGCATGTGCATGTAGTCCCAGCTACTTGGGAGGCTGAGGTGAGAGGATCACTTGAACCCAGGAGGCAGAGGTTGCAGTTAGCCAAGATGGTGCCATTGCACTCCAGCCTGGGCAGCAGCAAACTCCATCTCAAAAACAAACAAACAAAAAATTGGCATTCAAGGAACTCAAAAGGATTTCAATGAATTTTACTAGAGCTACTTCTATTTGAAAGGTTCTCAGTCTTAGTTTATTATAATGTTTGTTAATTCTATAACACTTCGATAAAAAGATATCCTTAATTCACAGTCAGGAATACAATAAGTATTATATATTATACATTATGTCACCAGAGGATACACACACACATGCATGCACACACACATACATGGAACATCCTGCTCTTCACAGATGTATAAAACGAAGCTTTGAGTGTCAACAGAGGAAAGGATTAAAAGTCTTTGGGTTCATAATAATAATAATTGCATCGTTTTCATTGAATTAAAAAATGCAGGTGAAGGCTGAACATGGTAGCTCACACCTATAATCCCAGCACCTTGTGAGGCCAAGGCAGGTGGATTGCTTGAGCCCAGGAGTTCAAGACCAGCCTGGGCAACAAAGTGAGACCCCGTCTCTACAAAAAATTTAAAAATTACCCTGTTGTGGTGGTACACACTTGTGGTCCCAACTACCCAGGAGACTGAAGCAGGAGATCACTGAAGCCCAGGAGGTTGAGGCTGCAGTGAGTTATGATTGCACCACTGCAGTCCAGTCTGGACAACAGAGCAAGACCTTGTCTCAAAAAAAAAAAAAAAAAAAAAAAGGCAGGTGAAAAGGACCAGGCTAAACTCTGGTGGAGTTTTCAGGGAAAATGGGAAGATTGTATGGGGGAAATACACATGAAAACATGAACCAAAACACAAAGAGCTAACACAGCTATACACGCAACCGTTAACATAACATGTATATTCATGCTCATATGTTCATGTGCTACAGGTTGGGGGTTGTGGGCGAGAGTTGGTAGAGGTTTCACGTCATAATTTAAATAAGAACAAGGTTAGAAAACAACTGGATGGCTTTCCTGATAAAACCTTTTAGATAAATGCAAAGGTCCTCAGAGCGGCTGTTCCCATCTGGCCACAGCCCACCACAAGCCCATCCCACGTTTTCACTCTCTATCCTCTGCTGGGGCCCCTTGGAGCTTCTCAGTGTCCTCCAAATGCACCACCTCCTTTCAGGAGCTCATGTCTTTGCATGTTGTTCCTTCTAGAACGCACTTCCTCCGGTGCCTGCCCCCTACTTCACCATCTTCCACACTGAGCTCCAGGATTGGCTCTTTCACAGGCAGCAGCCACTCCCTCATTGGGGCCCTTCCCTCATGATGTCATCCCTCAGTTATAGCGTGTACACCATTGTACTGTTGTGTGCTTGTTGTTAGACTTGTCCCCTTGGTAGACTGCAAGTCCCCTTGGGCAGGGCATCTCAATTTATTCTCACTCAATATTTGCCACTTAAGTAGGTGGAAATTGAGCTTGAGTCTTGGAGTCTCAAGACAAATGGCTGGGAAGGACTTTGGAATTTGAATAAGAATCCTGACTACCCAATCTCCCTGCCATACCCAGTGTCTCCCACCTCCCTCTGTGCTGCCATGAGATGTGTGCACAGATCAGACAAAGCTGAGTGGAACCACATGGAGGGCCCATGGGTTCTAGAAGCCTAAGGAACCCCCATGGATGAGGTCTAGGGAGAAGGCTCCAGGCATCCTTCATCCCTCCCCTAAAAGATTCCTTTTATCTTTCCTAGAGACATAAGGTGTATATGAGGTGGGGGGTGCAAATACGGGAGGGAAGAAACTGAAATACACAAGCTTGGAGGGGAGGAAGAGGAGCACCAGAGCCCACCACACCAACAACATTGTGGACCACAGTTCAATAATCACTAATAGAGTAAAACATCCTCAGTTTGGGAGGTAAAGAGACAGAGCTTGTAGAGGTTACTCAAGTGTCCAGTGACACATCATTTCACTCGTCCTGTGGTTAAAGTAAGTCACCTTCCAACCATGCTACAACGGACAGTTTGGGTGCAACGAACTGCATGTGTCGGGATCTAGTGGCCTCAGATACAGCAGCAATGGGACCAGGGACCCAGCTGGAGGAGGAAGGGGAGCCTTTGTCTTCCCTTCTGCTCTTCACTGCATTTGCTGTAATGTTTTTATTTGCCGGGCTTATTCCCAGCAAATTTTGAGAATTTGTCAGTTTCTATATAATTAAAACAATTATTAGCATGATACTTACCATTTATTTACTTTAAAAACTGAATCTGGGATCTAAGAAAAATTAACCATTTTGGGCCAGGCGCGGTGGCTCACGCCTGTAATCCCAGCACTTTGGGAGGCTGAGGCAGGCGGATCACCTGAGGTCAGGAGTTTGAGACCACCCTGACCAACATGGCGAAATCCTGTCTCACTACAAAGAAAATACAAAAATTAGCTGGGGGCGTGGTGGCGCATGCCTGTAATCCTAGCTACTTGGGAGGCTGAGGCAGGAGAATCACTTGAACTCAGGAGGCCGAGGTTGCAGTGAGCTGAGATCGCACCATTGCCCTCCAGCCTGGGCAACAAAAGGGAAACTCTGTCTCAAAAAAAAAAAAAAGAAAAATTAACCATTTTGAAGGGGTTAATCTCAGTAACTCAAAAGCCCTTTCCACAGAGCAGCATTTGGCATTTAGGCATTATACACAGACCACAGCACAAGAGAGCTGACTTCAAAATAGAAATGCCTGAATAAATGAATGATCTTGGTTACCTGGATATTTCTGGCCTCTCTCTTCAGAGTTCTGCTTCATGAAGCACAGGGCGTACCTGTGACACCACCCAGGTCTGCTTGACAGATGACTTGGTGTTTCTAGGCAGCCTGAGAGCCCTGGGGTTTGCCTCCTGCAAGATTGATGTTCCATTTATTAGTCTTTTCCTTTTATTTCTAGAGAAGCTATGCAAATGTATGGCTGGCCTTGAATTATTTATGGTGTGGTTACTAAATTAATAAAACATTTTCCAGAGCTTGGGATTTGTGGGCAGAGATTTTCAAAAAAATAATTTTTGAGAATTGAAGCAGAACAAAACATCACAACTTTGGAACTAAATTGCATGGATGTTGGAAAGTTTTTTAAGATAGATGCCTAAATAGAAAAAGAAATTGGTAATGTTATTCATAACTATGGCTGCCAAATATTATGAGCTCTTGGAATTCAGAAAACAAGCCCCCTCCCCCCATGCAACCTTTTCTTTTGAAAAATGTCAAACCTTGAAACTATTGCCATGAACTTTCACCTAGATTCAACAATAGAAACAGTCCTTGATGGTCTGTTTTCTTTTGCCAGATACACACACACACACACACACACACACACACACACACACACACACACGGCATCAACAAATAAAATGCTAACATTCTGAAAGTTCTGGGTTTTTTCATTGTAATTGCCTTATATTCTGTCTGGAAATAAACCATGCCAAGCCAAATGCATCATTTGTATTGAAAATAATAATGAGGTATCTTTTATCTATAGTCAAATCTACCTGATGACATCTTTGAAAATGGAAAGGCAGCCGAGGAGAAAATGCCACTGTCGCTCAGCTTCAGTGACCTGCCCAACGGGGACTGCGCCCTCACCTCCCACTCAACAGGCTCCCCTTCCAACTCAACAAATCCAGAAATTACCATCACCCCTGCGGAGTTTAACCTCAGCAGCTTGGCCTCCCAGAATGAGGGTATGGATGACACCAGCTCAGCATCTTCCAGGAACTCCCTGGGAGAAGGCCAAGAGCCAAAGTCACACCTGAAGGAGGAAGACCCAGAGGAGCCCAGAAAACCTGCCTCGGCCCCATCTGAGGCTTGCCGCCGACAGTCCTCAGGTGCTGGGGCTGAGCACCTGTTCCTTGAGAATGATGTTGCAGAAGCACTTCTGCAAGAGTCTGAGGAGGCCTCTGAGCTCAAGCCTGTGGAACTGGACACTTCGGAAGGAAACATCACAAAGCAGCTGGTCAAGAGGCTCACATCTGCAGAGGTGCCAATGGCCACAGACAGGCTGCTCTCTGAGGGTTCTGTTGGTGGAGAATCTGAAGGCTGCAGATCCTTTCTAGATGGAAGCTTAGAGGATGCTTTTAATGGGCTTTTACTTGCATTAGAACCACATAAAGAGCAGTATAAAGAGTTTCAGGATCTGAACCAAGAAGTCATGAATTTGGATGATATTCTAAAAGTAAGTACCTTTTCAGAGAAATTGGATTAGGTTTGGAGAGAGGTGTCCTAAGCCAACATTCTATTTAAGATGAGGTATCATTTAAAAAAAAAATCCTGTCCAATCACAGGATTAATAGCTCATCATCATTTTAAATGGCACTAATATGCCAGTAGTGCATATTAAGTTTTATTTTCCAAACAACAGATCAACTTATCTAAATTGATTAGGATTTAAACAAAGAGCTCTAGAGAATGTTGAAATTCCCCCAGTCCCCAAGTTAATCATTTTAATCCCATATGTGAAGTAGAGGCACTTTGATGATTACAGTCTCACAGGCGTTACTGGATAGGATCCCTCTCAGGGGGTCGGGAAAGCAGGGAGCCCTTTGCCTGGTTGGAGTCAGAGTTATCCGTCCCATTGTGAGAGCCATGAGCCACTGCCTGCTGGAGGAGACTACCTGCTCTCACAATTGGTCCAAATAACCAAGTCAGAATCTCAGATTAATCATCAGCAAAATAATCATCCATTCTACTCTAGAGCGGGAGATCTACAGACTCTCCAGGGATACCCTCAATCCATAGGGATCAGACAGCCCAGGATGGAGGTGGGAGGGTAAGATGAGAAGGATGATTTCCTCGCAGGCGGGAGGTCCTGATAATGAGATCATTATTGCTGCATCAGAATGTATCTGTCTCCACCTGCATACAGATTAATTTTTTAAAAAACACTGCACAAGAAGACAGATTTGAATTGTTGTCCCAAATCTCACTGCTACTTCTTGTATTCTTTGCTGCTCTGATTTATATTGTCATATAAAAGAAAAGAGAACTCAGATCCTTTTTCTTAAAAGAGCAGTTCTTTGGGGACCTGGTCTGTAAAAAGGCTTGAAAGTAAGGTTGCAGGGGCAAGCCGAGAACCAACCCACAGAAAGCTGTTGCATCCCTTTCTAAGACTGTTTTCCTGGCTGGGCATGGTGGCTCACACCTGTAATCCCAGCATGTTGGAAGGCCAAGGCGGGCAGATGACTTGAGCCCAGGAGTTAGAGACCAGACCGGGCAACATGATGAAATCCCATCTCTACAAAAAATACAAAAATTAGCTGGGCATGGTGGCACACACCTGTAGTCCCAACTACTAGGGAGGCTGAGGTGGAAGAATCGCTTGAGCCAAGGAGGCAGAGGTTGTAGTGAGCCGAGATCACGTCACTGCACTCCAGCCTGGGTGAAAAAGTGAGACCCTGTCTCAAAAAAAAAAAAAAAAAATATGGTGATTGTTTTTATATGTAGCCTGCCCAGTGGCATCTGAAACTACATTTCCAAGGCTTTTTGACCATCTTATCCTTCTCTACTCAGTCTTGCTGACCTAACTCTGTAGGAGATTTGTGCCCCAGGCAGATGATAATTCAGGTCCTGACTCTCCAGGTCCTCAAATGCTCATGACAGATAGTTCAGTTGATGGCATAGCCTCCGAGAAACAGAAGGGCACTCTGAATCTACTTTCTGTAAAATATCAGTTCAAAACCATCAGCTCAGGGCTTGTATATGCAGGCTGCTTGTCTGGTATTCTACTAAACACCTATCTTTTCTGCAAAGTTGACCAGCTTTGCTTTGTGGGCAAAAGGTATTCATTTCAAAGAGCTAAGACACAAATTGATGCCATCTAAAGTGAATTCCTTAGAGAAATCCAGTAGTGATAGCAGCTCCCATTCCAGGCATCTAGGGTGATGGTAAGTAGCTCAATCCACAGGAAACACTAAGCATTATTAAAAACTGGTGATCAGAGACTTCTTTCCAGAGTATTATTTCAGTCTGCTGTTGTTCCAAAATTGTCCTGCTACTAAAATCCTCAACTGCCCCTTTCTTTGTCATGACCAATATTTAAACACATCTGTACTGTACAAGATAAAATTGTGCAGACACCTTGCTTAGGAAAAAAGACCCTAGAAGTAGGTGAAGTCAAGACCGACTCCCTGTCTCCCCCTGAGACTGCTGAAAACATCACTAGTGAGTGTGTTTAGGTCTGGGGCAAATGGCTTTGTATCCAGCCAGAATTAAAGCATCAGCTGGACAAAGCTTTCTCTTTTCTCCCTCCTTCACATTCCTAGGATGCTAAACACCTTGACGATCAGAAACTAAATGGTGCTGCCTCTTGGACGGAGATCACTGAGGGTGAATGAGACAACTGTGATTTAAAAGACCGAAAGACGTTTTCCCATGTGCTTTTGTGCCATCTTGAGTGTCAGAGACAGATCCCTGCAAGGCCCTTCCTACCTTGCGCTAAGAAATCAGCAAGGAGTGTCACCTAACTGGATGGAGGACATTTAGTGCTTCTAACTTGCAGAATTTGTCCCATTCGACCCACCCCAGCATCCTCTTGAATATTTGGAAATACTTCTCTCCAACTCTGTGCCCATAGCAACTGGCATTGTTTTGCTTGTAATGTTTCTGCATGTGGCCAGCATTATAGAATGCTCCAGGCCAGAGAATGGGATTGCTCCCATGATGCCAGGGCCTGGTCAGGGAAGTGGTGGGACTTGTTCCCTTTGAGGCAGAGCTCCAGAGGAAGCAGGGCTGCTTCTTGTCATGCCCAAGGCATTCATTCTTTCCTCAGTCCTCAGAGGAAAAATTATATGCTGTGAGCAGGTGCGGTGGCTCATGCCTGTAATCCCAACACTTTGGGAAGCCCAGGATTGCTGGAGCCCAAGAGTTCAAGACCGGTATGGTCAACATAGGGAGACCCTGTCTCTGCAATAAAAGAAAAAAATTAGCCTGGTGTGGTGGCACATGCCTGTGGTCTCAGCTACCTGGGAGGCTAAGGTGAGAGGATTGCTTAAGCCCGGGAGATTGAGGCTGCAGTGAGCTGTGATCACACCACTGCACTCCAGCCTGAGTGACAGAGCAAGACCTTGTCTCAAAAAAAAAAAAAAAAAAAAAAAAAAAAAAAAGATGCAGGGCTTCTTACCTAGGGAACATGGGCTAGGTGAATTTGAACCACTTCCTGTTTCTGGGATTTGTTTTGTTAGTCCTTTAGAGCAGATGCCTTAGATAGCTAGCGCCTTTTGTAAAACACCGAAGACATTGCCACTTGGAATTAGAGATTGGTCAGTATTCAGCATTGACTCACTGACTTAAAATTTGTCTGCTTGTGGTATTTTATTTTGGGGTGAGCACTAGGCAGAGGGATATAGCAGTTCTGTTTCCCAAGGCTTTGTGGTTGACATGGTTTTGTTTTTTGTTTTTTTTGTTTTTTTTCAACTTTTTGTTATAAAAATTTCAAACAGAAGTAGAGAAGATCCTCTAATGGATCCCAGTGTGCCCATCCCTCAACCTCCTCAGTGATCAACTCATGGCCAATCTTGTTTCCTATTCTTCAACCTGCTGACTTCCCTCTGGATTCTTCTGCAACCAGTCCCAGATATTGTGCCATTTTATCCATGGTTGTACTTCTTTTTTGGATATAAAGATTTTTAAATGCATTTTTTAAATGCTAACAAAAAATAAAAACTTGAAACAAAAAAAAAAGTGTGGCATCTCCAATTGAGCATCGTGTGTCTGGTTTCTCTTTCCGGATATGTTGATGTTCTCCCTGGTGCCTTCTGCCTTTACAGTGCAAGCCAGCAGTAAGCCGCAGCAGGTCTTCCAGTTTAAGTCTCACAGTTGAAAGTGCTTTAGAAAGCTTTGATTTCCTGAACACCTCTGATTTTGACGAGGAGGAGGATGGTGATGAGGTTTGTAATGTTGGCGGAGGTGCTGACTCAGTATTTTCAGACACTGAGACTGAGAAACACAGGTAAGTCTGAAGTTAGTGTCTCCTTATATTTCTCCTGTCACAGCTGATACAGTAGTTCTTTGTTACTGTCAGAGGGGACCTGGTACACATTTCCAGGAAGATAAAACTCTCCACATGAGTGACCAGTTGGCTTACAGTTCCTTTTTATTGTCAAGTGCAATAAAAGGGTCAATATTATTCACCTCTTTTGGGTTGCTTAAGGGAAAATAAATATCTTTATATTTCCTCTTTATAAATAGAGAGGAAAATTTTGTATGAGAGTGTTTTATACAAGTACATGTGTACACATTTTTTTTTAAGACGTAGTCTTGCTCTGTCACCCAGGCTGGAGTGCAGTGGTGCGATCTCAGCTCACCACAACCTCCACCTCCCAGGTTCAAGCGATTCTCCTGCCTCAGCTTCCGGAGTAGCTGGGACTACAGGCACCCGCCACCACACCTGGCTAATTTTTGTATTTTTTTAGTAGAGACGGGGTTTCACCATGTTGGCCAAGCTGGTCTTGAACTCCTGACCTCAGGTGATCCACCCGCCTCAGCCTCCCAAAGTGCTGGGATTGCAGGTGTGAGCCACTATGCCCAGCCCTCACATGTGTCTTATAGGGTTCAGTGTCTACAACTTGACCCCATGTAATTAATTCCAAATTAACTAGGTATACACATTTCTGAAGAACTCTTACTGGATGACAAATTTGGGCCTGGTTCTCCCTGGCTTGCACTTTACTTCCACTGCCTTTGTTTTGTTGTGCTTCCCTTTCCCAACCCTTCATGTTTCCTTCAACCCAGTGAGTCTTTGCCAGAGATTGAGTTCATCAAGGCACGCATCCAAGTCAAGTTTAAGTCCCATGGTGCATATTTCTTGTAGAATGTAAGAGGGGATGACCAATGACTGCCACTGGTACTGCATGTCTCTAGGTGGAGAATGTGACCTTCTCTGGAAGCAACAGATGAAGGTGAAACATTGTCACCTTCACCGTCCGGTGTCCTCATGCAGCCAAATCATGTTTTGAGAACTAGAGCCTGGGGTCCAAATTTATAACTACATATAAAGCAAAATAAGCACAATGGAACATACCCACCTCCATCAATTGCTGTGAAAGAAAACACACTTTCCCAAAATGGGGGTGGATTGCCCGCTCATCTTTACCTTGGCACAATATGACGTAAATGGGTTTTCAAGTTACAGCAAGCTATGATTTCAACCTTCACAAATCTCCCTGAAAGATGCTAGTTTTTGTTTGTTGTTGTCCCTGAAGGGTTTCCTTTTTCAAAATAAAACCAGGAAAAAAAAAAACATGAGAACTTGAATTTACCCCATAAGCAATCTGGGGACATGGCAAAGAAAATTTATTAAATGAATGTAATGTTTAAATTATCCTACATTTGGCCAGGCATGATGGCTCATGCCTATAATCCCAGCACTTTGGGAAGCCAAGGCCAGAGGACTGCTTGAACTCAGTAGTTCAAGACCAGCCTGGGAAACATGGCAAAATGCCATCTCTACTAAAAATACAAAAGTTAGTTGGGTGTGGTGGTGCACACCTGTAGTCCCAGCTATGCGGGAGGCTGAGGTGGGAGGATTGCTTGAACCCAGGATGTCAAGGTGAGCTGAGATTGTACCACAGCACTCCAGCCTGGGCAACAGAGCGAGACCTTCTCTCAAATAAATAAATAAGGCCGGGAGTGGTGGCTCACTCCTGTAATCCCAGCACTTTGGGAAGCTGGAGGGTGAATCACTTGAGGTCAGAGTTCGAGACCAGCCTGATCAACATGGTGAAACCCCGTCTCTACTAAAAATACAAAAATTAGCCAGGCATGGTGGTGTACGCCTGTAGTCCTAGTTACTCAGGAGGCTGAGGTGGGAGAATGGCTTGAACCTGGGAGGTGGAGGTTGCAGTGAGTTGAGATCGAGCCACTGCACTCCAACCTGGGTGGCAGTGCGAGACTCCGTCTCAAAAAAAATAATAAAAATAAATTGTTCTGCCTTAATATTTTTTAGCTTGATAGAATTTGTGAAATACTTCTTATCCAAAAATTTTTCTGCATACTTGTTACCTTAAGCTGTTACAGGATGTAGCAAAGTCAGGCATCAATCTAAACTTTTTTTCTTCTTGCTATAAGAAACATTTTAACAAAAAAATATCACAAGCACAGGTTTTATAAATGTTATACATCATTGATATTAAATATGTCTAATTTGATCAATCTTATTATATGTCATCAGAAGTATTAGGGAAGAGAGAGAGACAGAGAGAGAGAGAGAGTGTGTGTGTGTGTGTGTGTGTATTTTAAATATGTATTGGCTGCTATGTGTGGACTGCCCAGACACAAACTGAGTGTTTTCCCCTTGGAGTCAAATGTGAATCAGAATCAGAATAAAGCATTCAAAGCCTCTAAGCTCTGGTGCTAATCTTTTTAAATTGTGGACACCAGAGAGTGTGAGGCTAGAAGCCCAAATCTTCCCTGTCCCGTCTAGCTGTGTGAACCAGGACACTCAAAATCTCTGCTAATCATGTGAAACAAGACCACTATTGCCACCCTCCCTAGTACGCAGGTTTAGTTTATGAATAAAATTAGATAATCAATGCAAGAGATTTTTTTAAATGTAGGTGCCTACCATGATATAACTTCATACAGTTCAACAAGGGGGTTTAAACAAAACGTCAGAGGCAGAACTAAGCGATTCCTCTGAATATTCAAACACCCTTTTTAACTTTTGTCCAGAGTAGAACATCATGTCTCTCTTCTTGGCAGCTTTCCTTTTTCCTTTTATTCAAGTAGCAGTTGATCTGAGGCCAGGAAAAAACCTTGGCAGATTATTTCTTAATGGTATTGCCTTTGGGAAACCACAAATATAGAGGACAATTTAATTCCAGAAAATTTGGCAGATCACCCTGTCAACAGAGCAGGAAAGTGCAACACATTCAAAATGAGGGCATGTTTCAAAGACTTCTGGGTGAAACTACTTCATAAGTGGTTCATTAGGCTTAAAAAGTAGAGAAAGAACTTTGAAAGCAATTTGTTTGCATGTCCTTTTAACACTAGGCAATTTGGTGACCAGGCTGAATTAAGTAATTTTTTAAAGGTGTCTCTATTTTTCAAGATAGGCAAGTGAAAGACTGTTTTCAGTGGGTGCTGTTGGGGCCCGATGCAAACCATGTGGACTTGACCTGTGGTTTGTGCACAGAAAAAGAATAGCTAATGTTTTGCCCACCTTCAATAGTTACAGGTCGGTTCACCCAGAAGCCAGGGGGCATCTCAGTGAAGCGCTCACTGAAGACACAGGAGTTGGGACCAGTGTGGCAGGAAGTCCTCTCCCACTGACCACAGGCAACGAGAGCCTGGACATCACCATCGTCAGGCACCTCCAGTACTGCACCCAACTCGTGCAGGTAGGATCAGCGATGAATTTGTGTTTGAGATGCCAGGTGATTTACATACCAGGAAGTGTGCTTTCATTTTTTAGTGTTGCCAGGGAAATGAGAATTCAGGAATAAGAGAACAGTCTTGCTGTGGTTTGAGCCAAGTCAAAAACTCTGATGGGCCTGCCCATCCCTCTACAACCTTGGGTTTTTCATCTTCGAACCTAACTCTCCAGACCTTCACAGTAGTAGGTGGCATATGGTTAGCTCTCACTTTTGACTCATTTGGTAGTACCTGAGAATAATGTGATTAAGGGGGTGGGGGGAAGCCATTTGTATTCCACCATCTGCAATGGAGTTTGAAAGCCAGTAGTGCTGAATATATATTAACATGAATGTCAAATGAATTAGTTTTTCACCACCTGGATAGCTAAAAGAAAGTGTTAAAGAATCTAACCACAGTCTCCTGGACCTTGAATAAGTAATTCTTATTAGCAATGCTAAGATATAATTCTCTAGGCCATCATCATCACCATTTAGCTCTCATTCTGGGACACCACAGAGCTAATTTTCCTTCTCATCTCAAGCTGTTTACCACTTAAGGTTTTTCAACAGTGGAGCAAAATGTTCTTAAATTCTTTTGTTGCAGGAAGGGTTTCAGCTGTCTTGAACAAAGCATTTTTCCTCAAGCATCTACTTAAGAGCTTTCTCCTTGCCTGGTTGCTTTTCTTCTAATATCATTCTTCTCCCAGCTTGCTTGGGTGTATGTGGAACAGGAAGAGAATGCAGAAGCTAATAAAATGGTTCCAGACCAGGCGCAGTGACTCAGGCCCATAGTCCCAGCACTTTGGGAGGTCAAAGCAGGAAGATTGTTTGAGCCCAGGAGTTTGAGACCAGCCTGGTCAACAGAGTGAAACCTCATCTCTACAAAAGATACAAAAATTAGTCAGGTGTGGTGGCACAGGCCTATGGTCCCAGCTACTCAGGAGGCGGAGGTGGGAGGATTGCTTGAGCCTAGGAGGCAGAGGTTGCAGTGAGCTGTGATGGCACCACTGCGCTCCAGCCTGGGTGACAATGGTTCTACTCCTTTCTGTGTCTCTCAGAGACCTGTCTCGATCACCTGGTAGGCATAGATGCAGAACGCAGACCTGTACTACCATGCTGAATTGTCTAAAGTATTTGGACTCTAAAACAAATAGGATTTTCAAACCCAGCACTTTGGGAGGCCAAGGCCTCATTAAAAAAAGAAAAGAAAAGAAAAAGTGTCAAGGGGATCAGCCAAGCAGGAAGGGTGCAGAAGGAGGAGGAATGGTAACCCAAGAGCACAGAACCTGTTGGAAGACAAGAGTCAGGGTGAGGAGCTAGGGGTCCCTCGGGAGCCCAGCAGAGGGGCAGTGTTGCCTCCTTGGTAACAGACATGTGATGAGATGTAGGAGAATATGCTTCTCCACCATAGATGAAGAGCATCAGAGAAGCCTCAGACAACTGTGTGCTGTGGGAGACTGGTTGGCAATTATAACTCCTGCCACTTGGTTAGCCAACACTTAGTTGAACTCTTCTGTTGAGTTTTGAGGTCAAAAACCACAAAGGTCTCACAAACCATGAGACTGATAACCAATCTGGTAGAATGTGCAGTTTTTTTTTTTTCTGATCAAAACAGACAGGGATTTTTATTTATGTATGACTATTTTCTACTCACCAACCATTTGAACGAGACAGCTCTTTGTCCTTGCTGAGCCTGATACTATGCCAAGCAAACCACTTGTTTCTCTTTTAGAGAATAATAGCTATTTTGTGAGACATAAGAGAATTCTTATCTTTGAAGGAGTGACTGTTTTCTCGCAAAGACTAATTGGCATGCTTTTAGTGCAAGCAGTCAATGCAGTGTTTCTCTCGGTAATAAGGCCATGATTATAACAATTCATCCTTTCTGTGGGGATGAGCAATGGTACAAAAACAGAAGAGGTGGATACAAAGATGTAGATTGAAGGAATGAGATTTAGAAACTTACCTTCTGGCTTGCGTTGATTCATGTGTGAGCTTACTTATTAGTTATATAACCACAGAGAGATAAAGATGTGCATTTTCTAAGAATCATAATCACTACAATTATTTTCAAAATAAAGCAGTTCATTGCTATTGTATTTACTCACAGGAAGGGTGTTAGTACATAATTGCTGCACTAGACTTTGTTTTGTTTTTTTGTTGTTGTTGTTTTTGTTTTTGTTTTTTTTGAGACAATCTCACTCTGTCACCCAGGATGGAGTGCAGTGGCACAATCTTGGCTCACTGCAGCCTCCGCCTCCAGGGTTCAAGCGACTCTCCTGCCTCAGCCTCCTGAGTAGCTTAGACTACAGGCCTGCACCACCACGCCTGGCTAATTTTTGTATATTTAGTAGAGATGGGGTTTCGTCATGTTGGCCAGGATGGTCTCAATCTCCTGACCTCGTGATCTGCCTGCCTCAGCCTCCCAAAGTGCTGGGTTTGAAAATCCTATTTGTTTTAGAGTCCCAATACTTTAAACAATTCAGCATAGTAGTACAGGTCTGTGTTCTGCATCTATGGCTACCAGGTGATTGAGACAGGTCTCTGAGACACAGAAAGGAGTAGAACCATTGGGCAGCAAATGACTTATATCCTTTCTTCTCTTAGGTCTTCTCATTCTTGTGAACTGCACACAAATAAACCCACTTACAACTTATGTGACCTTGGGCAGGTTACTTAACCTCTCTGTGCCTCAATTTTCTCATCAGTAAAATGGGGATATCAATAAGACCCGCCTCATTGGGTTGTTTTGAGAAATAACATAAGCTAACACTTATACAGAACTCAGACCAGTGCCTGGCACATAGTGAGCACTCATTTGTTATCAAGAGACAGCTCTGATTGTAATTCTCATTATTATTTAACCTGCTCTTAACTTTCAGCTTGAACACACACACAAAAATAAAACCATGCTGTGAAAAATTACTGCATTTGTAAGACAAATCTATTTCTGCTTACACACCAAGACACAGCCTAAACTGCCCCTCACGTTTCAAAGGGGAAGATCAGATTCACAATACATAAAAGGGAAAGCAGCTTTATAATAACCTTGTAGACCTACTACTGAGAAAGTTCCAGAATTTATGCACACACGAAGAAATGCAAAGCAACAAAAACATGCCTGATTTCATCAGATGTTGTAACTGGCATGGAATGAGGATCATTATCGAGCTGGAAGAAAAACATCGCATGAGTTTATTTAGTATCATCACCACATTCAGGAAGGATGAGGCTGGGTAGAGAAAGCTCTACTGAAAACAACATAATTGAAACAGGAGTTTTGTTTGTTTTACCAGCAAATTGTTTTCTCAAGCAAAACCCCATTTGTGGCAAGAAGTCTCTTAGAGAAGCTTTCTAGGCAGATCCAAGTGATGGAGAAACTCGCAGCTGTCAGTGATGAGAACATAGGAAATATCAGTTCTGTTGTGGAAGGTAAGTATCTGCCAGTTACACCGCTATTCACGTAAATGATGACACCACTAGCCCAGTCCACTCCCTATGCATGTTCATTGCTTTGTTGGAAAAACAGAAAAGCATTCTTAGGTCACAGGATTGAGAAAGGTCTCCAAACAAATTGGGCTCATTAATGTCACATTTCGGCTTTCTGAGTCAAAGCAGCAGACACACAGTTTTTTCCAGAGGGCCTCCACCCCCAGAAGTCAGACCCAGAAACAAAAACAGCATCCACTTCACAGGCAGAGTTTCACAGACTTTCTGCTGGTGCGGTTCCCTTTAGGGACAGATGACTATAGGATGCTCTTGCACCCTGGAGGTGGCTAAGACAACTCCTGTAGTGACTGTCAATTGGAAGATCCTGCCAGACCCTGCTGGGGAAAGGTACAAATACATGGATGCAAACGCCTCCAGGAGAGTTCCTGATTCTAAGAGTTTTAAATGAAGAATTTGACCTGGGAAAGATGCCTTTGAATTTGTGTGATCTGGCTATGGGGCACTTTTGTAGAAACCAAAATTTATGTCTGTTTTCATATCAGATATTCAGCAGAAACAGGGTCTTCCAGATAATCTCTGATTAAGCCTAAAACTTCCTCTATCTTCTCCCTGTGCATTTCTGCCTCCCACATCCATTCCCACTAGAAGTAGGTGACCTTGGCCGGTCTCTGAGGGGCATGAAGAGGGGCAGGACATTCAGGCTGTGAGTGACTTGTGTCCTCTCCTCTCCCAGCCCCCTCCTCATGATCATGACACATTCAAGTGAAACATTGTTCCTGTCCCACCTGGTACCATGCTGTTCAGTCATTTCAGTCAGGGAACCACCTGGGCAGGGTAAAAATTTCCTCCAGCCACCTGCTGCTACCTCCCATCCCCTTCAGGAAACTCTCCTCCAGTTTGAGTCCTTGATCCTGTATGATTTCTGCTGTGGAGTTATAGGAAATCACAAGTTTGGAATGCTGCCCAAGGGTAGAGCTCCTGTATTTCCTATCACTCACAGCAAACGAACTTGTTTTTGCTCTATTTTCTTTGCTCCCCAAGCAGGATGAGTTCCTCGTCATAACTTCTTTACCCTTCGGGCCATCTGCTGACCACACAGGAATCTGCTAGTTCCATCTGAAAACTAACCACAGTCTTATGGGGAGAAAAAAAGTCCCTAAAGACCCCCCACATACACACCCTTTCCCCAACACGTCTTCATCTGCTTCATTTAAAATGTTATGGCCAGGCGTGGTGGCTCACGCTTATAATCCCAGCACTTTGGGAGGCCGAAGTGGGTGGTTTGCTTGAGGACAGGAGTTCGAGACCAGCCTGACCAACATGGTAATACCTCATCTCTACTAAAAATACAAAAATTAGCCAGGTGTGGTGGTGCATGCTTGTAATCCCTGCTACTTGGGAAGCTCAGGCAAGAGAATCACTTGAACCCAGGAGGCGGAAGTTCCAGTGAGCTGAGATCATGCCATTGCACTCCAGCCTGGGTAACAAAGCAAGACTCTGTCTCAAAAAAATAAAATAAAATAAAATAAAATGTGTTACGAGATGGGGGGTTGCTCTTCTTTTCCAGCCATACCAGAATTTCACAAAAAGCTGTCTTTGCTGTCATTCTGGACCAAGTGCTGCAGCCCTGTTGGTGTCTACCACAGCCCAGCGGACAGAGTGATGAAGCAGCTGGAGGCCAGCTTTGCCAGAACTGTCAACAAAGAATATCCAGGACTTGCAGACCCAGGTATGAGGCAGCAGTAGAGAGAGAATTTCTGTCCTTCAGTGTGAGAGTGGGCATTGGGGTGGGGGTCGGGGGAGAGGGGTCCTCCTACCACTTGCCTGCAGATGGGAAACACACAAAAGGCCATCCCTGAAAAAAGAAGTGTACTGTCCAGGGAAAACATCATCTACTCAGATTTAAGAAAAGAAAGTGTTGAACTGTTTTAATTCAGAATATCAGCAGTGACATTTAAAGCTACTACATTTTGGCCAGGCGCAGTGGCTCACGTCAGTTATCCCAGCACTTTGGGAGACGGAGACAGGTGGATCACCTGAGGTCAGGAGTTCGAGACCAGCCTGGCCAACATGACAAAACTCCATCTCTACTAAAAATACAAAAATTAGCCGGGCGTGGTAGCCCACACCTGTAATCCCAGCTACTTGGGAGACTGAGGGAGGAGAATCGCTTGAACCTGGGAGGCAGAGGTTGCAGTGAGCTGAGATCACGCCACTGCATTCCAGCCCAGCTGACAGACTGAGACTCCATCTCAATAATAATAAAGCTACTACATTCTTATGTATTGTTATTTCTATGTGTATACTTCTTTCATTACAATTTCACCAGTACGAGAGTGTCAAATGGTATGATCACTTTGGAAAAACTGTTTGGCAGTTTCTACTAAAGCTCAATATACCCCCTACCGTTGGATCCAGCACATTCATTCCTAAATATGTAAAGACAGATAAAGTGCTATGTTCACAAGAAAGGACATTTATATGAAGGTTCCTACCAGCTTTACTCACAAGAGCCAAAAATTGGAAACAACCTAAATGCCCACAAGAGAATGGATAAATTGTAATATACTCATAGCATAGAGTATTACACAGCAATTTTTAAAAACAAAATACAGACAAGGTCTCACCCTGTCATCCAGGGGGAACGCAGTGATGTTTTAACAGCTCACTGCAGCCTCAATCTCCTGGGCTCAGGAGATTCTCCTGCCTCTTCCCCTTTTGTACTGGGACTGTAGATAGATGCCAACATGCCTGGCCAATTTTTGTACTTTTAGTAGAGACAGGGTTTCAGTCTCTTGCCCAGGCTGGTCTTGAACTCCTGGGCTCAAGCAATCCTCCCTTGGCCTCCCAAAGTGCCGGAATTACAGTTGTGAGCCACTACACTGGGCCAGCAATTTTTTTTAATTAATTAATTTATTTATTTTGAGATGGAGTCTCGCTCTGTTGCCCAGGCCGGAGTGCAATGGCGCGATCTCAGCTCACTGCAACCTTCGCCTCCCAGGTTCAAGCGATCCTCCTGCCTCAGCCCCACCCAGTAGCTGTGATTACAGGCACATGCCACCATGACCAGCTAATTTTTATATTTTTAGTAGAAACAGGGTTCCGCCATGTTGCCAGGCTGGTCTTGAACTCCTGACCTCAGGTGATTCACCTGCCTCAGCCTCCCAAAGTGCTGGGATTACAGGTGTCAGCCACTGTGTCTGGCCCTGGGCCAGCAATTTTTAAAAAGAACACATTGTTGCTATAATCAATAATTTGAATGATTCTCACAGATACTTTGTTGTGTAAAAGGAAAAAGACACCAAAAGTACATACTATATAATTCCATTTACATGAAGTTCAAGAACAGGTGAAACTAATTTATGTTGATAGAAGTCAGATTGTTAGTTGCCTATTTGTGCCCTTCCCTTTCTTTCTCTTCCCTTCATTCTTCCTTCCTTCTTTCCTTCCTTCCTTCTCTTTTCCTCTCTCACTTGTCTCTTCCTCCTCCTTTTTATCTCTCTCCTACACACACATATATAATATTTATTCATTATATATTTTATATATAAGGGAAGGGAAGGGTAGCTATAGACTGGGAAGGGGCACAAGAAAACCTTATGGAATGCAGGCCGTCTTCCATATCTTGATCTAAATGGCAGTTACACAGGTGTGCACATGTGCAAAACCATCCAGCTGCTTACTTTACTACTTCACTCTATCTTCAACCACAATAAAAGATAAACAACTTATTGAGCCAGGTGTGATGGCTCATGCCTGCAATTCCATCTACTTGGGAAACTGAGGCAGGAGGACTGCTTGAGCCCAGGAGTTTGAGACCAACCTGGGCAACAAAGTGAGACCCTGTCTCTAAAATAAAAATAAAAATAAAAATTATTGAATGAATGAATGAATGAATGGTCATCTATCTAAAGCTGCTTTGTGTCTTTCCCTTCCGAATAGTGTTTCGAACCCTGGTGTCCCAAATTCTGGACCGGGCTGAGCCTCTGCTTTCCTCCAGCCTGTCCTCGGAAGTCGTCACTGTTTTCCAGTATTACAGTTACTTCACCAGCCACGGCGTCAGTGACCTGGAGAGTTACCTGAGCCAGCTGGCCAGGCAAGGTGGGACATGTTCTTTTGTCACATTGTAGTGGTGGCTCAATTTGGCGTTATCTCTGCTCTTTTAAATCATGGCTTTTGGCAATGATGGCCTTTTATTTTTCAAGTCCACAGTAGAGGTGCAATTTGCCTTTTAAGTGACTTTTGGACTTTTAACATTAGTGAGCCCCTTGTTAATGAACCAGGGATTCACTAGGAGCAACTCAATCATCTGGCAGAGAGGTACCATTTACAGGAAGCTGGTAAATGATTTAAGCTTTCACTGTAATTTATTTCCTTCAGTAATGTATTTGCCATTAGTCGGATCAATCCTACAGGCAATACTATTTTATATTGCCCTTTTTGGTGAGGCTTTCATTAATAATAGGAAGAAATGGGGTTTCAAAGAAGGCAGGTAGGTAACATGGTGGGAAGGGAAAGGAGGAAAAGGTGGAAAACTAACTCCAGGGCTCCATGTCCAGGGTACAAGAACAGCTGCCAGTGCAGGCATGCAGCAATGAAGCTGGTTCTTGCCATTCCACACGGCCCTTCAGAGACTGGAAATAAAATAGCAATCTAAATCAAGTGAAAACTCCACTTTGGGAGTGGAGCCAGGTAGTGAGGGGCTGGTTTCTGGTTCCCAGGTTTGTGCTTTATAAATCCACAGAGCCTTGACCAATGCAGGTTAAAAGGGACAAGAGGAATGAGGTGTGTTCTTTGGAGCTAGGTGAGTCTGGCACGGCACCAGGCAGCAGCAACATGTCTGGCGCAAGCCCAGGCTTACCCCTTCTCTCTCCAGAACATCAAATCCTGCAACAACACAGTCAGCACATTGGGTGGCATCATAGTGAAGGAAGAAAAATCTTCCTTCACCCAGCACTGTACCAGCACGGAGCATGGGAGAGAGTCTGTGCATAACCCCTTACAAGGCAGACACCAGCACAGAGGACCAGGAAGAGAAAGCATGGGCAGAAAGACCTTGTTTTAGGACCACAAAGTCTTATTTTATAATATTATAGTCTTCATTTATTGATACTAAATTTGTCCCAATCTAAATCCATTTTCTGAGAAAATGTTTATATTACTCAGTTTGCATCAGTGGCAGTTTACATCTCTAGGCTCTTATTACACGGTCCCCAAGAAGGCCTACTCATTTACTAACAACAATGGGGAATGACAATGAAAAAAACCTTTAACATTTTAAGTGTCTTTTTTCTTTCATTATAAAAGGGAAAAGCCTTCATTATTAAAAAAAAAAATGTAAACAGAGAAGTATAAAGAAAGAAATTCCAATCTCTCCTCTTACTTTTTAAATTGAATGCATTTTTCAGTTGAATGTACATGGGTTTTACATTCCAAATTGTAATTATGCCTTATAGAGTATTGATCCTGTTTTTTATTTGATATTATGTTCTATCTTATTCTTTGAAAGCATTTGTATTAGATTATATTAGTTATGAGATTAATAGTTCCGCATTTGAATGTATACTAATGTATTTGATTATATTGTTGGGCATTTAGGCTATTTTCTGTGATTTGTTAATTTAGATGTTATAATCCATAATGCTTCCTTTCAGGCTTTTTACTAGGGTGTTTATTTACAAAGCAGTGAAATTGATAGAGCATTCACAGCAAGGAAAATAGGAAATTAAGCAAAAAAAAAAAATCTAAATAAATCACAAATTTGTCTACTGTGTAGAGAATGTTGCTTTATTCATGGAGCATGAATTTTGGCTTTTATTTTTCCATTTGTACTGACCAGACATATTCTCATCCCAGTGTTTTTGTGACTAATGGTTGATCATGCTGGATTTCTGGTTAGGGAGTAGAGTATACTCTTTATTCATGGAACATGGTTAATTTGTCCAAATGGGACTCAAAACCTTATTTTTTAATATTGTCTTCCTATTCCAACCAACAAAATGGGTTGCTCTGGCCAGGCAAGGTGGCTTACACCTGTAATCCTAGCACTTTGGGAGTCCAAGGCGGGTGGATCACTTGAGGTCGGGAGTTTGAGACCAGCCTGGCCAACATGGTGAAACCCCATCTCTACTAAAAATACAACAATTAGCCAGGCGTGGTGGCATGCGCCTATAATCCCAGCTACTTGGGAGGCTGAGGCAGGAGAATCACTTGAACCTAGGAGGTGGAGGTTGCAGTGAACCGAGATCACACCATTTGCACTCCAGCCTGGACAACAAGAAAGAGACTCTGTCTCAAAAAAAAAAAAAAAAAGAGAAAAACATTAAATAAATAAATAAATAGATAGATAGGTTGCTCCATCGGGGCCCAGTTGCCTCAGTGCAGACTTGGTTTTTGCACTGGGTTCACCCAGGATTGGGGTTTTGCCAGACAGGTTTGACTAAAAGAGGAGCAATTAAGTCTGCCATACATATATTAGGAAGATTGTAAAAAATGTCTAATTGTATTTTCTTCTGTATATTTTTACCTTGGGCTAATTCACCTGTAAGTTATTTTTGTAGCCATTATGAGATAGAAACCCACCTTCACTTTTTCCCATGTGTTTTGCCCATCACTATAATGTAGTTATTTGCATAGTCTGTCCTTTTCTCACCAATCTGAAATACCATCTTTATCAGATGCTAATTTTTCATATGTATTGGAGTTACTATACTATACTTTCTTATGTACTTGAGTTCTATTTATATTTGTAATGAGCTGATTACTTTAGCATGTCAGAACATGAAATCTCCTTCCTTCTTACCCTCCAGTTTCCATGGTTCAGACTCTGCAATCACTAAGAGATGAAAAACTGCTACAAACCATGAGTGACCTTGCTCCCAGCAACCTCCTGGCCCAGCAGGAAGTACTCAGGACTCTGGCTCTGCTATTAACCAGAGAGGACAACGAAGTTAGTGAGGCTGTGACGCTTTACTTGGCAGCAGCCTCCAAAAATCAGCATTTCAGGGAAAAGGTAAGACACTAAACCATGGCCATCAAGCCAGAAGCTGGTTTAATTTCCTATCATTTACTACTAATATTTTAGCATTTATTCCTTTATAAAAATAATTTTTCTGCGTATTAATAATGTGTGCTCCATAAAGCAATCAAAACTAAAGAAATATAGATAAGTACCCCTTAAGTCCAGCCCCCAGAGAAAACTATTAATAACATACTGCCTCTTCTTTCAGATTGTATCTATATATATGCTAACATACATAATTTTTAAAATGAGATCACACTATCCTATTTCATAATGGATTTTTAAATGTAATATATCATGGTTATTTTCTTTCCTCGATAGAACATATTGATCTACTTCATTATATTTATGGATGAATGGCATGTCCATGTATGAATATCCTAGAATTTATTTTCTTACTGTGTATTGGTGGGCATTTGTATAGTGTCCAACTCTAAAAATATTATGGTGAACATATGTGTGTGTATATGTGTGTGCACACAGGCATGTCTTATGAGCAGTTTGGGGTCAAGTAATCTAACTATTGGCTGAAAGAGCTGGAATATTTTTAATTTTAAAAGCCATCACTCTTACTTCCAGGGAAGAGGTAATTTATCTCTCCCTCAGCTTTAATTCAATAGCCATCCAGATGGAACAGGAATCTGTAGTTTAAGTACATTGGCTCATACAAGAGGAATTGGTCCCCTGGGAGCCCTTTACAATTTATACTGTCATTCTAAAAACTAACTCTCATCAAAATCCAGATCAGCTCAAGAAAGTTAAACATGGCCTCTCCTTGTCCTTGAAAAGGTCCCATGTTGAACTCCGTTTGTTTAACTTGTCTAAGGCACTGCCTAAGCTAATATGTAATGGAACGTTTGTGTACTCACAAGAAAATAATCCACTCTAACGCCATTTTGGTCCAAAAGGGTGAACTCTATGTAGTTCTTTGCTACACAGTTATGATCTTTCAGTGGAATTAGCTCAAAAAGCTGTTCTGTGGGCTGACCACTCTCACCTCCTACCAAAAAGAGAGAAGGAAAATTAAAGAATCGTGAACATGCTGGTAGCAGGATATATACGCATCTGAGTGTGCAGTTTATGGGGAGCAGGTCTGTGATACTCTTTAGTCACACTGAGGGGCCAGTGTTCGAAATGTGCCCTTAGAAATAGCAACAGGGGCCCAGGCGCGGTGGCTCACACCTGTAATCCCAACACTTTGGGAGGCCGAGGTGGGTGGATCACCTGAGGTCAGGAGTTTGAGACCAGCCTGGCCAACATGGGGAAACCCTGTCTCTACTAAAAATACAAAAATTAGCCAGGCCTAGTGGCACATGCTTGTAATCCCAGCTACTCAGGAGGCTGAGGCAGGAGAATGACTTGAACCCAGGAGGTGGAGGCTGCAGTGAGCCGAGATTGCGCCACTGGACTCCAGCTGGGTGACAGAGCGAGACTCCATCTCAGAAAATAAAAAAATAAAAAAGAAATAACAACAGGTAAGACATAGCCTTCCTTTGGCTATTCTATATGCATCTTTTACTTTTAGGGCATTAGCCACAGGTGAAATATTCTCTTGTTATTCCAATTCAGCTCTCATGTTTATTCCCTCAAATTCATATTTCATGACTAAACCTTCATTATGTGACTACTGTGTCCCTGGTATTATATGGAGGGTTTTGTGGACACTGTAGAAATAAAGGAAAAGCAGTCCTTACCCTTGAAGAGTTTCCAGTAGTCAGAAAAACAAGAAATAATACCTGTCAAGTACTGTGTACTTCCTAAACACCAGGCACCGTGCAGCATCACTTAGCTGTCTTATCTCTAACAAGGTCGATGCTATGATCCCACTTTATGGATTAGGAAACTGAGCCTCCAAGGAGTTAAACTTGACTAAGACTAGTTAAGTAACAGAATTTGGATTACTACCTAGAAATGTTTGACTCCCAAAGCCTGAACCCTTTCCATATTTTCTTATATGGAATAGCAAAAGTTATTACATTAAGTTCTTAAAACTAGATGCAAAGCACTAAAGCAACACAAAAATGCCTCTGTGAGAGCTGGTGTCACTGTAAACCCGGAACCTTGCTTCAAGGATCATAGCTATTGAGACAAAATAAAAGTTGTGTGTGTTGGTTCATTATTTTATGCTTTTCCCCACACCTAGACAAGTAGGAAATATCCACTGTCCTCCAACTATACTGTTGCATTCAGATGTGGTTGCTTCTTTAATTATCCAGGACTGGTCAGAGGAGATGCTGGTGGCCTCTGCATGGTGACAGGGGCTTCTGGCTTTATAATGTGCCTTCTGTTTGCTTCCTGGAATTGTTATGAATCTAAGCAGCCACCAATTCTTAGGCAACCACTCAAACTAAAGTGAGCAACCTTATGACTCAACAGGCATTTAACAATAAATAAATAGGCCGGGCGCAGTGGCTCACGCCTGTAATCCCAACACTTTGGGAAGCCGAGGCGGGTGGATCACCTGAGGCCAGGACTTCGAGACCAGCCTGGCCAATATAGTGAAACTCCATCTCTACTAAAAATACAAAAAATTAGCTGGGCGTGGTGGTGGGCACCTGTAGTCCCAGCTACTCGGGAGGCTGAGGCAGGAGAATTGCTTGAACTCAGGAGGCGAAGGTTGCAGTGACCTGAGATCGCACCATTGCACTCCAGCCTGGGTGACAAGAGCAAGAACTCTGTCTCAAAAAATAAATAAATAAATAAAAATAAATAAATACGTAAAGTGAGCAACCTATTCAGTAACCCCAAAATTAACAGGGTCAGCTATCATCTCTGAAGTTAACATAGACAGGTTTGCCCTATCACCTAGCATGTTAGCTTGGCACCTAACAAGTACCTAGTCATCTCTTCATGGGACAAGTGAATTGATATTTTCAGATATATTTACACACATGGTTACAATATTTGTGTTCCTGAAATGAGGGAGACAAATATTTCCACCAACATAATCAAACTAAATGAATTATGACTCAGCATTTTGCACAGACACCATCGATTGGTTTCTGACCTCCAGGGCCAGCCCTTGTTAAAATTATAAAGTAGATGAACTTCAGCACAAGACTCCTCTCTATTTTCCCCTGCCCATTTCTCTGTCTCTCAGGTTTGTTTTGGATTTTAATGGCGGGATCCTACTTTGTTACACAAGCTGGACATGCACCACCCAGGTGGTGCAATCATAGCTCACTACAGCCTTGAACTCCTGCCATTTCCCTCTTTTACTCATATCAAGGGACTTGAAGGCTAACTATCAAACCATAGGTTTACCCCTTACCAAAACCACATATTCCAAGACTTAAATGGGTGATCACAACTTAAATTGTCCTTCCTCTCGGGCATGTTTGCATTATAACAATGCTTCAATAGGGATGAAATGCTAAAGATGACCTTGGTGTATATCCACCTCTGGAAATGGTAGCTTTGGAGGGGGTTGATGGCAAGTGGCACTTCAGGGACAGTCACCTTGTTCCTTTTGTACTGGAGGCTAGTCCCTGTGTAGCTGCCCACTTGTGGATTGAGGCTTATTTCCTCCCCTTTTGGCTGCTCACCCTCAAGTGAGTAGAGGCCAAAAGGCAAGCCAGAGAGAGGTTTTCAAAAGCCAAAGCCCAGGCTCTAACTATTTAGGTCTAGTAAAGAGCTAGTTACTGTTACTGCTTTTGTTCTTGCTGTAATAACCTATACTGCATATCTTTGTTTCCTTTAAGAGTGTTAAAACTTTAAGAGTGTTAAGCCACAGAGCTGGGCACTGTGGCTCACGCCTGTAATCCCAGCACTTTGGGAGGCCGAGGCGGGCGCATCACCTGAGGTCGGGAGTTTGAGACCAGCCTGACCAACATGGAGAAACCCCATCTCTACTAAAAATACAAAAAATTAGCTGGGCATGGTGGAGCATGCCTGTAATCCCAGCTACTTGGGAGGCTGAGGCAGGAGAATCGCTTGAACCCGGGAGGCAGAGGTTGCAGTGAGCCGAGATTGCACCATTGCACTCCAGCCTGGGCAACAAGAGCAACACTCCATCTCAAAAAAAAAAAAAAACAGTGTTAAACTGGCTGGGCGCGGTGGCTCACGCCTGTAATCCCAGAACTTTGGGAGGCTGAGGAGGGCAGATCATCTGAGGTCAGGAGTTCAAGACCAGCCTGGCCAACATAGTGAAACCCCATCCGTACTAAAAATACAAAAATTAGCCGGGTGTGGTGGCAGGCACCTATAATCCCAGCTACTCAGGAGGCTAAGGTGGGCGTATGGCTTGAACCCAGGAGGCGGAGTTTGCAGTGAGCTGAGATGGTGCCACTGTACTCCAGCCTGGGTTACCAAGAGAGACTCTCTCAAAAAAAAAAAAAAAAAAAAAAAGAGTGTTAAACCATATGTCCACACAAAAAAACCTTGTACACAGATGTTCATAGCAGCATTATTCATAATAACCAAAAAGTAGAAACAATCTGAAGGTTCATCAACTGGTGAATAAATAAAATGTGGTCTAGCCATATAATGGAATATTTTTTGGCCATAAAAAGAAATGCAATCCTAATACATCCTTCAACCTAGATGAGCCTTGAAGATACTATGCCAAATGAAAGAGCAAGACATAGGAGGCTACATATTGTGTGAATTCATTTATATGAAATGTCCAAAGTAGGCAAATCCATAGTAATGGAGAGTAGATTAGTGGTTGCCAGCGACTGGAGAGAAAGGGTCTTGGGAATGACTACTAATGGGTACAGGATTTCTTTTTGGGGTAATGAAAATATTCTGAAATCAGATGATGGGGATGATTTGTGAATATACTAAAAACCATTGAATTATACATGCTGTAGTCTAAATATTATGGTATATAAATTATATTTTCAATTTTTTTAAATGGAATTGTCCTATAAAACTGAGAAAACAGGGGCCGTGTGCAGTGGCTCACGCCTGTAATCCCAGCACTCTGGGAGGCCGAGGCGGACGGATCACAAGGTCAGGAGTTTGAGATCAGCCTGGCCAACGTGGTGAAACCCTGTCTCTACTAAAAATACAAAAATTAGCTGGGCATCATAGCATCCGCCTGTAATCCCAGCTACTAGGGAGGCTGAGGCAGGAGAATCGCTTGAACCCGGGAGGCGGAGGTTGCAGTGAGCCAAGTTTGTGCCATTGCACTCCAGCCTGGGCAATAAGAGTGAAACTCCATCTCCAAAAATAAATAAATAAATAAAAATAGAAAATAAAAGTAATTCAGACAAATAGCAAGAAATGCACAATATAGCCCAACAAAATCAAAAGTTAGTCCTCTCTTTCCACCCTCAATTCTCTTCAAGAGTAATTAAGTTTCCTATGAACCAATATGACATATAGTGATTCTTATTCATTTGAATTAATGTTAAGTACTACACATTTTATCAACCATTTAGGAAGAAATTAGCTTGGTAAAAATAAGACAATTGGCCGGGTGCAGTAGCTCACGCCTGTAATCCCAACACTTTGGGAGGCCGAGGTGGGCGGATCACAAGGTCAGGAATTCAAGACCAGCCTGGCCAATATGGTAAAATCCTGTCTCCACTAAAAAAAAAAAAAAAAAAAATTAGCTGGGCGTGGTGGTGGGCACCTGTAATCGAGGTAGGAGAATCTCTTGAACCCGGGAGATGGAGGTTACAGTGAGCCGAGATCACACCACTGCACTCCAGCCTGGGCCACAGAGCGAGATTCTGTCTCAAAAAAAAAAAAGATAATGTACTTTTATGCAGAGATTTTTTAAACAGAGCATTCATTTGCCATGTATCAAACTCAGCAAATCTCAAACTGACATTACCACCCTCCTCACTGGAATGTACTGCCTCCTCCTGTCTTCCTTATTTCTGACTGAATACCTTTTTTTCAATCAACTTCCCTACTGAAATCTAAGCCATCATTTCCATTCCAGTTCAAACATTTTTGTGAAACTTACCCTGGCACTCCGTAAGATGTCTCTTCTCCAAGTGACTGACTTACCTTGTAGATTTCTTATGGGACCTAATACATTTCTTCTCTTCAGTTCCTTCTAAACAGTCTTAGCATTTCTACTACATCTAAGGGCTCCTTAAAAGCCAGAATCATAACTCTCTCCCAATTTTATTTAATAAATTGATCCCTTATATTCTCCTAGAGTCATGGACTCTAGGAGAATATTTCAAATCTTGGAATGACACATGAGACAAGGGGCAGGAGCTTGCAGGCCTTTATGATGGGACATAAAGAAAGGGATTAACACCTTAAAAGAAAAAGTTAATGATCTGGGATCAAAAACAGCTCTGAGAAATTTTGCCTTCCTCGTTACTTGGTTTAAAAAATTACCTTTAGGTGGCCAATAAAAGCCCACGGTCATTATGTTACTCAATAAATTGATCCCTTATGTTCTCCTAGAGTCATAGTAGATCTAGGAGAACATAAGGGATCAATTTATTGAATAAACGACTCTTTTAATTAATATGAATTTCAATGGCTTTTTTTTTCTTGCTCTGAAGGTAGTGCAAAATGTGTAGGTTATATGCTATAGTTTATCTCAGAGAGTAAGAATGAGGTATACCTCTTAAACTACGAACAAACCAAAATGCCTTCATGAGGTCCCTCCTTCTCTTTCAGGCCTTGCTCTATTACTGTGAAGCACTAACAAAGACAAACCTCCAGCTCCAGAAAGCAGCTTGCCTGGCTCTGAAAATCCTTGAGGTAAAGCCCAGCCTTGGAGCTCCCCTGGCAGCTCAGCTTGGAGCCAGGCTAAGCTGAGTGTATATAACAGCTTTTCTTTCATGTTTGAAAGTACTTTTTTAGCAGTATTTCTTGTCTTCTTTGCACCGTATGTTAGTTTTAGTATTTTTCTCCCTTAAACAGTAATTACATGTGACTTTGTTTTGTTAAAGTCAATAAGTGGCAGAAAGCAATCATGTTTTGCACTAGCCCAAGGGAACCAGTTTGCCTTTAGGTCAGTATTAGAAAAGTACATCTTATTAGCCGGCACAGTGGCTCATGCCTGTAATCCCAGCATTTTGGGAGGCCGAGGCCGGTGGATCACCTGAGGTCAGGAGTTTGAGATCAACCTGGCCAACATGGTGAAACCTCATCTCTACAAAAATACAAAAACTAGCTGGGCATGATGGCAGGTGCCTGTAATCCCAGCTACTCAGGAGGCTGAGGAGGGAGAATTGCTTGAACCCAGGAAGTTGCAGTGAGCCAAGATTGTGCCATTGTACTCCAGCCTGGGTGGCAGAGCCAGACTCTGTCTCAAAAAAAAAGAGAGAGAGAGAGAAAAGGAAAGTATATCTTATTTTAAAAGGGAGATGAGATGTATGGTGATTTCACTCATTTTTATTGTGAACAACAAAAAGCAAGGACAAATAAGATTTGAAAAGAAGTACTAAATTCAGTATGCCACTGAATTCCCAGATCCTTCCCCGCAAGCTCTCTTTATTAAGCAGAGAACCAGTTTTGATTGTCATAAGGAGGTGTCGTGAGCAGGGAGAGAGCTAGAATGTAAACAAGTACTAAACGGAACAATAATACCACCGAGGAGGAGCCAAGATGGCCGAATAGGAACAGCTCCGGTCTACAGCTCCCAGCGTGAGCGACGCAGAAGACGGGTGATTTCTGCATTTCCATCTGAGGTACCGGGTTCATCTCACTAGGGAGTGCCAGACAGTGGGCGCAGGCCAGTGTGTGTGCGCACCGTGTGCGAGCCGAAGCAGGGCGAGGCATTGCCTCACCTGGGAAGCGCAAGGGGTCAGGGAGTTCCCTTTCCGAGTCAAAGAAAGGGGTGACGGACGCACCTGGAAAATCGGGTCACTCCCACCCGAATATTGCGCTTTTCAGACCGGCTTAAGAAACGGCGCACCACGAGACTATATCCCACACCTGGCTCAGAGGGTCCTACGCCCACGGAATCTCGCTGATTGCTAGCACAGCAGTCTGAGATCAAACTGCAAGGCGGCAACGAGGCTGGGGGAGGGGCGCCCGCCATTGCCCAGGCTTGCTTAGGTAAACAAAGCAGCCGGGAAGCTCGAACTGGGTGGAGCCCACCACAGCTCAAGGAGGCCTGCCTGCCTCTGTAGGCTCCACCTCTGGGGGCAGGGCACAGACAAACAAAAAGACAGCAGTAACCTCTGCAGACTTAAGTGTCCCTGTCTGACAGCTTTGAAGAGAGCAGTGGTTCTCCCAGCACGCAGCTGGAGATCTGAGAACGGGCAGACTGCCTCCTCAAGTGGGTCCCTGACCCCTGACCCCCGAGCAGCCTAACTGGGAGGCACCCCCCAGCAGGGGCACACTGACACCTCACACGGCAGGGTATTCCAACAGACCTGCAGCTGAGAGTCCTGTCTGTTAGAAGGAAAACTAACAACCAGAAAGGACATCTACACCGAAAACCCATCTGTACATCACCATCATCAAAGACCAAAAGTAGATAAAACCACAAAGATGGGGAAAAAACAGAACAGAAAAACTGGAAACTCTAAAACGCAGAGCGCCTCTCCTCCTCCAAAGGAACGCAGTTCCTCACCAGCAACAGAACAAAGCTGGATGGAGAATGATTTTGACGAGCTGAGAGAAGAAGGCTTCAGACGATCAAATTACTCTGAGCTACGGGAGGACATTCAAACCAAAGGCAAAGAAGTTGAAAACTTTGAAAAAAATTTAGAAGAATGTATAACTAGAATAACCAATACAGAGAAGTGCTTAAAGGAGCTGATGGAGCTGAAAACCAAGGCTCGAGAACTACGTGAAGAATGCAGAAGCCTCAGGAGCCGATGCGATCAACTGGAAGAAAGGGTATCAGCAATGGAAGATGAAATGAATGAAATGAAGCGAGAAGGGAAGTTTAGAGAAAAAAGAATAAAAAGAAATGAGCAAAGCCTCCAAGAAATATGGGACTATGTGAAAAGACCAAATCTACGTCTGATTGGTGTACCTGAAAGTGATGTGGAGAATGGAACCAAGTTGGAAAACACTCTGCAGGATATTATCCAGGAGAACTTCCCCAATCTAGCAAGGCAGGCCAACGTTCAGATTCAGGAAATACAGAGAACGCCACAAAGATACTCCTCGAGAAGAGCAACTCCAAGACACATAATTGTCAGATTCACCAAAGTTGAAATGAAGGAAAAAATGTTAAGGGCAGCCAGAGAGAAAGGTCGGGTTACCCTCAAAGGAAAGCCCATCAGACTAACAGCGGATCTCTCGGCAGAAACCCTACAAGCCAGAAGAGAGTGGGGGCCAATATTCAACATTCTTAAAGAAAAGAATTTTCAACCCAGAATTTCATATCCAGCCAAACTAAGCTTCATAAGTGAAGGAGAAATAAAATACTTTATAGACAAGCAAATGCTGAGAGATTTTGTCACCACCAGGCCTGCCCTAAAAGAGCTCCTGAAGGAAGCGCTAAACATGGAAAGGAACAACCGGTACCAGCCGCTGCAAAATCATGCCAAAATGTAAAGACCATCGAGACTAGGAAGAAACTGCATCAACTAATGAGCAAAATCACCAGCTAACATCATAATGACAGGATCAAATTCACACATAACAATATTAACTTTAAATATAAACGGACTAAATTCTGCAATTAAAAGACACAGACTGGCAAGTTGGATAAAGAGTCAAGACCCATCAGTGTCCTGTATTCAGGAAACCCATCTCACGTGCAGAGACACACATAGGCTCAAAATAAAAGGATGGAGGAAGATCTACCAAGCCAATGGAAAACAAAAAAAGGCAGGGGTTGCAATCCTAGTCTCTGATAAAACAGACTTTAAACCAACAAAGATCAAAAGAGACAAAGAAGGCCATTACATAATGGTAAAGGGATCAATTCAACAAGAGGAGCTAACTATCCTAAATATTTATGCACCCAATACAGGAGCACCCAGATTCATAAAGCAAGTCCTCAGTGACCTACAAAGAGACTTAGACTCCCACACATTAATAATGGGAGACTTTAACACCCCACTGTCAACATTAGACAGATCAACGAGACAGAAAGTCAACAAGGATACCCAGGAATTGAACTCAGCTCTGCACCAAGCAGACCTAATAGACATCTACAGAACTCTCCACCCCAAATCAACAGAATATACATTTTTTTCAGCACCACACCACACCTATTCCAAAATTGACCACATAGTTGGAAGTAAAGCTCTCCTCAGCAAATGTAAAAGAACAGAAATTATAACAAACTATCTCTCAGACCACAGTGCAATCAAACTAGAACTCAGGATTAAGAATCTCACTCAAAGCCGCTCAACTACATGGAAACTGAACAACCTGCTCCTGAATGACTACTGGGTACATAACGAAATGAAGGCAGAAATAAAGATGTTCTTTGAAACCAACGAGAACAAAGACACCACATACCAGAATCTCTGGGACGCATTCAAAGCAGTGTGTAGAGGGAAATTTATAGCACTAAATGCCTACAAGAGAAAGCAGGAAAGATCCAAAATTGACACCCTAACATCACAATTAAAAGAACTAGAAAAGCAAGAGCAAACACATTCAAAAGCTAGCAGAAGGCAAGAAATAACTAAAATCAGAGCAGAACTGAAGGAAATAGAGACACAAAAAACCCTTCAAAAAATCAATGAATCCAGGAGCTGGTTTTTTGAAAGGATCAACAAAATTGATAGACCGCTAGCAAGACTAATAAAGAAAAAAAGAGAGAAGAATCAAATAGACACAATAAAAAATGATAAAGGGGATATCACCACCGATCCCACAGAAATACAAACTACCATCAGAGAATACTACAAACACCTCTACGCAAATAAACTAGAAAATCTAGAAGAAATGGATACATTCCTCGACACATACACTCTCCCAAGACTAAACCAGGAAGAAGTTGAATCTCTGAATAGACCAATAACAGGCTCTGAAATTGTGGCAATAATCAATAGTTTACCAACCAAAAAGAGTCCAGGACCAGATGGATTCACAGCCGAATTCTACCAGAGGTACAAGGAGGAACTGGTACCATTCCTTCTGAAACTATTCCAATCAATAGAAAAAGAGGGAATCCTCCCTAACTCATTTTATGAGGCCAGCATCATTCTGATACCAAAGCCGGGCAGAGACACAACCAAAAAAGAGAATTTTAGACCAATATCCTTGATGAACATTGATGCAAAAATCCTCAATAAAATACTGGCAAACCGAATTCAGCAGCACATCAAAAAGCTTGTCCACCATGATCAAGTGGGCTTCATCCCTGGGATGCAAGGCTGGTTCAATATACGCAAATCAATAAATGTAATCCAGCATATAAACAGAGCCAAAGACAAAAACCACATGATTATCTCAATAGATGCAGAAAAAGCCTTTGACAAAATTCAACAACCCTTCATGCTAAAAACTCTCAATAAATTAGGTATTGATGGGACGTATTTCAAAATAATAAGAGCTATCTATGACAAACCCACAGCCAATATCATACTGAATGGGCAAAAACTGGAAGCATTCCCTTTGAAAACTGGCACAAGACAGGGATGCCCTCTCTCACCACTCCTATTCAACATAGTGTTGGAAGTTCTGGCCAGGGCAATCAGGCAGGAGAAGGAAATAAAGGGTATTCAATTAGGAAAAGAGGAAGTCAAATTGTCCCTGTTTGCAGACGACATGATTGTTTATCTAGAAAACCCCATCGTCTCAGCCCAAAATCTCCTTAAGCTGATAAGCAACTTCAGCAAAGTCTCAGGATACAAAATCAATGTACAAAAATCACAAGCATTCTTATACACCAACAACAGACAAACAGAGAGCCAAATCATGGGTGAACTCCCATTCACAATTGCTTCAAAGAGAATAAAATACCTAGGAATCCAACTTACAAGGGATGTGAAGGACCTCTTCAAGGAGAACTACAAACCACTGCTCAAGGAAATAAAAGAGGATACAAACAAATGGAAGAACATTCCATGCTCATGGGTAGGAAGAATCAATATCGTGAAAATGGCCATACTGCCCAAGGTAATTTACAGATTCAATGCCATCCCCATCAAGCTACCAATGACTTTCTTCACAGAATTGGAAAAAACTACTTTAAAGTTCATATGGAACCAAAAAAGAGCCCGCATTGCCAAGTCAATCCTAAGCCAAAAGAACAAAGCTGGAGGCATCACACTACCTGACTTCAAACTATACTACAAGGCTACAGTAACCAAAACAGCATGGTACTGGTACCAAAACAGAGATATAGATCAATGGAACAGAACAGAGCCCTCAGAAATAATGCCGCATATCTACAACTATCTGATCTTCGACAAACCTGAGAAAAACAAGCAATGGGGAAAGGATTCCCTATTTAATAAATGGTGCTGGGAAAACTGGCTAGCCATATGTAGAAAGCTCAAACTGGATGCCTTCCTTACACCTTATACAAAAATCAATTCAAGATGGATTAAAGATTTAAACGTTAAACCTAAAACCATAAAAACCCTAGAAGAAAACCTAGGCATTACCATTCAGGACATAGGCGTGGGCAAGGACTTCATGTCCAAAACACCAAAAGCAATGGCAACAAAAGACAAAATTGACAAATGGGATCTAATTAAACTAAAGAGCTTCTGCACAGCAAAAGAAACTACCATCAGAGTGAACAGGCAACCTACAACATGGGAGAAAATTTTCGCAACCTACTCATCTGACAAAGGGCTAATATCCAGAATCTACAATGAACTCAAACAAATTTACAAGAAAAAAACAAACAACCCCATCAAAAAGTGGGCGAAGGACATGAACAGACACTTCTCAAAAGAAGACATTTATGCAGCCAAAAAACACATGAAGAAATGCTCATCATCACTGGCCATCAGAGAAATGCAAATCAAAACCACTATGAGATATCATCTCACACCAGTTAGAATGGCAATCATTAAAAAGTCAGGAAACAGGTGCTGGAGAGGATGCGGAGAAATAGGAACACTTTTACACTGTTGGTGGGACTGTAAACTAGTTCATCCATTGTGGAAGTCAGTGTGGCGATTCCTCAGGGATCTAGAACTAGAAATACCATTTGACCCAGCCATCCCATTACTGGGTATATACCCAAATGAGTATAAATCATGCTGCTATAAAGACACATGCACACGTATGTTTATTGCGGCACTATTCACAATAGCAAAGACTTGGAACCAACCCAAATGTCCAACAATGATAGACTGGATTAAGAAAATGTGGCACATATACACCATGGAATACTATGCAGCCATAAAAAATGATGAGTTCATATCCTTTGTAGGGACATGGATGAAAATGGAAACCATCATTCTCAGTAAACTATCGCAAGAACAAAAAACCAAACACCGCATATTCTCACTCATAGGTGGGAATTGAACAATGAGATCACATGGACACAGGAAGGGGAATATCACACTCTGGGGACTGTGGTGGGGTCGGGGGAGGGGGGAGGGATAGCATTGGGAGATATACCTAATGCTAGATGACACATTAGTGGATGCAGCGCACCAGCATGGCACATGTATACATATGTAACTAACCTGCACAATGTGCACATGTACCCTAAAACTTAGAGTATAATTAAAAAAAAAAAAAAGAAAAAAAAAAAAAAAAAAGTACTAAACGAATGGGAACTCCTGACATGGATGTTTCCCTTTCAATGGCAAGATGTAATGTTTGACCTACTTTCATCACAAAAAAATAAGACAAATCAGTCTTGAGAAAAGAATGAGAGAAGGCCAGGTGCAGTGGCTCATGCCTGTAATCCCAGCACTTTGGAAGGCTGAGGCAGGCGTATCACTTGAGGTCAGGAGATCGAGACCAGCCTGGTCAACATGATGAAACCCCGTCTCTACTAAAAATACAAAAAAAATTAGCCAGGCATGGTGGCACACACCTGTAATCCCAGCTACTGGGGAGGCTGAGGCAGGAGAATCGCTTGAATCCAGGAGACAGAGGTTTCAGTGAGCCAAGATTGCACCACTGCACTCCAACCTGGGCGACAGAGACTCCATCTCAAAAAAAAAAAAAAAAAAAAAAAAAAAGAATGAGAGAAGGCCACACCTTAGAACTTGCCAAAATCTTGGAAAAGAGCTGCAGGCCTGATAAAGAAAGGAATTAATACCTCAAAAGAAAAAGTTAATGGCCTGTGATCAAAAACAGCTCTAGGGCCAGGCATGGTGGCTCATGCCTGTAATCCCAGCACTTTGGGAGGCTGAGGCCGGTGGATCACCTGAGGTCAGGAGTTTGAGACCAGCCTGGCCAACATGGTGAAACCTCATCCTTACTGAAAACACAAAAATTAGCCAGGCGTGGTGGCGCACACCTGTAATCCCAGCTACTCAGGAGGCTGAGGCAGGAGAATCGCTTGAACCCAGGAGACAGAAGTTGCAGTGAGCCAAGATCACGCCACTGTACTCCAGTCTGGGTGACTGAATGAGACTCTGTCTCAAAGAAAAAAAAAGAAACAGCTGTAGGAAATTTTGCCTTGTTACTTGGTTAAAAAAAAAATTACCTTCAGGTGCCCAAATAGAAAGCCCACAGTGATTGCTATTTGGGTGCTTTCCTGATATCCAGTGATATATCAGTGACAGATGTCTGTGATACAGACAAAGTAAATAAAGACATAAGGATACAGTGATCTGCATGGGTTTTCATACTCTGAATCCACTAGACTGTAAATTCTTGAGGACCAGAACCATGTCTGGTTTACTGTGGAATCTCTCATGCCTTATGAATAGTCTGGTTCATGGAGTGCTCAATAAATATTTGTGGAACAAACAAATAGAAGAATTGTCATTAATGGCCTTTACCTCCTCCTCTATTTTAGCATATAAACTAAATAGTAAGAATTTTTTAATTAGAGCCATTTTGGAATCAGTGAGATTCAGTGGAAAGAACCAGGGAAAATGGATTCTACTCTGGAAAAGCAAGCTCGTCACTTCACTCCTCTAGACCAGGAGTGTGCTGTGGAATGAGGAATTTAGCTGATCATCAGAATTCCTGAAAGTAAGAACTCTGGGCCCCATCCCAGGAAATTCTGATATAGTGCATCCGGAGTGGCACCCAGGAATATTGGGTTTCAGACACTCAGCTAGGTTTGACCCCATAGGTAAAGTGGTTTTTAGCATTCCTACCAGCTGGCCGGGCACAGTGGCTTACACCTGTAATCCCACCACATTAGGAGGCCAAGGCAGAAGAATTCGACTAGCCTGGGCAACATAGTGAGACCTCATCTGTACCAAAGGTTAAAAATTAAAAATCAGTCCTGGCTACTCAGGAGGCTGAGGCAGGAGAATTGCTTGAGCCCAGGAGGTCAAGGCTGCAGTGAGCTATGATTGCTCCATTGCACTCCAGCCTGGGCAACAAAGTGAGGCTAAAGTTCCCACCAGTTGTGAAATGCCAAGTCTCGTGGTACTCTAGACCTAAATGTCAAAACACGATTTAACCTATTTTTCCCCCATAGGCTACTGAAAGCATTAAAATGCTGGTGACATTGTGTCAATCTGATACTGAAGAAATCAGAAATGTGGCCTCAGAAACCCTCTTGTCTCTGGGTGAGTTTTATTGTTGTTGTTTACATGATTGTTTGCTTCTGGCACTCTCTAACGGATGTTCCCATTTAGATGTTCCCTTCTCCAGTAAGGAGAAGTTTCATGTACCCTGTTTAGCAGTTTCCCCGCTGTAGGCTGTCTTCTCACACACAGAGTACGAAGAACTGATCAGTGTCTATCTCACCCCAACTCCTTGTTCTGTCTGGATGCTGAGAGTGAACTATATTGTCTGGAGACTTTCTATATGGATTGATCAGTCTGTGTACTATTTAGAATCAAGAACACAGAAGTCAAACCATAAAGCAAAGGCAATAGGAATCCAGGCTGTGTTGCCAGGTGGGGTTGACATTCCCTGGAGGACAGAAATTGGGTGAGGTACCAGAGATGCATCCCAGGGAATGCTGTAAATCCCCAGGTATCTCAGCCTCACCCTGACTCCCAGGTTAACCTCTGACTGCCCTGTGGCCTCTGCCCATCTGAGCCCTGATACCTAAGAAAAGAATTGGAGTACTTATTTTATTCTGAAATATCCAGATAATCCTTCCTCTTCACTTTATTTTATGAAGGTTCATGCCTAGCAGGCATTATACATTTATTCTTTTTTGGGGACTTGGGAGGGTGGGGAAAGCCTTTCTTAACTCTGTATTAAAAAGTATAAATAGCTGGGTTTGGTGGCTCACCCCTGTAACCCCAGCACTTTGGGAGGCCAAGGTGAGTGGATCACTTGAGGTCAAGAGTTCGAGACCAGCCTGGCCAACATGATGAAACCATGTATCTACTAAAAATACAAAAATTAGCCAGGTGTGGTGGGGTGCACCTGTAGTCCCAGCTACTTGGGAGGCTGAGGTAGGAGAATCACTTGAACCCAGGAAACGGAGGTTGCAGTGAGCTGAGATCATGCCACTGTATTCCAGCCTGGGTGACAGAGCAAGACTCTGTCTCAAAAAAAAAAAAAAAGAAAAAAGTATAAATAATTATTATAAATAATTTTACTTCAACAACACAATCTTAAAGTATAAAAACTATGCTCCTAGAAATCCTCAGACATAATCCAATCAATACTGCAGCTTAGAAAAAAGCTACCCTTGTTTAGTGATACTAACTTAACAACATGAAGAAGAATCTCATGGCATTTATAATCACTGTGAAAATCCCATTTATTGTTAGGCCCTCTTTCTTACAATTATGGGTTTAACAAGGCTTCATTCTGCTATTGAATATATGATTTCTTCCACAGAAATCTTAGCCAGTATATATTTGTTTAAAGAATAAAAGTTATTCCTTATGGTTGTATTAGGCATAGAAATTATTTAATTCTCTAAAAATGTACCAAGGTATTATTAGTTTAAACTCCTTTATCCCTTCATATTCTAAAATAACCATGAAGGTAAGCCAGGCGCTTATAAAGCATAGCCAACGAAGCTTCTATTTCCAGTGTAACCTAAGGAAGCTGATCCTACAGAATGTGCCCCGGGCCTCACTGGAGCTGTGCAAACAGCAGCATCTCCAGAAGCCATCACCATACCTGCTTCACCTTAGCTCTTCATGCACACTGCTCATATCAGCCCTGGGCCCTCTCACACCACCAGTGTGCAGTGCTCAACACTGGCTGCACATTTGCCAGGGAAGCTTAAACAATCTACTCCCAAAGATTCTGCTTTCATTGGTCTAAGTGTTCCTTGGCATCAGGATTTTTTAAGGATTTTTTGAAGCCTCCCAGGTGATTCTAATATAAAGTTTGAGACCCCCCTGAAGTCAATATTATGAATCTTCTTTGACCCTAATACACAAATACTGGCACATTTTTCTCTTACACAAATGACTGAATTAATATAGTGAGGATAGTATTTTCAATAGGAATTGATAAAATGCCCTATGACAAAGGGCAGAAGGTCATTGCGGGCACTTAAAGGACTCAGGGCTGCAACTATTTACCAACTAGTATGGAATGATTTCGACATTTTAACCTAGAGCTGTCCAACAGATCCCTCCATGGTGATGGGATTGTTCTATATGCGCACTGTCCAGTATGACAGCAGCCATCCTAAATGGCTGTTGGGCTGTTCACCTTTGCCACCATGGAGGAACTGAAGTTTTAAGTTTACTCAATTTTGAGGATAGCTGCTCCTTGACTTACAATGGGGTTACATCCCAATAAACCCGTTGTAAGTTGAAAATACTGTTAAGTCAAAAATGCACTTAATACATCTTACTTGCAGAACATCATAGCTTAGCCTAGCCTACCTTAAACATGGAGTCTCTCTCTATCACCCAGGCTGGAGTGCAATGATGCAATCTCGTCTCATTGCAACCTCTGCCCCCGAGTTCAAGCAATTCTCCTGCCTCAGCCTCCCAAGTAGCTGGGACTACAGGTGGATTCCACCACACCCAGCTAACTCTTTTTTTGTATTTTTTGGTAGAGATGGGGTTTCACTGTGTTGATCAGGCTGGTCTCAAACTCGTGACCTCAAGTGATCCACTCACCTTGGCTTCCCAAAGTTCTGGGGTTACAGGTGTGAGCCACCACACCCAGCTGAACTTCTGATTAGGCACAACTATTTCCATCTTTGTCTCACTTGCATTACATGTATGAAAGCCTGCTTCTTATCACTTGTCTTTGCATTTTATTTTCTCATTTTCTAAATCATTTTTTAAAGTAGAAAAATAGAACAAAACATTAAAATTATTTGCAATTGCATCCTAACTGTTCAAGGTGGCGTTACGGACAAAACTGAACTAGCTGGTGGCTGGTAGAAGGCATCTCTGTATGTTTACATAGTAAAAAGTAATTTTTAGCTGAAGTTTGAAAGCCTAAGATTGATTTTACCACATATCATTTAGATGTATCGATATATAATGTATACAAGTAAAAGTTATGTAAAAGTTCAGTGCATTAGCCATATTGAAATCCCTAATGTACTTAAAATATAATCCATACAATTGCTCTAAAATAAATCGATTATATGAAATCATCAACATCAAATGGCCATAAGACTTCTACTCTGTTTCATACCCTGGCATTCTTTTGGTCTCTGGCATTAATTAGCTCAAAAGTTCTTGGTTGTTCTAAGCATTACCTGGAAAACAATGACATAATTAGGAATAACAAAAGATAACTTTTCCTTACCAAAAGTTAGCATAGCATATTATAGCAACCCATCCCTAAACAAATGGCACTATGTTACTTTGAGTAATTAATAAAAACGTTGTTTGAATTGGTATTCATGTTTAATGTTCTGTATTTAGGAGAAGATGGGCGGCTGGCATATGAACAATTGGACAAATTTCCTCGAGACTGTGTTAAAGTCGGAGGTCGTCATGGAACTGAAGTTGCCACAGCCTTTTAATTACAGGTTAACTGCCTAACAGCTGTCTTAATATCTGGCCCTTTTCATCAGGATGGTGCTGTGGTTTGGGCTGGAAATTGTTTAGAGCCTGAGAGACACGACAACTGAAATAAAAATGTAGGCCAGGTGCAGTGGCTCATGCCTGTAATCCCAGTACTTTGGGAGGCCAACGCAGGAGAATTGCTTAAGCCCAGGAGGTTCAAGACCAACCTGGGCAACATAGCAAGGCCCTGTCTCTACAAAAAAAATAGTTTAATTAGTCAGGCGTGGTGGCATGCACCTGTAGTCCCAGCTACTTGGGAGGCTAAGGTGGGAGGATTGCTTGAGCCCAGAAGATTCAGGCTGCAGTGAGCCATAATTGCCCCACTGCACTCCAGACTGGGTGACAGAGCAAAACCCTGTCTCAAAAAACAAAACAACAACAACAACTAAAAAAACATGTTATAGAAAGAATTCAGAGTCTCGTTTCACAGTACCTATCTACTTTTCCTTTGGCCAATATAGAATAGGGCTATGGTATAATTCAAATATATTACATCGTCGATTGTGTCTAATAATACTCAGTGAAAGAGTCCATCTTATCTTAATATGTATGAAATTTAAAAATAGCCATCTTTGTACTTTTTTGCAAGTTTCTCTATAAGCTTGAAATAGTCATGTGATACTTCGACAAACATCATATGCCTTGCAGTTTTTCTCGGTCGTGTTCTCAGGGTTGAGTAGTCCCCTTAGCTACCTAACTTTACTTTCAATACAAAGCACAAAAAAGAATATCTTCAAATAAAAGTTTGCCTGCAGAACCTGGCAAAATGACCCATTAGGAGAGTTTAGATGTTTTAATTTTATGTGCTCCCAGCTACTCTGGAGTCTGAGGTGGGAGGATCACTTGAGGCAGAGGTTGCAGTAAGCTGAGATTACACTACTGCACTCCAGCCCATGTGACAGAGGAATGAGAGCCAGTCTCAAAAAAAAAAACAAAAAACTCCCATAATTTATTTTGTTTCTTTTCCCCATCCTGAAAATTCCCAAATCATGTTTCCATTATGGAAAAATGATAAGTAAATGACTAAGAACTACATTAAGATTATGCCTATACACTTAAACAAAAAACTCAAAGCTTATGCTTTTTTTTTTTTAATTAATGAGAGCTATTTTTTATGATATTCTTACCATAGGGGTGTTTTGCTGCTAAGACAAATCAAAACCAAAAGCTGTAGATTCACAAACCTGTGATGCTCTTTGAGGTGGAGGAACCTAGAAGTCAGAGAAATCCTAATGGAGTAGGAGTGGAGGAACATTTAAAGTGGTCCCTCCTTCTGTAAAAATGACCGTGGGATTAGAAAGAAGGACATCCTGAGGGGTGGTTACTGCCCCCAGGGAAATCACTCACTGGTAGGATTCCCTGGCCAAATAGTTCAAACATCAGGTCCCATTATTGCTTCAGTATCAGAGATGCAAGTTCATTAAGCAAAGTACAAGACCATTCAGTAGCTCTTATTAAAATATCTTTTCTTCCTCTAAAGAGTGTACAAGGTGGGGTATGCCAAGGTATCAAAACAATATATGTGAGTGTAATTTAAACTGTGGAATATCAACTGTACTATGGACGTGTTTGTATCATTTAGATGTCATTTTAAATATTTACATTTTAGCAAGACTTTTAAAAAGGACTCATTTCATTTCAAAGTGCAAATTGTTTGCCAGGCTTCTGGCAAATGGTTCTTTCAACTGTGAACTTATCGTGTACATATCTGTATATTTATAAATATTATATATATTCATACATCCTTCACTTTAAAGGTACATTGTACAGTCTGTAGTTAGGAGGTATAGCCTATAGCTTATGTTAAATGGTTGAAATGGTTCTTTTTATAGAAAGTCAAACACAGATGTTACAGGATTTTGTGTTTGGTTTGTCATTTTTTTATTTTTTATTTTGACTATTGCATGAGTAATTAATTCCAGATCTTTTGTATTCACTTCTGTATTTTATGTTTGGTTGAGGGGTGCTTTTAGTTGTGTGGCATTTGTATTCATTGATCTTTCAGTCATGTAAGTTAAAATAAAAATTATTTTTGAATTACTAGCATCATGTGCAGTCTGATGTTATTTTTTTTCACATGCCCTTTCTGAGTTGGTATTTACAGAACACACTGCACCTCATTTTCACCTTTATTTTATTTTATTTATTTATTTTGAGACGAAGTTTTGCTCTTGTTGCCCCGGCTGGAGTGCAACGGTGCGATCTCGGCTCACCGCAACCTCCGCCTCCCGAGTTCAAGCGATTCTCCCACCTCAGCCTCTCGAGTAGCTGGGATTGCAGGCATGCACCACCACACCCTGCTAATTTTGTATTTTTAGTAGAGATGGGGTTTCTCCATGTTGATCAGCTGGTCTCGAACTCCCAACCTCAGGTGATCTGCCCGCCTCGAGCTCCCAAAGTGCTGGGATTACAGGTGTGAGCCACCACAGCTCGTGCTTTTATTTTCAATTTGAAATTCCTTTATCTCTAAATAGAGATAATAAATCTCAGTTTGTTGTAAAGCTAATTGGAGAGAAAACAGCTAAGTTTCACTGTTGTATCTATGAGCAGAGACTGTGAGCTCCTTGAGGGCAAATAGGCATGGTGGCTTACCCCAAGATCGTGCCACTGCACTCCAGCCTGGGCAACAGAGTGAGATTCTGTTTCGGGGAAAAAAAAATAAAAAGTGCCTTCACTGATTTGTGTATGTTCTGTTCCCACTCAGACCCCACCAGCATCATCACAAAGAAGCCCTTGACTTTCAACTCTGACAGTATTTACCAAGTGACTCGTTAAATACCAGTGATTGCTTTTACTGAGTCAGTGGTACAAACATTTTCCTCTATAAGGTTTGCTACTATACTGTTTAACTAAATTGCCTTAGTTACTTTACAAAATTGTAAAGTAAAATTGTAAACCTTAGTTCACTGAAAAATGCCAGTACTTCTCGCTGTATCAGAAAAACTCAAATAAAATACTTTTATCCCTGACTTTTCCTGGAGACAGTACCTCTTAGTAAACAAATATTATCTTTTGATTTTGAGACAGTCCTAAGTACACCTTGTTCAAGGAATAATAATTGTTTGCTAAAAATTAGAACTCTAACTTCTCATGCATTCAACAAGTATTTGTTGCTTACTTACTATGAACGAGGTGTATGCCAAGGACTGTTCTTGGCACTGGAAATAGAGTAGTAGAGAAAAATAAAAGACACAACAATCCCTGCCCTCCCAGGCCTTATATCCTGGCAAAGCGAAGACAACAAAGCAGAGAAGGGGAAAAATGATTGCACAAGGTGGGGTGAAGACAGACACAGGGAGAAAGCAAAGATCACAAGTTTAAAGAGAGTAGTCAGGGGCCGGCACAGTGGCTCACACCTGTAATTCCAGCACTTTGGGAGGCCAAGGCTGAGGATCCCTTGAAGCCAGGAAATCAAGACCAGTCTGCATGGCATACTGAAACTCCCATCTCTACAAAAATTTTAAAAACCAGCTGGACGTGGTGGCGTGCACCAGTGGTCCCAACTGCTTGGGAGGCTGAAGCAGGAGGATTGCTTGAGCCCAGGAGTTTGAGGCTGCAGTGAGCTACGATCGTGCCACTGCACTCTAGCCTGGGTGACACAGCAAGACCCTGTGTCAAAAAAAAAAAAAAAAAAAAAAAAAGGAGTGCAAAGGCCTCACAGAAAATTACATTTGAGGAATGACCCGAGGAGCTATTGGGATGAGTCACGTGGATTATCTCTGGGAAGAACCTTCCAGGCAGAGGCAACTGGAGGCAACTAAAATATTCCTCTCTAAAATGCTGGAGATTATAGTGAAAAGGTTAAAACAGGGACATATTCTGCCACTCCTTTCTGCCTTGGTCAGCTCATAACCAGAGCTCAGAGACAGCACTGCCAGAGGACCCAGGAACAGACTTTACTCTTCCCATCAACTTACCTTCAGGCATTTTCTCACCTTTCGGAAGCCTGAAGATGGTCTTTTCTTTGTCTTGTCACTAGATAGGATTCATGGCTCTTAGTTAAAATGCTATTTAAGCAAAGCCCCTAAGCCACTGCCTAGAGAGAGAAATACTTTGGAACTGAAGTCTCTCCTGCACATTGGGTACAACACACATTAATAAACTTCCGTTTATTTTTCTTTTGTTAATCTGACTTTTATTTTCAGGACAGTGTCTCAACTAAAAATGTAAAAAGGGGAAAAAAAGAAATGATGTTTTCTCCCCTGCACAACAGTAAGTACAAAAGCCTTGAAAAGAGGCCATGCTTGGTGTTTTGGATTTTCTAGTACCCACACTTAAGACAAAGAAAAAAGAACAGGTGATATTAATTATAATAATATATTTTATTTAACCTAATGTAAAACATTTCAAAATATGATCAATATAAAAATTATTGAAATATTTTACAGTTTTTCCTACTAAGTCTTCAAAGTCCAGGGTGCATGTTGCACTCACAGCACATCTCAACTGAGACTAGTCACATTTCAAATAGCCATGTGTGGCTACCTTATTGGACAAGGAAGGTCTGTTTTTCCCAATTGTCCCAGTAATACCCTTTATAGCATACACAAACACACACACAGAGAGACACATACACACGTGTTTATGTACAGAATCCAAGCAGGGATTACATTTTTATTTTTATTTATTTATTTATTTTTCAAGATGGAGTTTCGCTCCTGTTGCCCAGGCTGGAGTGCAATGGCACGATCTCGGCTCACTGCAACCTCTGCCTCCTGGGTTCAAGCAATTCTCCTGCCTCAGCCTCCCGAGTAGCTGGGATTACAGGCATGCGCCACCACGCCCGGCTAATTGTGTATTTTTAGTAGAGACGGGGTTTCGCCATGTTGGTCAGGCTGGTCTTGAACTCCTGACCTCAGGTGATCCGCCCACCTCGGCCTCCCAAAGTGCTGGCATTACAACCATGAGCCACCACCGCGCCTGGCCATTTATTTTTTTATTTTTTATTTTTTGGGGATGGAGCTTCACTCTTGTCACCCAGGTTGGAGTGCAATGGCATGATCTCAGCTCACTGCAACCTCTACCTCCCAGGTTCAAGTGATTCTCCTGCCTCAGCCTCCTGAGTAGCTGGGATTACAAGCGTGCACCACCACGCCTGGCTAATTTTTGTATTTTTAGTAGAAAAAGGGTTTCACTGTATTGACCAGGCTGGTCTTGAACTCCTGACCTCAGATGATCCACATGCTTTGGCCTCCCAAAGTGCTGGGATTACAGGTGAGAGCCACTGCACCCGGCCTACATTTTTATTTTAGTTGTCATGTCTCTCAGGCTCTTTTAATCTAGCAGAGTAACCCCAATTTTTTTAAGCCTTCACACATTAAAATATTTGAAGAGCATATGTAGGTATATTCTGTAGAATGTCTCAAATTTGGGATATGTTTTAAAGTAGAGCCAGTACATTCATTGATAAGTTGAAAATGAGATGTGAGATAGATAGAAGCCAAGGATGAATCTAGAATTTTTTACCTGAACAACTAGAAGGATGTAATACCATCTTCCAAGATATAGAAACTGAGAGGCAGCCAGTCTAGGGAGGAAGACCTGGAACTCTGTTTTGGACATGTTAAAACTGAAAAGCGTCTTGGACATTCAAATGGGGATATCAAGCTTGTGACTGAATACGAGTCTGGAGTTCAGGTGAGAAATCCAGTTAAAGATATAAAATTGGAGCAGGCGTAGTGGCTCATGCCTATAATCACAGCACTTTGGGAGGCAAAGGTGGGAGGATTGCTTGAAGCTAGGAGTTCAAAACAGCCTGGACAACATAGTGAGACCCCCATTTCTTAAAAAAAAAAAAATTAAAAATTTGCTAGGTGTGGTGGCCTACAGTCCCTGCTACTCAGGAAGTTGAGGCAGGAGGATCACTTGAGCCCAGGAGATCAAGGCTGCAATGAGCTATGATTGGGCCACTGCACTCCAGCCTGGGCAACAGGGGAACATGTCTCAAAAAAAATTATATATACATATAATTAATATATATATAATATATAATATATATAACTGGGAGTCTTCAGCATATGGGTAATAGTTAAAGCCATAAACTGCTTGATCTTATCTAGGAAGTATAGATAAAGAAAAAAGGACCGGGCATGGTGGCTTACGCCTGTAATCCCAGCATTTAGGAAGCCTAGGTTGGTGGATTGTTTGAGCCCAGGAGTTCAAGACCAGCCTGGGCAACATGGCAAAACCTCATCCCTACAAAAAATTTAGCTGGGCATGGTAGTGTGCACCTGTGGTCCCAGATACTCAGAAGGCTGAGGTGGGGGGATCACCTGAGTCCAGGAGGTCGAGGCTACAGTGGGCCAAGATCATGCCACTGCACTCCAGCCTGGGGGACACAGACAGACCATGACTCAAAAAAAAAAAAAAAGAAAAAGAAAAAGAAAAGAAAAGAAAAGAAGAACACATACAAAGACTGATGAGCCTTGGGCCCTCCAATATTTAGAGGTCATAAGAAGAGGAACCAGTAAAGGAAAATGATGAGTGGCCAGGAGGAGAAAAATTAGGAGTGTGGTATCTTAGAAGCTGGGTGAAAAGTGTTTCAGAGAGAAAGGAGTGTCAAATGTCAAAGACTGACAATTCAATGACCCTGACAGGCAATGTCAGTGGAGTCATGGGGTTGAAATCTTGTTTGGAATTCATCCAAGAAAGAATGAGAAAGACTGGAGATGGTGAGTATAGCAGCTCTTTAAAGAGCTGTACTGTAAAGGAGAGCAGGGAAGTGAATGTGCAGTCGCTGTGGGAAGAAAGCATATGAAGTCAAGAGAGTTTTCTTTCTTTAATGAGAAAAAAAGCACAGCGTGTTTGTTGATAATGCAAAGGGTCCAGTTGAGATGGAAAAATTACCAAGATAAGAGAAGAACCGAAGAGCAACATCCTTGAGTGAGGTGAGAGGAGCTGATTGACATCTACTGCACAAACAGAGAGGGTATCCACAGTAACAGGAGGAAAGACAGAGTCTATGGGTACCGTAGACGCAGATAGGTGGGTGGATGCACTGGTAAGAGTTATGCAAGTTCTCTTTTCATTGCTTCTATTTTCTCAGCAAAATAAGATAAATCTATGATGTAGAGAACTCTCTTTGGGTAGCAAACAAGCAAAAGAGGTAACAATACTATGAAAGATCAATGGAAAGAAGCAAAGTACATGTGGGAATAATCAGACTAGAACGGGCAAGTTCCAAATATACCCTGCCTGAGCAAAGGTTCAAAGACAGTAGTGAGATTCATGCGCATTACGGGAAACAAGTTTAAGTTGAGGTTTTGTACACCAGAGAAATGAAAGTAAAATTGTTTAGTCCAAATAGTAGAAGGCTTTCAATGACAAGCTGAAGAATTTAGGCATATATTGCTTTCCCCTGGTTTGTATATTCCATTCCACAGTGTTGCTAAGTGATGCATTCCAGAGTTCTTGACTGTGAACTCCTGTGACTGCCAGTGGTGTACCTGAAGGACCACTGGCCTTTTTACACAATGGCTAACAGCCGATTTTCTTGTACGCAAATTTGGGTTAAGATGTATGGGTATTTTGCGGGGCTGTGTCGGCGTCTCCAGAAATTCTGGCGTGTCACTGTTAAGGGCTTTTTTGTTAAGAAGAAGGAAAAAAAAATCCCTTCAGCTGAGACTTATTTTCATGAGGAAAAAATTGTTGTACTTGGCCAAGTGTTGATGAATGAATCTCTACCCATTGAGAAGAGAGCTCAAGCTGCCCAGAAAATTGGACTGCTGGCCTTCACAGGTACTGATCTAAATGGCTGTGCTAAAATGAGTGTTTCACGACACTCATTTTATAACACTGTAGTTTAGTAATTTTTCTTAGCTGTAATCTTAAAATTCTGATAACATTTCATTGGATGAGGGATATTTGCTAAGCGAACACAACCAGGTTTTATTCACCTTGAAATACTCACTCTTGGCCAGGCACGGTGGCTCACGCCTGTAATCCCAGCACTTTGTGAGGCCAAGGTGGGTGAATCACCTGAGGTCTGGAGTTCAAGACCAGCTGATCAACATGGTGAAACCCCGTCTCTACTAAAAATACAAAAAATTAGCTGGGCATGGTGGTGCATGCCTGTAATACCAGCTACTCGAGAGGCTGAGGTAGGAGAATCGCTTGAACCCGGGAGGCAGAGGTTGCAGTGAGCTGAGATCGTGCCATTGCACTCCAGCCTGGGCAAAAAGAGCAAAACTCCGTCTCAAAAAAAAAAGGAAAGAAAGAAATACTCACTCCTGGGTGCTTGCTTAAAGGAACCAGGGAGGAGACCAGCAAGCAGAGACCTTCCCAGGTTTTTCATATCACTGCTTGCTTATCAACACACACTTTCTGGTCTTCATGGCAGCAGCGTGGGAGGTGGGGGAAAACGACAGGAAAATTCAAAGTATCCAAAGTATCCTCTACAGGGCAACAAGAATATGAACATATAAGCATTCCAAAGTGTTACTAGCTAATAGATACACCAAATACTTCTGGAAATGCAAATGCTTGTTTTACAGGAGGACCACCTGCTGGGAACTTTGCAGCTGAGTACATGGAAGAAGTGGCTCACTTGTTGCAAGATGAGGAGTTGGCACCAAAAATAAAGATCCTGCTGCTCCAGAGTGTGGCATGTTGGTGTTACTTAAACCCTGTCAGCCAGAAAAGAGCCAAAAGTCTGCAATTTATTCCTATTCTCATTAGTTTTTTTGAAGGCAGATTCGAGTCTACTATCAAAAGTGAAACAAACAGCTACCTCCTCCTTAAATTTTGGACTTGTTACGTTCTCTCTGTCATGACATGCAATAACTTGTCTTGCGTCAAGGAGCTTAAAGACCACAGTGCTCTAAAATATCATTTGCAAATGTTGGCTGCTGAGAATTGGTCTGGATGGACAGAGAATTTTGCAGAGGTGCTGTATTTCCTAATTGGTTTTCATAGGAATTAGTTTCTCTAAATCCAGTTACATGTTGCAGCTCTCTGTGTATTACCCTGGAAAACTGAAATAAACAATAAAAATCGATGTTTTCCTTTGTAGTTGAAGAGTTCTGTATAGATTTTCATACAGTTAACTGCAATAATCAAACTTCAGAAAAGAAATGCTGTTTAAAATTACCTCGTAGAGAGAGCCCATTGAGCTTGCTCATGAGTGTATTCTTTCCCATTAGGAAATAAAGATGTTAAAGCACGCAGTTAGATACAATGCGGAATATGAATGAAACCACCTTTGCAAAAATGATGACAGTGAGAAAAATCTGACAGCGAAAGAAAGCTGACCTCACTGACGCCATCTTGCTTCTAACCTCTAAGCTGCCCTTGTTCATTCCTGGGCATAGGCCAAACTAACTTTGGGAAGAATTTAGTTCATAGTTTAACTATGAAACAAAGATGATTACCTAGACTCTTCCCTGAAACAAACTCCCTCCTTGCTTGGGGACCAGACTGCTTTTATAAAACTAACACATTAGCCACAGACTGGAAATTATGGCTCAGGAGTCATACAGCCAGAGGCCACAAGATTCCAACCTCCCCGGTTGCACCTACAGATTAGTATTGAAAAACCTAAGATTGGTATTTGAGGTATTTTTCAGATCCTGCATTCTGATGGATCAGCTGGCACCACCCAGACTGCCAAGCTGGGTCTTCTGATCTTATGGTCACCAACCAGCAACTGACTCAGCACAAGAGGACAAGTTCCAGCCCCCTATGATTTCATCCCCAATGGAACCAATCAGCATTCCCCATTCCCTAGCCTCTTGCCCATGAAACTATCCTTAAAAAACCCTAGCCTCCAAATTTTCAGAGAGGCTGATTTGAGTAATAACAAAACTCTGGTCTCCCATTTAGCCAGCTCTATGTGTCTTAAAATCTTTCTCTATTGCAGTTCCCCTGTCTTGATAAATCTGCTCTGTCTGGGCAAAGAGCAAGAACTCATGGGGCAGTTACATGAATACTTGTAAAATTACAGAACTGGAATTATTATTTTTTGCCATCTATTATACGAAGGCTAGAGAGAATGTCTATCCCCAATGTCTACCATTAAATCATGAAACTCTTATTTTCTAATATATCTTTTTTTGAAGTTGATTAAAAATATGTATTTTACAACTGATTTCCCATTGGAAAAAATATGCTGGTAATTTTTTTTAACCTTGTGCTTCTGTGTAGTAAAAAAAAAAAATTATTAAAAGTGAAAAAAAAAGACCTCATAAAAATTAAGTTCATAAAATTCTGAAATTCATCAGAAGATGCATCATGTATATAACTGTTAGGAGCAATGGTGCACTTTGGGAGTTACTAGATGATATTAAACCAAGGCACTCAGAAAGGCCAAATCCTAGCCCCACCCACGGCTGCCTCCTTCAGCAGGCACTATTGACCCACCTGAATCCTTTCAGCCCTATTTCAGTACAGAACCTCCGGTGGTGGTGCTTTTGAGATGGTTCTCCAGCTATCAGAGCATGATCTGGTTGCACATGGGGCTGACTGGGAATTAGCACTAGAATTAGCACTCCTCTTGCCTACCTCCACCTGCAGCAGCCCGCAACTCCACTGGCACAAACGTTTGGATGGAGATGGAGCGCGTGTGTTCCGACACCTAAAGTTAGGTAGGCTCTTAGATTTTCATAAAAAGATGTTATTCTCTCTGTTTTGTCTACTAGATAATCTGCCACAGAATACCTGCACTCTATGTGTGTTAACCAACCTCATCAAAAGTTTTATTCGAAAAAATAATATTGGCAGAAAAGTGCCTAAGGGATATGTACCTGATTCTCTAACTACACCTGCCTCTAGCTTCAGTTGCAACCATAACATTGAATTATGTACTTTCATCTTTCACAGACTTGCTTTGACTGAGCTGTGCTTTAGTGTTAGGCACAGAGGGGGCTATTTTAAAAAATGTCGTGTAGATTCGTGATCCTCACTTGTATTTGGGATAGGAATGTTGTGGAGGATGCTAATCACATCATCAGATGGGGTTTCCTTAAGAAGGATCTGGAGGGGAATTTTCTCAGATCTTAGACCAGAAAAAGCTATGTTCTGCTGAGCAACTGTACATTTCCATACTTTGTGGTTTTGTGAAGTATGGAATGTAGAGTTTCTCAACTAGAATCTAGTTGATAGGAATACATTAAGGGTTGGAAACTGGAAGTTCCATTTAGATACTGAATTACTGCCAGGAATTACTTTTTTTCTTTTTTCTTTCTTTCTTTCTTTTTTGAGATAGCCTCTTACTCTTTCACCTGGGCTGGAGTGCAGTGGTGCAATCATAGCTCACACCACTGAGCTATGAACATTATCAAGACAGGGGAATTGCAATAGAAAAAGAGTTTAATACATGTAGAGCTGGCTAAATGGGAGACCAGAGTTTTGTTATTACTCAAATTAGCCTTTCTGAAAATTTGGAGGCATAGATCATACATAACCTTGAACTCCTGGGCTCAAGCAATCCTCCTGCCTCAGCCTCTCATGGAGCTAGAGTTACAGGTGGAAGCCACTATGCCTTGCTAATTTCTTTTTCATATATATATACACATATATGTTTACACACACGTTTTTAAAATAGAGATGGAGTCTCGCTATTTTGCCCAGGCTGATCTCGAACTCCCAGGCTGAAGCATTCCCTCCTGCCTTGGCCTCCCAAAGTTTTGGGATTACAGGCATCAGCCGCCAGATTCAGCCTTTTAATGCTTTTAAAATTAAGTTTTTATTTCAAAGTAATGCACGTACACAGTTTAAAAAGTCAAATAATGTAAGGCCTCTAGTGAGAAACAGCAGTCTCTGAGTCCCTTCCCCATTTACACTCCCAGAGGGAATCATCTGAATTGTTTCAGTTGTTTCTTCTGGTATTTATTTACCTTCATATTTCTAAATAATTTATATACATTGTTAATTCTTGTCTTTTTTTTTTCAATTTTGGGGATTTTTGTTCTTCCTTCTGAATAGGACAGATGGAATTTGGCATTCTAACACTCATCTTGCCTACCTTCACCTGCCCTACTCTTCCTCTCTCGATGTAATTATGTCACAATTGTTGATTTAAAAAATATGATAGCTGGGCACAGTGGCTCACACCTGTAATCCCAGCACTTTGGGAAGCTGAGGTGGGAGGACTGCTTGAGGCGAAGAGTTTGAGACTACCCTGGGTAACATAGCAAGACCCATCTCTGTTATAAATAAATACATTAAAACCAAATAAGATTAATTCAATATTTTTCAAGGCTAAGTCATACAGGATATTATGATTACACTTCCTTCTTTCCACAGCTCTGTTTTCTCTGTAGTTTTTGTTTTGTTTTGTTTTTGAGATGGGAGTCTCGCTCTGTCGCCCAGGCTGGAGTGCAGTGACACGATTTCGGCTCACTGCAACCTCCGCCTCCCAGGTTCAAGTGATTCTCCCATCTCAGCCTCCCAAGCTGCTGGGACTACAGGCACGTGCCACCACGCCTGGCTAATTTTTTCATATTTTTAATAGAGATGGGGTTTCATCATATTGGCCAGGCTGATCTCAAACTCCTGACCTCGTGATCCACCTACCTCCGCCTCCCAAAGTGCTGGGATTACAGGCGTGAGCCACCACGCCCGGCTGGAGTTTGTTTTTTTACTTAGTTTTCTGAATACCTATCACTACTTTATTCCCACACTTTCCTCTATATGTCTAACATCTCTCAACACAATCATGCACTGAGTAACTGTCAGCTCCGGCTCCACCATCCTCTTGCTCCAATCTGGGCCTGCCCTTAGCTAACAAATACAGTATTTTAGGGGTTCCCTTCAACATCCAGGACCCCCCATTACCCCTCTCATCTTGAAGCCTCTGTTTCCTGTATACTCTCTCTTCCCTTTTCCTGGTTCATTCCAACATTTTAATTTCAAAATTTTTCAGTAGTTTCCAGAGAAAGAATGAAGGGGAGGTAAATGTTTTGAGCATTTGCATGTCCAGTGATGTCTTTATTCTTCACTTGATTAGTAATTTGACTTCAGCCTGTCCCTGAACCAAGAGAAGCAGCTGAGAACATCAGTGCTCTGTGCAAGCCCTCACTCCCCAGAAGAAGAAGGGAAGAGCTGAGGCAAGCACCTGAGGGCTATTCTTCCCAAAGTCACTAATCAGGTAAGTCCCTCATCTCCACTAAAACCAGGAGTGTTGCAGCTATTGGAGATTCCTACTCCAGGAAGAAAACATTAGATATGGAAAAGAAGCATATATGCAACCAATTAAAATGTATCAATTCATGTAAGGATAAAAAGAAAAGAAGTAGCTTCTTCTGTATCTTTCCAGAAGTATTCTTTCTATATATAAGAAAATATACATCTATCCCTTACGTCGTCCTTGTTTTAACATATAGTAGCATTCTATACATACATAATTTATTTCACACTTTGTTCTACATCTTAAAGAGTTTGATTCTTTTCCATTGCTTCAGAGTATTTCATTGTATGACTGTACTATACAGTTGACCCTTGAACAATATGGGTTTGAACTGCTCAGGTCCACTTATATGAAGATTTTCTTCTGCCTCGGCCACCCGAGACAGCTAGTCTGCCACCGAGACTCCCCTTCAGCCTACTCAATATGAAGATGATGAGGATGAAGACCCTTATGATGAACCACTTCTGCTTAATGAATAGTAAAAAATATTTTCTCTTCTTTATGATCGGCTTAATTCTTTTCTCTACCTTACTTTATTGTAAGAACACAGGATATAGGCCGGGTGCAGTGGCTCACGCCTGTAATCCCAGCACTTTGGGAGGCCGAGGAGGGTGGATCATGAGGTCAGGAGATCGAGACCATCCTGGCCAACATAGTGAAACCCCATCTCTACGAAAAATACAAAAATTAGCCGGGCATGGTGGTGTGTGCCTGTAGTCCCAGCTACTCAGGAGGCCGAGGCAGGAGAATCGCTTGAACCCAGGAGGCGGAGGTTGCGGATCGCACCACTGCACTCCAGCCTGGTAAACAGAGCGAAACTCCGTCTCAAAAAACAAAAAACAAAAAAAACAACAACACAGGATATAATACATATAACATACAAAATATGTGTTAATCAACTGTTTATATTATCAGCAAGGCTTCCAGTCAACATTAGGCTAATCATTAAGTTTTGAGAGAGTAAAAAATTATATGCAAGGCTGAGCATAGTGGCATGCCTGTAATCTCAGCTACCTGTAAGACTGAAGCAGGTGGATCACTTGAGCCCAGCCTAAAAAACATAAGACCTTGCCTCAAATAAAAAACTAATTTCAGCCGGGTGGGGTGGGGCTCATGCCTGTAATCCTAACACTTTGGGAGGCCTAGATGGGAGGATTGCTTGAATCGAGGAGTTCGAGACCCGTCTTGGCAACATAGTGAGACATCTCTACAAAAAAAATCAGCCAGGTGTGGTGGTGTGTGCCTATAGTCCCAGCTACTTGGGAGGCTGAGGCAGGAGGATCGCTTGAGCCCAGGAGGCAGAGGTTGTAGTGAGCCAAAATTGTGCCACTGCACTCCAGGTGACAGAGTGAGACCGTCTCAAATAACAATTTCAAAACAGAGAATTTATCTAGGTCAGGTGTGGTGGCTCACGCCTGCAATCCTGGCACTTTGGGAGGCTGAGGTGGGCAGATCACCTGAGTCCAGGAGTTTGAGACCAGCCTGGCCAACATGGTGAAACCCCCATCTCTACTAAAAATACAAAAATTAGCCAAACATGGTGGTGTGTGCCTGTAATCCCAGCTACTCGGGAGGCTGAGGCAGGAGAATCACTGGAAGCCAGAAGCAGAGGTTGCAGTGAGCCAAGATCACACCACTGCACGCAAGCCTGGGTGATAGAGCCAGACTCCATCTCAAAAAAAGAAAAAAAAAGAAAAAAGAAAAATTATCTAAATTTTAAAAGCAGAAGATAGCCAAAGAAAATTTATATTAGCCAGGCGTGGTGGCACGCGCCTGTAGTCACAGGTACTCGGGAGGCTGAGGCAGGAGAATCTCTTGAACCCAGGAGGCGGAGGTTGCAGTAAGCTGAGATGGTGCCACTGCACTCCAGCCTGGGCGACAGAGCTGAGACTGTCTCAAAAAAAAAAAAAAAAAAAAGAAAAGAAAAATTTATATGCAGATTTTCAACTGCACAGGTGTTGGCTTCCCTAATGGCTGCCTTGTTCAAGGGTGAACTGTAATTTATACAACCAGTCCTATACTGATGAACATTTAAGTTATTTCCAATATTTTGATAGTTCAAAGTTGTAATGAATAACCTTAAATATGTGTAATTTCACATGTGTGAGCATATCTGTTGAATAAATTTCTAGAAATGGAATTGCTTAGCCATACTTACATCGTTTGCTTTTGTTTTATTCTGTTCCCTGCATTGTGACTTTTGCCTCAACTTCTGTTGACTCTGCTTGGTCAGCACGGGATTATGATGTTTTTTACAGCTTACTGTCATTTTAATAATGTTTGGGAAAGACAGAAATTAAATGGCTCTGTTCAATTAACATGTTTAACCAGAAATTGCTGAAGGCCTCTCTGTGACAATGTTTACAGAAATTTTGGTTAACATTTTATCTACAGAAGATTAGCTTATAAGGTAGTCTAATAATATGTTCTATTCAAATTCCTTTTTGGTCTCTGGAACCTCTTTAAGTTGAAGGAGGTAAGATACAAGGTTCAGATTCGAGCTGAGGCATTTTTACTGTAAACCTTGAATTTTAAGCTGGCTTACCAAAGCTTTAACAACAGTGATTTTGTTTTCCTTTGCTGTCCCTCCTAAGTTCATCTCTCCCAACTTTTGAGTTTTGCTAGAAGCAAATCAGAGGATTTGCTTAAGGATTTGAAAGATATTATTTGGGAGGTGATCTCGGGAACTAGCAATAGGGAAGGGAAGAAAGCCAATAAAAGATGTATTATGAAGAAAGCTGCCACTGTAGGTAAACGGAAGCTTAATCCTGCTGGGGAACCATCTGGTAAACACACAACACACATGCCTTAAGAATTATTTCATCCAGAGGTCCCAAGGAGCTCAGATATGTATACACCAATTCTTATCCTTCTTGGTTGACCTAACAACCTAATTAGTTACAACCTAAAAGTCAACTGAAATATCTTGAAGGGTGTGGGATAGGCAAGGAAGTTTTCTAAACAAACCAAAATTACGAGGGCCGTAAGGCAGTGTGGTGGACGTTTGTTGCGTTTTGGCTCACTAGAATTTATTCTTTCTTCTAATAACACGTCAGTTTATTTGGGGGAGATATCTTACCCATGGTGTAGTCTTAAAATTCATTTCTATCTGCTCTTGGATTAGCTTTTCTCTTCCCTTCCTATAATTATCCTTTATTTGGTCTCATTGCATCCACCTCCAAAAGAATTGGAAATAATTGTGGTCCATCCTTTTCTAGCTCTTGACCTTGAAACTAATTCCAAAGCTTCACCATTAAGCATTATGTTAAGCATGGGTAGCATAGTTTATTTCAGGTTAAAATTCTTTTCTTTTCCTAGCTTACCAAGGGTTTTTACCAGAAAGGGTGTTGAATTTTATCAATGCTATTTTACCATCTATTAAGATGATATGCTTTTTCCCCTTTAATATAAAGAACTTCATGTTTACTAATATTATAGCAGTCTTGCATTCCTGAGATAAACCCTAACTTGGTCATCGTTTTATCTTTTAGTAGATTAGACTTGCCATTTTATTTATGATTTTTCAATCTGTATTAATAAGGCTCTAGATTCCCCTACTCCAACCTTACGGTCCATCCTCATTACCTTCTTTTTTTTTTTTTTTTTTTTTTTTTTGAGATGAGGTTTCGCTCGTTGCCCAGGCTGGAGTGCAAAGACGCGACCTTGGCTCACTGCATCCTCTACCTCCTGGGTTCAAGCAATTCTCCTGCCTCAGCTTCCCAAATAGCTGGGACTACAGGCATGCACCATCACGCCTGGCTAATTTTGTATTTTTAGTAGACAGGTTTTCACCATGTTTGTCAGGCTGGTCCTGAATTCCTGACCTCAGGTGATCTGCCCACCTGGGCCTCCCAAAGTGCTGGGATTACAGGCATAAGCCACCACACCTGGCTGGTCCATCCTCAAATCTTGATATCAGTTATGCTAGCCTTGTAAAATATATTGACAAATTAGTTCAGTCTAATCCAGGCTTCATGCATACTGTTTTTCCAACTGATTCTTATCCATTTGCCATTTCCTTAACGAAGCTCGACTGCATTTTATTAAACCAACTTCAAAGAACTTGTTCTAATGGGCCAGGCTTGATTGACTCCCTGACCCCTTCTCCAAGGTATTTTCATTGACATGTTTTTTGTTTTGTTGAGACAGAGCCTCACTCTGTTGCCGAGGCTGGAGTGCAGTGGCGCAATCTATGCTCACTGCAACTTCTGCCTCCCAGATTCAAGCAATTCTTGTGTGCCTCAGCCTCCCGAAGAGCTGTGACTACAGGTGTGCACCACCACGCCCAACTAATCTTTTGTATTTTTAGTAGACAAAGCATTTTGCCATGTTAGCCAGGCTGATGTTGAACTCCTGTCCTCAAGTGATCTGCCTGCCTCAGCCTCCCAAAGTGTAGGGATTACAGGCGTAGCCATCACACCCGGCTGACATGCTATACTAACATTTGATACCTAATTAAAAATCAGACTCATCTTCCACAGGAAATTCCTACAAATTCTCCATCACTAGGGTCAGTTCCCAGGGACTAGAAGCTTAAAATATGTCCCCCAAAACAGCCCCTACATGACCCTTAGGCAACTACTAATCTGCTTTCTCATTATACTTTGTAGTTTTGTGATTTTAAATAAATAGAAGCATACAGTATGTATTTACCTGGCTTCTTTCACACAACATTGAGATTCGTCCATGTGGCGTGTACCAATTTTTGTCCCCTTTTTATTGCTAAATAGTATTCCACTGTATAGTTATACCATAATTTATCCACTCAGTTACCAATGGATATTTGGGCTATTACAAATAAAGCTATGAAAATGTGTGAACTAGTCTTCATGTGGACATATGCTTTCGTTTCTCTTGGGTAAATACCCAGGGGTGGAATGGCTGAGTCATATAAAATGTGTATGTATAACTTTTAAGGAATTGTTCAACTTTTCCACAGCAGTTGTAGCATTTAGCACTGCCACCACCACTGCAGGAGGGTTTCAGATGTTTCACATCCTTAACACTCGATGGAGTTGTTTTTATTTTTCAAACTTAAAACAATTCTGAAAGGTATGTAGCAGTATCTGGTTGTCATTTAATTTGCACTTCCTTAATGACTAATGTTGAGCATCTTTTCATGCACTTAGTTTCCATCTCATACATACCCTAGTTCTTTATAGATACAAATCCTTTGTTGGCTATGTTCTGCAAATATGTTCCCCCAGTCTGTTCTTGCCTTTTCATTTGCTTGTCTTTCAAAAAGTTTTTAAAATTTACAACGTTTAATTTGAAGTTGATGCTTTTTTGTGTCCTATTTGAGAACTCTCTGCCAAACCCAAAGTCACTAAGAACTTTTCTATATAATCTAGAAGTTTTATGGTTTTAGCTACTACCTTAGTTTTTTAATCCCCTTCAATTCCCTCTCCTTTTGCTCCCCACCATCAAATTCTGGCATTTTACAAAAATACTTTCTATTTGTCAAGTCCCTATTCTACTTACCTATTTTCTTTCTTAACCATGCTAAAGGCCTCTCAACTGAGTCTCCTCATGCTCTAATCCAGAATATTCTTCAATTCCTTTAAAATTAATTTACCTATTAATCCTATCTTTAGGCTAGTGATCCACACCTGAAACACACAGAGCCACACTAACGTAATTGCCACTAGCTTCTTGTAGTGACTTAAATTAAAATGTCCATACCTCATTCACACTAGCCACACTTCAAGTGCTAAACAGCCACACAGAAATGGCTACCATACTGTACAGCAGATATTCTCATCATCCCAATAAGTTCTACTGGACAATGTTGTTATAGATTAATAATAGCTTCCATTTTTAAGACACTTAGCCTAGACACTAAAGGTTTTAATCTTCACGATAACACTATGAGGTAGGCTTTATCTCAGTATTAAAGAAAATTAAGGCCAGGCACGGTGGCTCACGCCTGTAATCCCAACACTCTGGAGGCCGAAGCAGGCGGATCGCTTGATGCCAGGAATTCAAGACCAGCCTGGGCAACATGGCGAAACCCCGTCTATATAAAAAATTAGCCAGGTGTGGTGGCACGCACCTGTAGTCTCAGCTACTTGGGAGGCTGAAGTGGGAAGATGACTTGCGCCCATCAGGTGGAGGCTGAAGTGAGCTGAGATTGCACCCCTGCACTCCCGCCTGGGTGACAGAGAGAGAAAATTAAGGTTCTATAAGGATGCTTACCTAAAACAATCCTTTCAAAAGCTTGAGGCCAGGCGTGGTGCCTCACACCTGTCATCCCAGCACTTTGGGAGGCTGAGGTGGGCGGATCACTTGGGGTCAGGAGTTCGAGACCAGCCTGGCCAACATGGTGAAACCCCGGCTCTACTAAAAATACAAAAACTAGCCAGGTGTGGTGGCAGGCACCTGTAATCGCAGCTACTCAGGAGGCTGAGGCAGAATCACTTGAACCAGGGAGGCAGAGGTTGCAGTGAGCCAAGATCATGCCATTGCACTCCAGCCTGGGCAACAAGAGCAAGACTCCGTCTCAAAGGAAAAAAAATAAAAGCATGACATTGCTCTTTATTGCCAATTTATACAAAACTACTTGTATGCCTCTCACAGAACTTTTTCAGTTCCAATGCTACATACCCCTAGTTTGTACTTTTCCTCCTTCAAAACTTAGTATATATGGGAAATCCCTAATGAATCTGACCCTACTCTTATTCTTCAATATTTACATACTTTGCACTATACCAATATGTGAAATAGAAAAGCTCCATAATTTTCAGCTATTCCTGATTTTTTCCGTCAAACTTCTACCCACTCCTCACTTTGTTTCTTGAGGATTATCACCATCATCCATCATTTTAAGCTTCCAAGAAGAGTCTGATCCTGCTAGCCAGTTGGGCCTCTCACTGTCTAATCAGATTCACTTGAAAAGCTTTTGGAAAATAGATTCTCATGCTCCATTCCAAAAACAACTTGTTAATATCAATAGTGTCTACAATGAGCTTGAGGTACAACAAAGTTTGGGAGTTAAAAACCTCAGCTATCTCAGTCTAAATACTTTAAGTTCGTTTTCTCCTTGTCTCCTCCAAGGTAGTTAGCAAAAGAATGGAAAGAGAACAACATAAAAGCATAGAAACAGACAAATTTTCTACACATACTCCTTATATTTCATTATTCTAAGTTATACACAATGTTCAACAGGAGTTTGAAGTTTATTTAGTAATAAACATAAGTCATGGCTGACAACTGAGAAAATCCTATTCACATAAACCATCATAGATTAAAAATACATAGTATTTGTACTTTAATGCAATAGGGTCCCAGGATTCAAACAAGGAAATTTGATTCCAGAGTTGGCATTATGTAGTTATGTACTCTGCTACAAAGAACTAGTGGAGGTAAACTTCGGCAGTAAAATTCTCAACAGTCAAATATTAATGCATTTCATATACATGGCTTTGCATCCGTAGAGGAAGATACAGTTCCTTCAGCACACGTGCCAATTTCTGAGTCTTCCACTAGAGAATCCTCAACAGTTTCTTCTTCAGAATCAAATTCCTGATTATCCAGTGATTCAAAATTATCCAGAGGTTCACCATTCAGTCTCTTTTAAAGAATAAACCAATAATTTATTGTAAAAATGTTAAAACCTAAGCTGATCAGCATACTGATATAGCTGACCCGTATAGCATACTGATATAGCTATGAGATTTTTTTCATCTTGCCCCTCAATAAATTCATTTATAAACAGTATTATATCAAAGTCTCTACCATGCTAGATCATAGTCAGCAAAGTCAAAGTGTTTAATAATTTGTCTTTTTTTTTTAAAAAGCACTGAAATTATTTCAGAGTATAAACAGGTACTTCCCCAATCAGCTGCAAGGACAAGTAGGTGTTCTACATTTCCAATCAGCTGTGGACTAATTCTTTTAAGGCAGTTAAGACAGCTACCACAGTATCTCCAAATGAAAACTTCAAATATTAATTCTATCATGGATCTCAAATGTAAAAGGTCACAATTCAGTTACATGAAGTTTTGATTTGAAAAACTTTCTTCCTATCAGCAAGAAAAACTTTTTGCAAACATGAATAAATAAATCTTAAAACCTTTTTAAGGTCAAGTCTGATAAAGCAACACCAGGCTAATTCTTACAAACATATTAGCTACTTACAAAATGTTTTAAAGTCAGATAAAACCACAAAACTCATTTATTGTACAAATTATCAATTTTATAAATGACAGTAATGTCAAGCTGGTATTAAAATTAAAACTATCTAAAATGTGTCAACTATGAAATAATTTGCTATACATATTTTCCAGGGATAATTCCTTTTAATAACTCTACCAAAAAATATGGTCTTTTGCTTCATAACAATAATTAAGTTACTGAACTTTCACTCTGTGCAAGTACTCCTTGCAATTGTCCATCTATTGTAACTCATTTAATTCTCATAACAAGTCTATAAGGTAGGCATCATTACTCTCATTTTGTGGATGAGGAAGATGAAGCCCTGACCGGATAAACCCACTCTACCCAGCAAACTTAATGGTGTTAGGAAGGAAGTTAAGTCTTAAATCCAGGAAATCTGATTCCAGAGCCCTAACACTTCAAAGTGATCACACTACACTACCTCAACTTTATAGAAAAATACATAAATTTGAACCAGATAACTATTAAATTACCTACCTCTATTAGCTCTGCCATATACTGTACATGTTCTGCTACTTCTGCCAGTTCTTTATTCTCCTTTTTCAGGCGGGCAATTTCATTGTCCTTTTGTTCAATTTCTTTATGAAGCTGTATTACATAAATAAAGTTCAGTATTCCATAGATTTGCTATGCTATAAATCAAATTACATACCTCCAAGTATATAACATGGAGGACATGCAGCATAGAATTGACTCTCAACACAACGGGATTCATTTTGTATAATTGTCAAGAGCTGCCTTTTTACTTAAACTTTTCTTAAGCCAATACTAAAGCTAGCCCATATTGCTCTAATAAAATATGCTAAGCAGCAAAACAATCCTGGAATTTTTAAAAATGGTACAAATTATACTCAATACATACTTTCTCATTTTCCTTAAGTGCTTCATACAGCGCCTTTCTCCGTTTTTCTGCCACTTCCTTCCAATACTGAGAGGATGGATTTTCTAAAATAATATTTTAAATATAACTTTAAAAATCATTACTGTCAAAACCCAGTAATTTGTTTCAAAAAAATTTCCAATCTTAGTACCCCCATATTGTTTAGTAATACTCATTTTTAAAAGATTAAAGTTAAAAAATAAAATCAATATTATTCTATTTTCCCCAACATTTCCAAGATTTCAATCCTTCAGAATTACAACAAAAGTACAATACGTATATATCTTCCACCTAGATTATTAAAGATTTTTGCAATACATTTGTTTTGTGAGGTCGTGTCTTTTTATGTAACACTGACATTTTTACAAAGTCCAGATCAATTATTTTGTACACTGTCCTTAATTTTTTATTTCTGTCTCCATGATTAGATTCAAACTAAACATTTTTGGCAGGAATACTATATAAGTATAGTATAAGAATACTATATAAGTATGTATCCTCAGTATATCATCAAGAAGCACACGCCAATTTGTCATGATACTGGAGATGTTAAATTTGATCATTTGATTAAGATGCTATCTATCAGATTTCTGCCTTGTAAAGATAACTTTTTCCCTTAGTAATTAACTAATGATCTGTAGAGCAAAATATTTGAGACTGTGTCAATACCCTGTCCTCCAACAACTTTTTACCTAAGTTTAATTCCATTGATGATTGATGTTTCCGGCTTATATCTATTACTTCTACGGTGGATGGAAAACCAATTTTTTTTCACTTATGTAATTCCTTCTACAAGTAGTAGTTAGCATTATTCTGTAAATAAAAACTTTTCCTACCCCAATTTAAAAGAAAATTTATCAGTATAGACTCATATATCCTTTTTTATTCAATGTATTATAATCCATTCTTGACGTTATTCATTTTGATGCTCAAATTTTCCCAACTGTAGTCTGTGAGAATCCTTCCAAGATGACATGTGTTCTTTCAACATGTCCACCCGTTTTTGAGTACTTCCTTATTTTCTGTCAAAAGATAATCCATGATCACCCAAAGTTTCCCTGCCCCTGACCTGGAATCAGCAATTTCTCCATGGAACTTTAGTGAAGAATAGTGTTTATAAACCAAGAACTGGATACACGGTGTGCTCCTTTCTACAGAGGTGTAGTTTGTTTCTACCTGTTTAGGGGCAGTGCTAGGAAATGTAATACTTCAACATGTTATTCATTTGCTCAGTCCTAAAATATACACAACTTTTTTTTTTTTTTCAAAATTACACTAATACCACTGTCAACAAATATAATAAAGTTCAAACAACAAATGTAATAAAGTTTGGGATTTCTTCGCAGTTATTTTAATTTTTACCATGTATCGCAGAGGGTTACAAGGATAATGTGTTCCACCTGTGGTTATATTACCAACATGATATATAGTTATTTGTCTTGATATTTAACTTTAGCAGTTTATTTTAACTAATCCTTGATTTAATTTTTAACCTAATCAGATATGAGTGTCACAAATCCTGCTCTTCAATCTACAATATTTTTAAAGAGCTGCTTTATTTCTATCCAGTCAACCTTTCCTAATTTTGCCTAATAAAAATCCTACCATCTATTTCTCTTCTTCCTGTCTTCAAGGCAATTCAAAATGAGTCCAAATGTTACTGTGACCTTCAGCAAGTCAATTAACTTCTCTAGGCCTCAATTTTATCATCAGTACTTAACATTCAATGACCCATAATTCATACAGAAATAATAATCTTCCATAATGCTTACAAAACATCAGTTGCTTCTTCTTCTGATGTATACTACCATTCTATTAAAAACTAGTACTTATTATAGGCATAATTCTTCTCATTCATCTTTACTCTTCATCCATATTTTTATTGGTTTCCTTATGCCATACTCTCCTGGAATATTCAAATTCCTTTCATACCTCGAACTCATTATCTAAACATTTTTCTTCTAAAAAGCCTATTTCCAAGTCTTGTAAACCCCTACAAGGCAATCCAATTATCAGAGCTGTCATATTAATAACTATCCTTTCCCCCTACCCTTTTTTTTTCCTTCAGAGACCGGGTCTTGCCCTGTATCCCAGGCTGGAGTGCAGTGGTGCTATCATACATAGCTTATTGCGGCCACAAACTCCTAGGCTCAAGTGATCCTCCTGACTCAGCCTCCTGAGTAGCTGGGAATACAGGCACAAGCCACCATGCTCAGCTAATTTTTTCATACAGAGAGAGCCTCACTGTGTTGTCCAGGCTAGTCTCAAACTTCTAGACTCAAGCCATCCTCCTGCTTCAACCTCCTAAGCTACTGGGATTACAGGTGTGAGCCACTGCACTGGGCCTCCTTTTCCTAACATTTCATCCACACATGGATCTTGTCAAACAAATGGTCACATACAAAAACATTTATAGTGCTGTTATACTATCCCCAGATTACAGTAATTGGCAGAATTCATAATAGTATTAACAAATTTTTCCTTATATCATAATTTAAAATTAAGACAAAAGTTATCTATTTTTTCATACCTTTAATCATAAGATCAAATGACTCCTGGGTGACTCCTCCAAGATTTTTATTTTCACTAGATTCTGGGACAATAACCCCAGGGCTGGAAGTTGTAGATGTTAAGTGGTCATTCCGATGTTTCCTTTTGGACAAGCCTGCGGACAGCTATAATGAAAACACTTATCAACTGTATTTACTTTGATTTAATTAACAAGAAATTAGGTGGTTTTTCATTTATGTATTAAAAAAAGAGTACGCATATCTAACTTTTTCACATCTCTGGATCTTTAAAAAAGTTATACAATTAAAAATTCTACCAAAACATATAGTAACATTTTAGGAATTTTATTTGCAACAATTATTTTGGATTAGACTGGGGTCAAGAGCTTAGCTGAAATTATTTATTTATTTTTTAAAAAATTTTTTATTTTTATTTTTATTTTAGAGTCTCGCTCTGTCACCCAAGCTGGAGTGCAGTGGTGTGACCTCGGCTCACTGCAACCTCCACCTCCCAGGTTTAAGTGATTCTCCTGCCTCAAGCCTCCCAAGCAGCTGAGATTATAGGTGTGTGCCACCACGCCCGGCTAATTTTTTTGTACTTTTAGTAGAGATGGGGTTTCACCACGTTGGCCAGGCTTGTCTCAAGCTCCTGACCTCAGGCGATCCACCCACCTCGGCCTCCCTAAGTGCTGGGATAACAGGCGTGAGCCACTGCACCCGACGAACTTCTTAAATTGAACAATTAAAACCAAAATCACTTCTTTGGGAAATATATAATTGTGATTCCCAAATTATTTCCAAATTTCAACAATTTACGTGTTTCTGACCAAGAAAATAGTAGAAATGTTTTCGATGTAGACACTGTATCACCAGTACCCCATTTTAGCCATATAGTGCATACCTCATTTTCTCTTCCAACAAGAGATCCAGATGCAGAAGGCTGAATCATCTTCAGAGTTCTTCTTGGGACAGAACTATTCTAAAAAGTCAGCATAATTCATTATCTTGTTACTGAGTTGCAATATGGTTATTTAGTTACTGAGTTTCTGTATGGAGTGTTACTCTTAGTCCTTCTATAATTTAGGGGTGGAAAAGGAACACTAACAACACAAACATTTGGTCTGCTATATAATTGCGTAAGGTCGCCTATGAACAAGACACTGGTTTAATCAACTGACAAACTTGTTATTTCCAAAAATTATAATAAAGTTTGAAGAATTCTTAAGAATGAATCATATTACCCAAACTAGACACAAACACACGTAACTTCTCTCATTTCAATGCATGCTCTTGCTATGGTCATTTTGTTAATCATATCTAGTTAAAACAAACGTAACAAAATTCCTCAGCTCCAATGAACAGTTTCAAACCACATATGACAAAATTCTAATACAAGAAGGCTATCTGTATTCTCTCTGAAAAAATCTTCCACACAGAAACTAAAAACTTACAGGTACTCTTTTATAAAACCAAACATCGTAACATTTATGGTATGAACTCACCAAACAGGTAAACTGGAAGAAATGGTTAATCATTTACACTGCAAAATATTTCTTTCCCTAATCAAAAAGATTCATTTCAGGCCTCCTTAAATCATGAATATCCCTCAAATACTTACATGTACTCACCAAAAGAATGTAACTTTCCAGAACATACTTTACACAAAACAAAGTACATGTGTAATAGACATCCCCCCTCAACCATTACCTGATAGTAGAAGCAGTTCTGCTTCAAGCCCATTCATTAGAAGGTGGCTAAAATGTCAGTGCCTGAGGCATACTAAAATACTCTAAAATGCCCAAGCTATTGTTTTGGTGAAAATATTGCCTTCCTTGTAATATGTAAACAACTTCCTGTATATTTCATGATCTGAAAGTTCTCTCCTATTTTTGCAAAATATCATTAGTTATACTGCCACCATGGGATAGCAAACAATGGTGAATACTCAAACAAGGTTAGCAAGAACATGATACCATACCAGCGTGAGAAAGTTACTGATTCCACACTGTACTTCACATGATAAGAGTTCACCTTTCCCACGGTAAAGTTTCTACTGCTGATTATTATCTCACCATTTAACTGAAGGACAAATGCCAGCTACTGTGAGGACAAATATTACATCAACATTTCAGATATAATTTAGATTATAGATTAGTCAACAGTCTCCAGACAAATAAAAGAAAATGTAACGTTGGAACCTTACTAACAAGAGGTGTTATTTAAATGCTTTCTGTTAATAATGGTCAAAGAAGCCAGCTAAGTAACTGTCACCAAAAAAAAAGACCATTTCCAAGATTTAACTTTTATTTATATAAGCTATATAGACTTTTGCCTAAAACAATGTAACATTACTATTATTATTTTCTGTATATAGAGTATGCATTGGAATAATAGACTCTTAAAGCCAGAAAGTTTCTTGTATATTAATGGGTCTTAACCTTTTTGGAAAACTATTTAATACTCTGTGAATCCTCTCCCCAAAAAAATTCACATAAAAGCACATTCACACAGAATTTTGCATGCAACTCACAAGGATCTAGTTCTAGTCCAGTTCTCCCAATTTACAGATGAGTAAACTAAGGCTGAAATGCTAACTAACCCACCCAAGGTCTCAGTTTTGGAGGTAGAACCAAAACCAAACAGAACCTAGTATCCTTTATATTCAAGATAGTTTCACTGTAGCTAGTAAACACAAGACTTTCTTTAAAATGTAATCTGCTGGAAATATATAAATTATTTGGCTGTGATTTGCTTCAAATTAATCCACTGAAGGAAAAGTGGAGTAAATAAGGACATAGATGAAACCAGATTGGCCATATAGCGGTAATTGCTGAAGCTGGGGAAGTAAATTATTAAAATACTTTTAAATATTTCAAAAATTTCATAACAAAAATTTTAAATAATCACACACAAAGCACAGTGGGAAGATGCCATCATCCTAAATGGAAGCTAATGGAATCAAATTCACAAATTGTCAATGCGAATATAATGTCAATTGACATTCTTATTCAAGAAAAATATTGTAAGAATCCTAAGAAAAGCAAGGCAAACAAAAAACCCATCAAAAGGTACTTGCTTATACTTATCAATGGCTTTTAGGTACTCAATTTAATTTACTTAATATAAAAAAAATTTTTTTAGGTACAGGGTCTTACTCTGTCACCCAGGCTGGAGTGCAGTGAAGCAATCATAATTCACCAAAGCCCAAACTCCTAGGCTCAAGCAATTCCTCCCACACCTCAGCCTCCCAGTAGCTGGGATTACCAGTGGGTGCCACCACACCCAGCTAATTATGGTTTTTTAGAAACAGGGTCTCCCTTTGTTGCCCAGGCTGTTCTCAAAGTCCAGAGCTCAATCAATCCTCCTACTTCAGCCTCCCAAGTAGCTGGGATCACAGGCATGAGCCACCATGGGCACCTGGCTCTTTATTTATTTAAAACCGCAAATTGATAGTTTACCTGAAGATGTGATCCAATTCCCAAGGTATTCATATAATTTAAGTTGTGTGGAAGGACCTAGCTAAATTGTAAATTAACTTAGAACCATAAATATGAATCTAGTCAGAAGTATAAACTCAAAACTAAACAAACTCTGTCCTGCTGTCATAAGAGTAAATACTTGGAATAAGATTTCCAGTGAAAGTATCATATAGGGATTGAAAAAGTATCACAAATCAAATAGGTTAGATGGTAATGAATATGGTATACTCTAGAAAAATGTGTAATATAATGCAAAACATGTCTGTGGTCAAAGACTCTTAATTCTGAAGATATACACAATGGATTTTAATAACATTTCATGAAATATAAGAGTAGAAACAAAGCAGTAATAATCTCATACATAGAAAATCCTAAAGATACTTCTGGAATCTTCACAGAGAAAATACAAAAAGAAAAGAAAATCCTGAAGAATCTACTAAAAAACAATTAGAACTATTAAGTTCAGCAAGGTTTCAGGACACAAAATCAAGACACAAAAGTCAATTATTTTCCTATACAGTAGCAATGACCAAATGAGAATGAAATTAAGGAAACAATTCCATTCACAGTAACCTCAAAAAGAATACTTAGGAAAAAATTTAACATAAATAGTGTAAAATTCATGCTCTGAAAACTACAAAATACTGTTGAAAGACCAAAATAAGAGAGACAACCCATATTCTTGGGTCAGACTTAATATTCAACCGTAATTAGTTTTTTAAAAATGTTCTCTATTGTTACTCATCCTCTGACTAACTCAAGGCTTACAGAAATTATAGCCAGGCTAAATTTGGATAAATTATGTCAAAATACTTTTAGCCCCATGCTTTCTACAAAAAAAAATTAAAGTTATTCAATCACATACCTTTATATTCTCTTTGATTTCTTCTTGTTTCTGCTTCATACTGGGATTCATTATGTAGATGGTGAAGCACAGAAGACTAGTAATTAAAAAACAATATGGTTTGCACCCCCGAAGGTGGAGTCTAGGTTTAAAATACTTACAATCATAAAAATTATACTATTGTACAGTAGAACTATTATTTTTTCTCTCTTAATCCAAACTCAGCCCTGTCAATGACTAAGGTGACTAAAGTTAATGACTCTTGATATCTATATTTTACATATATACACACATAATAATTATAGCTGAAAAAATGAAATTAATGTATTTTAAACCAATTTCTAAAACTGGTTTAAAATTTCTAAACATATTGTCCTGGATTAAATAGTCACCAGAAAAAGCAAAATAAACAGATACTAGGGTATGCCCAGGTCCATCCTAAAGAGCAGCATCTTAACTTTCCTGATTCAAAGACAGATTTAAGGTATAATAAACTGGGCTCTGACAATAACTTAACACAGACTTAATATCTGGTCAAATGAGATCATGCATTTACATTTGTAGGAAATGTTTAACCAGTAACATGAACTGAAGGACTAACAAGCAAGAAAGAGGGAAAAGGTAGAAAGGGATCTATGTAATGCGGTTGACTAGACCACTGGGCCAAACTCAGCATCTGAACTGCTGCTCCACTGCCCACTGCCCACTGCCCACTACCCATTGGCCCCTGCCGTGTCTGCGCCTGTGCCTCGTCGATAGATGTCCCTAATTTTTGTGGCCATGCCTTTACTCAGTGCAGTGGCTTCTAACATTAATACATTTTACCTTGTGTCCTGGCGCGTGCACACACATGTGCAAACAAAAAAGCTTAGGAAAGGCCGGGCGTGGTGGCTCACATCTGTAATCCCAGCACTTTGGGAGGTCGAGGCAGGCGGATCACCTGCATGATCACCAAAGTGCTGGAAGGTCGAGGCAAGCGGATCACCTGAGGTCAGAAGTTCGAAACCAGCCTGGCCAATATGGTGAAACTCCATCTCTACCAAAAATACAAAAATTAGCCGGACGTGGTGGTGCTCGTCTGTAGTCCCAGCTACTCGGGAGGCTGAGGCAGGAGTATCGCTTGAACCCGACAGGTGGAGGTGGCAGTGAGCCGAGATCCTGCCACTGCACTCCAGCCTGGGCAACAGAGCGAGACTCCGTCTCAAAAAAAAAAAAAGCTTAGAAAACAAAACAATCTAATTTGTGCGGGCATCCTGCTATTTTCTACTCTATTTCATGTTAAGAAAATGGTGTTCGGGCCCCAGTAAACAGACCCTACGCAATGTTCTTCAAACTGCGGGTCGCGGGCCGTGATCTCGAAATTAGTGAGTCATGAGCAACACTGCTTAGAAAAATGCAACTGAACAGAATGGAATTGAAGAGACGAGAAACATTGCTTCCATCACGTCTCATTTGGTTAGATAGCTGTGTCCTAGGTTGCGACGTAAAACGTACCTTAGTGTGAAAAAAGCTGAAAGCCACTTAGCATTCTAATCCTTCACAAGTTTCCCACGCCTGTCAGCGACCTTGCAACCCTTACTTGTTATTCTCCAGTTCCTTTAATAGCTAGATTAAAAACCCTGGCACAGGACAGGGTCCATGCGAAACCCGTATCAACAACGCCAGTATCCGTTTAATGGGAGACGCAGAATTCAGCCACCTCTTTCCATGAGCCAAATTTGCAGATCCCTCAGATCAGGACCAGCCACTTAACTGCCAAGAGGATGGATGCTTCGCCTCATCCCCACAGCTGGCAAGCCCAGGCTGAGTCCCTTACCCGCGTTGCAGTCCCCAAGCCCGGACCCAGCCAACTTGTCCCGGAGGCCCAGCGCCAGGCTAGGGGGCGGGCAGTGTGGCCCCGCGCGTCCGAGCCTACCAACCGCGGCGCGCGCCTCGGGAACTGCGCCAGCCAGCCAATAGGAAGCGCGGAAGTGAGAGCGCGCCAAAACCGACCCAGCCAATGGGGCAGTCCCTCGACTCACCTCCCAACCCCGCCCCGGCTCCCGCGACCGTTCAACAACCCCTTCGCCCTTACCCAGGCCGCGGCCCTGCAGCTGTCAAAGTAGGACGCGGCTTCAGAGGTTGGCCGGAGGGAAAGCGAGTCGTCTAGAGGCTGTGCGCCTTGCGCCCCTGCGTACCCACTTCCTGCCGCCTCTTGCCCACTTACTGGGTGGAGACGCTCAATCCTCGTAGCGAACGCACGTAGCTATGGCTGCAGCACCTCGCAAAAGGCCACAGCTCACCTACGCTGATCCCCACGGTCGCTGGAGTGCCCGGCGCGCTCTGCAGTAAAGCCCTGCTAACTCCGCTCGCCCGCTCCGAACAACCACGTGACCAACTGACGCAGACGAGGGGCGGGGCCTCTGGATCCCGCGAATCGCCTCTTCCCTCGGCCCCGCCCCTTCCTGCGCCTGCGCGGTCAACGGTAGCGAGTACTTGAGGACCGTGGGGGTTTTCTGCGGGCTGGGAGGCCTGTGCCCTTTGACCCTCCCCTCCGACCCTGCTCTTGGAACTTCCTTAAAATGCAAAGTTTTAGCCCTTTACGAAAGGGAGAAAGATTTGCCTCCATTAGTCGTTAGCACCAGAAGAACAAAATATTGTATGTGCATATATATTAATATGTAGTACACGACATATATTTGTGTAAAGCCCTGGCTCCACGGACTCGTAGTTGTATTAGGGGCTTTTATATTTTGGCTTTTTGTGTTTTGACTATGGTGTGGTGCGGTAGGAATTGTTCAGGAGACAACCGATTATCAGTTAATCCTGCAGCTATTCATTGAGCGCCTTATACGTGCCAATTACTACTGTTCTAGGCACTGAAATTACAACTGCTGTTGCAATTTGAAGGAGCAGAAACACCTTGGTAATAATTACGTCTAGCCTTTTCCTTCTTTTTTTTTTTTTTAATTGAAACGGAGTCTCGCTCTGTCACCCAGGCTGGAGTGCAGTGGCGCGATCTCGGCTCACTGCAAGCTCCGCCTCCCGGGTTCAAGCGATTCTCCTGCCTCAGCCTCCCGAGTAGCTGGGACTACAGACAAAGGGAGACCCTGTCTCAAAAAAAAATTAATTTTAAAATATTTTAAAAATAAAAAGCAGAAGGAAGGCGTTATCGAGTACAAATAAGGGACATATTACCAAATGCAATGTATGGATCTCGTCTGAACTAAACACTGTATTTAAAAAAATACCCAAGGGAAATTTGAACACTGACTGAATATTTTGGGATGGTAAGATATGAGTTGTTTAAGGTTACCTGATGAGCAATGGGTTAAAAAAAGAGATTAGTTGTAATGACAATATTGTGGGTTTTATTGTAATAGCTTCTACCTATAAATGGTAATTACAGATGAAATTTTATACCATATATTTTATTTGAAATAATTATTGAGAGAAGCAAGGGAAAAGGTATAAATCAAGCTTTCTCAGTATGGGCTCTATTGACATTTTAGACTGGGCAAATTGTTCGTGGTGGGGGCTGTCCTGGGCATTGTATGCTGTTTAGCAGTATCCCTGGCCTCTACCCTCTAGCTACCAGGAGTACATCCCAATTGTGAAGACCAAAAATGTCTGCAGACCTTGTCAGATAACCTTCCGCAGGGCAAAATCATCCCCAGTTGAGAACCACTGGTGCGAATAAAACAGTATTGGCCTTGTGTTGATAACTGCTGAGGCTAGTATGGATGAGTACATGAAGATTTTTTATTCACTCCCTCTACTTTTATATCTGTTTGGGATTTTCAATAATAATTTTTTTTTTTGAGACGGAGTCTTGCACTGTCACCAGGGCTGGAGTGCAATGGTGCAACCTCGGCTTACTGCAACCTCTGCCCCCCCCGGGTTCAAGCGATTCTCCTGCCTCAGCCTCCCAAGTAGCTGGGATTACAGGTGCCCGCCACCACACCCAGCTAATTTTTTGTAGTTTTAGTAGAGACAGGGTTTCACTATGTTGGCCAGGCTGGTCTTGAACTCCTGATCGTGTGATCTGCCCACCTTGGCCTCCCAAAGTGCTGGGATTACAGGCGTGAACCACTGCACCTGGCCAATAATAAAATTTTTAAAATATTAATTTAAAAAGGATTAAATGATGGGATAAGGAGGTAGAAATACTGGAAAATGTTTAGCCATAAAAATTTCAGCAACCACTAGGCACCATGGCTCATGCCTGTAATCCCAGCACTTTGGGAGGCTGAGGCTGGCGGATCACCCTGAGGTCAGGAGTTCAAGACCAACCTGGCCAACATGGTGAAACCCTGTCTCTACTAAAAATACAAAAATTATCCAGGCATGGTGGCATGCGTCTGTAATCCCAGCTACTCAGGAGGCAGAGGCAGGAGAATAGCTTGAACCCAGGTGGTGGAGGTTGCAGTAAGCCAAGATCACACTACCACAATCTAGCCCAGGTGACAGAGTGAGACTCTATCTCAAAAACAAAACAAAACAAAACAAAACAAAACTTTAGCAACCACAAATATTTACACCAATTTTTTTATTTTTATTTTTATTCAGATGGATAAATAATAATTACATTGCACCAATTTATTTTTTGACAAACCATTTCTTTGATGAGTATAAGCACAGCTAAGAGAAGTGAAATGATGAAACACATTACTAATGAAGGTTTTGGGACTTGAGACTCAGATGATGTTAAGAATAATATACTCAGGATTGGCCGGGTGCAGTGGCTCACCCTGTAATCCCAGCACTTTGGGAGGCCGAGGCGGGTGGATCACGAGGTCAGGAGATCGAGACCATCCTGGCTAACATGGTGAAACCCCATCTCTACTAAAAACACAAAAAAAAGTTAGCCGGGCATGGTGGCAGGTGCCTGTAGTCCCAGCTACTCAGGAAGCTGAGGCAGGAGAACGGCGTGAACCCAGGAGGCAGAGCTTGCAGTGAGCGGAGATCGCGCCACTGCACTCCAGCCTGGGCGACAGAGTGAGACTACGTCTCAAACAAAAAGAAAAAAAAAAAGAATAATATACTCAGGATCTTCAGGGGATTATTTTAGTGCAGAATTATTTAAAGGATTGAAGATGGTCTAGAAGGTGGCCCCTGGGCATTAAATATGTTTTGTTTCACATACACAATTGTGGCCTACACATTGTCTTAAAATGGAAATTGTCTGTATTTTAAAAATCGGATGATTTCCATAAGCAAAGACAAATGATAAAGTAAGAGAAAATATAGGGAATTTCTTTTACACATAAAAGACTACATTCCCTAATTTTTAAAGAGCTATAAAACATTGAGAGGGAGAAGCCAACAGCCCAATAGATAAATCGGCAAAAGACAGGAATGGACGGTTCAGAGAAAACGATAGAGGAATGGTCCTTAAACATACAAAACCATGCTCAACTTTACTGAGAATAAGAGACATGCAAATTAAAACTCTGAAAAACTATTTCAACTATCAGACTAGCAGCTATAGAAAAGCTTGACAACATACTTACAGTAGATAGAATTCTAAAATGCCACCCATTATCTCTGACCTCTGATTATGCCTATGATTAGGTTATTCAATAAGGCAAAGGTGGTGGGATTTTATAATTGTAATTAAGGCCCCAAATCGGTATACTTTAAATTATCGAAAGTGAGATTATCCTGTTGGCCTTGACGTAATCATTAGGATGTCCTTCAACAGAGGGCTTAGACTTTTTTTGATGTATCTCTTACTGGCCTTGAAGAAGCAAGCGGCCATGAGTATTATGTCTCCAAAGAAATGAATTCTCCCAACAATTGGAATGAGTTTAGAAGCAGATCCTTCTCCAATGAAGCCTCTAGATGACAATGCACTGGCCAGCACTTTGTTTACAGCTCTGTAAGACCCTGAGCTCAGGGTCCAACTGAACTTTGTTTAGATTCCTGTGGCGCAGAAAGTATGAGATAATACATGTTTTGTTTTAAGCCACTAAGATTGTGGAAATTTCTACAGAGCAACAGAAAACTAATAAAATACTCTACTGATGAGGCTGGGAGAAAACAAGCACTCATATACATGGCTACTGGGAGTGTCAAATGTTAAAAGCCCTGTAGAAGGGAATTTGTCTGTATCTGACAAGGCGTTTTTTTTGTTGTTTTTTTTTGTTTTTTTTTTTTTTGAGACAGAGTTTCACTCTTGTTGCCCAGGCTGGAGTGCAATGGCATGATCTCGGCTCACTGCAACCTCTGCCTCCCAGGTTCAAGAGATTCTCCTGCCTCAGCCTCCCGAGTAGCTGGAATTACAGGTGCCTGCCACCACACCCAGCTAACTTTTTGTATTTTTAGTAGAGATGGGTTTTCACCATGTTGGCCAGGCTGGTCTCGAACTCCTGACCTCAAGTGATTCGCCTGCCTCGGCCTCCCAAAGTGCTGGGATTACAGGCATGAGCCACCACGCCTGGCCCTGACAAGGCATTTCTACAATGACATGCACATTGACTTTGGATGTAGCAAATCCACTTCGAGGAATTTACTCTAGACTTTCTCACTGTAGCATTATTTATAATACCTAAATATTGGAACTAACCTAATCGCACATCTATAGGCAATGAGTTGAATAAATTATGGTATATCGGCACAAGGTAGTAGTATAAAGTCATGAAAAAAATTTAAGATCTCTGAGATGAACAAATTTCTGGGATACATCCTTAAATGAAAAAAGCAGAGTGCCCAGCACTTTGCGAGGCCAAGGCCAGCAGATCACCAGGTCGGGAGATCGAGACCACCCTGGCTAACACGGTGAAACCGTCTGTACAAAAATACAAAAAACAAAATTAGCCAATTAGCCAGGCATGGTGGCGGGCGCCTTTAGTCCCAGCTACCACTGCACTCCAGTCTGGGCGACAGAGCGAGACTCCATCTCACACACACACACACACACACACACACACACACACACAAAGCAGAGTGGAAGAGCATACATACTATTCTGCTTCTTTTTTTTTTTTTTTTCTTTTTTTGAGATGGAGTCTCACTCTGTTGCCCAGGCTGGAGTGCAGTCGTGCCATCTCGACTCACAACAAACTCTGCCTCCTGGGTTCACACCATTCTCTTGCCTCAGCCTCCCGAGTAGCTGGGACTACAGGCACCTGCCACCACGCCTGGCTAATTTTTTGTATTTTTAGTAGAGACGGAGTTTCACCGTGTTAGCCAGGATGGTCTCGATCTCCTGACCTCGTGATCTGCCCACCTTGGCCTCCCGAAGTGCTGGGATTACAGGCGTGTGCCACTGCACCTGGCCTCTACTTCTTACATAAGAAAGACATAAGACACCAAGCACAGTGGCTCACATCTGTAATCTCAGCAATTTGGGAGGCCAAGGCAGAAGTATCACTTGAGGCCAGGAGTTTGAGACCAGTCTGCGCAACATAGGAAGACCCTGTCTCTACAAAATAATAATAATAATAATAATAATAACAAAGTAAATAAGTAAGTAAAATTAGCCAAGTGCAGTGGCATGTGCTTGTAGTCCCAGCTACTCAGGAGGCTGAGGCAGGAGGATCACTTGAGCCCAAAAGTCTGAGGTTACGGTGAGCTATGACTGTGCCAATGCACCCCAGTCTGCATGGCACAGAGAGACCCTATTTCTAAAAAAAAGTTTTTAAATGAAGGAAAGAAAGAAAGGAGAATATGTATATGTATTTGCTTATTTAAAAAAAAAAAAAAAAAGGCCAGGCGCAGTGGCTCACGCCTGTAGTCCCGGCACTTTGGGAGGCCAAAGCGGGCGGATCACCTGAGGTCTGGGGTTCGAGACCAGCCTGGCCAACATGGTGAAACTCCATCTCTACTAAAAATTTTTAAAAATTTAGCTGGGCATGGTGGTAGGCACCTGTAATCCCAGCTACTTGGGAGGCTTAGGCAGGAGAATCTCTTGAACCCGGGGGGCGGAGGTTGCAGTGAGCCGAGATTGTGCCATTGCATTCCAGCCTGGGCAGCAAGAGTGAAACTCTGTCTCAAAAAAAAAAAAAAAAATGCCGGGCACAGTGTCTCATGCCTATAATCCCAGCACTTTGGGAGGCCGAGGTGGGCAGATCACTTGAGGTCAGGAGTTTGACACCAGGCTGGTTAACATGGCGAAAACCCGTCTCTACTAAAAATACAAAAATTAGCCGGGCGTGGTGGTTGACGCCTCTAATCCCACCACTTTGGGAGGCCTAGGCAGGTGGATCACGAGGTCAAGAGATTGAGACCATCCTGGCCAACATGGTGAAACCCTGTCTCTACTAAAAATACAAAAATTAGCCGGGCATGATGGTGGACGCCTGTAATCCCAGCTACTTGGGAGGCTGAGGCAGAAGAATTGCTTGAACCCAGGAAGCAGAGGTTGCAGTGAGCCAATATTGTGCCATTGCACTCCAGCCTGGGTGAAAGAGTGAGACTCCGTCTTGGAAAACAAAAATCAAAAAACACATGGCCGGGCATGGTGGCTCATGTCTGTAATCCCAACACTTTGGGAGGCCGATGTGGGCAGATCACTTGAGGTCAGGAGTTCAAGTCCGGCCTGGTCAACATGGCGAAACCCTGCCTCTACTAAAAATACAAAAAATTAGCCAGGTGTGGTGGTGTACACCTTTAGTCCCAGGTACTCGGGAGGCTGAGGCAGGAGAATTGCTTGAATCCGGGAGGCTGAGGTTACAGTGAGCTGAGATGGTGCCACTGCATTCCAGCCTGGGCACAGAGCCAGACTCTGTCTAACCACCATCACCACCACCAACAACAACAACTACAAAAACCCACAGAGAAAGGCTACATCTGAAACTAATGAAAAATAGAAAATGTTTGTGGTTGCTTAAGAGAGTGCGGAATAGGATGGGGGAATAGTGCTGGGATTGCAGGCGTGAGCCACTGCGCCCAACCTAATTTTTCACTTTTGAACTATTAAATGTTTTGTAAAATGCAGGGGGTTTTTTTGTTGTTGTTGTTGTTGTTTTTTGAGACAGAGTCTTACTCTGTCACCCAGGCTGACAGAAGTCGCATGATCTCGGCCACTTCTGCCAACTTCAAGCGATTCTCCTGCCTCAGTCTCCTGAATAGCTGGGATTACAGGCACTCATCACCACACCCAGCTAATTTTTGTGTTTTCAGTAGAGACGGGATTACCCCATGTTGGCCAGGCTGGTCTCGAACTCCTGACCTCAGGTGATCTGCCCACCCCAGCCTTCCAAGTTGCTGGGATTACAAGCATGAGCCACCACGCCTGGCCCAAAATGGTTAATTTTTCTTAGATTCCAGATTCGGTTTTTAAAGTAAATGGCCACTGTCCCTGGCCAAAATGCAGTTTATTTTGAAATGTTTATTTAAAAATAAGATGGGCCCAGCACTTTGGGAGGCTGAGGTGGGTGGATCACTCACTTGAAGTCAGGAGTTTGAGACCAACCTGGCTTATATGGCGAAACCCCATCTCTACTAAAAATACAAAAATTAGCTGGGTTTGGTGGCGGGTGCTTGTAATCGCAGCTACTCGGGAGGCTGAGGCATGAGAAGCGCTTGAACCCAGGAGGCAGAGATTGCAGTGAGCCGAGGTCACGCCACTACACTCCAGTCTGGGTGACAGAGCGTGACAATGTCTCAAAAAAAAAAATAAATAAAATAAAAATAAGATGGATGGATAGAGACAGGAATGTATAGGTAGATGCAATAAAGAAGATATATTAAAATGTTGACGGTAGAATCTAGGCAGTGGGTATACAGGTGTTTAGTGTAAAAAACCTTTAGTTTTTCTCCATGCTTGAAATATTTATTTTTAAATGTTCGAAAACATTAAATAAGAATGGATGAAACAGCAAACCCTAAAACAATTCTAACTGTGTAGCAAATTGATAATGTAACCACACAGAGAAAGTAATTTACTCAAGGGCCGGGTGCAATGGCTCATGCCTGTAATCCCAGCACTTTGGGAAGCCAAGGCAGGAGGATAGCTTAAGCCCAGGAGTTCAAGACCAACCTGCGCAACATAGTGATACCTTGTCTTTATAGAAAATACAAAAATTAGCCAGTTTTTGTGGCACACACCTTTATCCCAGCTATTCTGGAGGCTGAGGCAGGAGGGCAGGGCTTCAGTGATCTGCACTCCAGCCTGGACAACACAGTGAGACCCTGTCTCAAAAAAAAAAAAAAAATTTATTCAAGTATATTTTGAACACATAATTCTGTAACCCCCTTAGTGGGATTTATTATAAGGACAAAAGTCTCGGAGAAATTTTGAACTTTTCTTATCCGAAATCTCTGCTGACTTCATGATAAGAAGTTAGCTGGAACTCCTGCGTACAGTAAATAGCAGGCCAACAGAATTCTTCCTGAACTAGCCGGTTTAGATTCAGTTTCAGAACGTTAATAACCTTATTCACAATAATTTACCAAGAAATATTCATGGCATGTAGTTCCGTGAAGAATTTTGTACTACCCACTAGGTGGCAATGCTATCTAATGTAATTAAAGCAGATCTTTAATTTGAAAGACTCATTCATCTAACAACCTATATTGATCTTTCTCACCTACTGAGCAAACTAGACTTTCATTAAACATTAAACATGTTTCATTAAACATTTCATTTCATTAAACATTACTAAGAATGTAATGTTCTTCGGAATTTTAATAAAAAAGAAAAAAATGATACTATTTCCCCACACAAGGAATATATTAAATCAAACTCAGAATCATTGGATTGGTAGGGACCTCCAGAAATCAGCTAGTCCCTTTGTCCACCTCCAAAAAGAATAACTCTCCTACTCTATAATTTTTTATTTGCCTGGGAAAGATGACATTTCTCAAAGTTCTATTCCAACATTTAGCATATAGTTGAGAGGTGACAGCATGCCGGCAGTCCTCAGAGCCCTCGCTTGCTCTCGGCACCTCCCCTGCCTGGGCTCCCACTTTGGTGGCATTTGAGGAGCCCTTCAGCCCCCCACTGCACTGTGGGAGCCCCTTTCTGGGCTGGCCAAGGCCGGAGCCCACTCCCTCAGCTTGCAGGGAGGTGTGGAGGGAGAGGCAGGAGCGGGAACGGAGGCTGCGTGCGGCGCTTGCGAGCCAGCTGGAGTTCCGGGTGGGCGTGGGCTTGGTGGGCCCCACACTCGGAGCAGCCAGCCAGCCCTGCTGGCCCCAGGCAATGGGGGACTTAGCACCCGGGCCATTGGCTGCGGAGGGTGTACTGAGTCCCCCAGCAGTGCCGGCCCACCAGTGCTGCGCTCGATTTCTCGCCGGGCCTTAGCTGCCTTCCCGCGGGGCAGGGCTCGGGACCTGCAGCCCGCCATGCCTGAGCCTCCCACCCACTCCATGGGCTCCTGTGCGGCCCGAGCCTCCCCGACGAGCACCACCTCCTGCTCCACAGCGCCCAGTCCCATCGACCACCCAAGGGCTGAGGAATGCGAGCCCACGGCGCAGGACTGGCAGGCAGCTCCACCTGCAGCCCCGGCGCGGGATCCACTAGGTGAAACCAGCTGGCCTCCTGAGTCTGGTGGGGACGTGGAGAGTGTTTATATCTAGCTCAGGGATTGTAAATACACCAATCAGCACCCTGTGTTTAGCTCAAGGTTTGTGAATGCACCAATCGACACTCTGTATCTAGCTGCTGTGGTGGGGCCTTGGAGAACCTGTGTGTGGAAACTCTGTATCTAACTAATCTGATGGGGAGTGGAGAACCTTTGTATCTAGCTCAGGGATTGTAAACGCACCAGTCAGCGCCCTGACAAAACAGGCCACTCGGCTCTACCAATCAGCAGGATGTGGGTGGGGCCAGATAAGAGAATAAAAGCAGGCTGCCCAAGCCAGCATTGGCAACCTGCTAGGGTCCTCTTCGTCATTGTGGAAGCTTTGTTCTTTTGCTCTTTGCAATAAATGTTGCTACTGCTCACTCTTTGGGTCCACGCTGCTTTTATGAGCTGTAACACTCACTGTGAAGATCTGTAGCTTCACTCCTGAGCCCAGCAAGACCACGAGCCCACCGGGAGGAATGAACAACTCCACACACGCTGCTTTAAGAGCTGTAATGCTCACCGCGAAGGTCTGCAGCTTCACTCCTGAGCTAGCGAGACCACGAACCCACCAGAAGGAAGAAACTCCGAACACATCTGAACATCAGAAGGGACAGACGCCAGACACACTGCCTTGAGAGCTGTAACACTCACCGTGAGGGTCCGTGGCTTCATTCTTGAAGTCAGTGAGACCAAGAACCCACCAATTGCGGACACATGGTCATGTGGTTCATTCAATCATTATAAAGCAGACAACTTCTGAGCAATTACCATTTGCCAGGTAGGGGGCTAGGTATTGAGGGTATGATGGTGCCACAGACACAGTCCTACTGCCCTCAAGAACTTACTGTCGATTGCCCTGGCCATTGGCCTTCTTGGGAGAATGGAAGCATTGGTGTGGGTCCTAGTGGCATGGTTTGTGTTACTCTTCTCAGCTCAACCAGAGGCGAAAGGGAGGCCCAGTGGGGAAGAACAGAAAAGTATGTTTAATTGTTATTAGAAGACAATGTGAGAAATGCAAGAGAGTAGGTAAAAGGTATGAAGGACCTGAGAGAAGGAAGTCTTAGAAGTAGGTAGAAAAGTTTCCCAGATGAAGCGACATCTAAACTGACATGTGAAGGATAAGTAGGCGCTAAACAGGCGGGGGCCAGATGAAATGGAAGAAGAGAGGGAGGGCTTGCAGGTTGCAAAAGTTGGTGGGAGAAGGATAGCATCCTATTTGCGTCTGTATCCCCAAGGCTCAGCACCACGTCTTTCACAACAGACTTACATTAAACAGAATGAACTAATTCTGACCCTTACCCTGGTGCTATCATAATGTGACCCTGGAAAGATCGCTCCACTTCTTGAATCCTTGCTGTCCTCACTCTGAAGGTGAAGGAGATCACTCAGGGAGACTGTGGAGAAGGAGGTAAGAGGGCTCAGGACAATCCTGAGGACCACTGATACTTAAAAGACAGGCAGAGAAAAAAGAGGTAGCAACGGAGGCTGCAAAGCAGGATCGCGAGAGGCAATAGAAACCAGGAGAGTGTGGCATCTTGCATGTGAGGATTTTAAGAAATAAGCAGGCCAGGCACAGTGGCTAAGGCCTGTAATCCCAGCACTTTGGGAGGTCGAAGCGGGCAGATAACTTGAAGCCAGGAGTTCGAGACCAGCCTGGCCAACATGGCGAAACCCTGCCTCTACTAAAAATACAAAAATTAGCCAGGCGTGGTGGCGCACACCTGTAGTCCCAGCTACTCAGGGGGCTGAGGCACAAGAATCACTTGAACCAGGGAGGCGGAGGTTGCAGTGAGCCAAGATCATACCACTGCACTCCAGCTTGGGCAATAGAGCAAGACTCTGTCTCAAAAAAAAAAAAAAAATCAACTGTTAGAAGTCAAGAAACAGTAAATATGGAAAAAAAGTCACTTTATTAATAAGAAGTTGCTCTTGGACTTTGTAAGAGAAGGTCAGCGATATGGGTGCAAGGATCACACTGCAGTGGATTGCAGATACAGTAGCGAGTGAACCTATGGAGTCAGCAAATACAGAAACCCCTTTAAAGAAATCTGGCAGTGAAGCAAAAGTCAAGAGAGGAAAACATTTAAACATGCTTGAGCATGTTCAATTGTTGCTGGAAAGGAGCCACGAGATAGGGAAAGGTTGAAGGTGGTGAGGGAGAGGCAGATAAGGCTGTGGAACAAGTGTGGCATTTGAAAAGGCAGGAGAGCACAGGAGTATAAAAACAGGTGGACTGGAGGAAGGATATCCAGAGGTGTGCTGAGCTTATTAGACACCCACCCAGGGGATAATTTTTAACACAAAAACCTCCACTCTATGACAAAATTATCTTCAGAAATAATCATGAAGAAAATAATAAAATTCCAGAAAGTAAATGCAGAAAGTGACATTTTTCTGTTTTTGAACTCTATACATATATTATGTGAGTAAAAAAATTGTTTAATAGAAAACCACAAGCTGGGCCTGGTGGTGTGTGCCTCTAGTCCCAGCTACTCAGGAGGCTGAGGCAGGAGGATCCCTTGAGCACAGGAGTTTGAGGCTCTAGTGAACTATGATCATGCCACTACACTCCAGTGTGACAGAGGAAGACCTTATTTCTTTAAAAAAAATTGCAATAAAAAAGAAAATAATAATGCATTAATACTTCTGTGTTACAGGAAAAAATAAAATTTAGGGAATAATACTAAATCATACTACTGATATGAACATGTTTGTGAGTCATTAGTTTGTTTTTTTGGTTTTTGTTTTGTTTTGTTTTTGAGATGGAGTTTTGCTCTTGTTGCCAATGGCACGATCTCGGCTCACTGCAACCTCCGCCTCCCGGGTTCAAGCGATTCTCCTGCCTCAGCCTCCCAAGTAGCTGAGATTACAGGCATGCACCACCACGCCCGGCTAATTTTGTATTTTTAGTAGAGACGGGGTTTCTCCATGTTGGTCAGGCTGGTCTCGAACCCCAGACCTCAGGTGATCCACTCGCTTCAGCCTCCCAGAGTGCTGGGATTACAGGTGTGAGCCACCGATCCTGGCCTGAGTCATTAGTTTTAAACAACAATAACAAATGTTACTATTAACAACTTTATTCAAACTCAGTAAAATATTTCAAGTATGAACTAAAATTTTTACTTTCCAAACAAAATATCACAACTCTCAGTTCACACTCTTTGTTTTAAATTTTAAGCACGATATATATCCCAAGTGGTCACATGCAAAATGACAGATTTGAAGTAACTCAAGTTCTCTTTCTCCACCTTTACAGTCTCCATGCTTTCATTGTTTATTTTGCATCTAGTGCATAAAAGCAGAAATAGGCCAGGTGCGGTGGCTCACGACTGTAATCCCAGAATTTTGGGAGGTCAGGGCGGGTGCATCACCTGATGTCAGGAGTTCCACATCAGCCTGGCCAACATGGTGAAACCCCATCTCTACTAAAAACACAAAAATTAGCCAGGCATGGTGGCAGGTGCCTGTAATCCCAGCTACTCAGAAGGCTGCGGCAGGAGAATCACTTGAACCTGGGAGATGGAGGTTGCAGTGAGCGGAGATGCGCCACTGCACTCCAGCCTGGGTGACAGAGTGAGACTCCATCTCAAAAAAAAGAATACCTGAGGCTGGGTAATTTACAAAGAAAAGAGATTTATTTGGCTAACAGTTCTGCAGGCTGCACAGGAAGCATGGTGCCAGCATCTGCTTCTGGTGAGGGCCTCAGGCTGCTTCCATTCATGGGGAAGGTGGAGGTGAAGCTGAGATCTGCTGTGTGGAGATCACATGGTGAGAGAGGAAGTGAGAAAGAGAAAGGTAGGGGAGAGGAGAAGGTGCTGGGCTCTTTTTCACAGCCAGCTCTTGATGGAACTATAGAGTGAGAACTCACTCACCCACCACCCACCCAATTAATCTATTCATGAGAGATCTGTTCTAATGATCCAAGCATCTCCCAGTAGGCCCCACCTCCAACACTGGGGACCAAATTTCAACATGAGATTTGAAGGGATCAAACATCCAAACAATGACACACATATATGAAGACAGTAACCACTGCAATTGTGCAGAATTGACCAGCAAAAGACCGTTTTCAGGCAGTAGTGATGGCAGTGGCTGCTGTCACTGGCTGCAGCAGGGAGGCGAGGCGGGGCTGCAGACACCATGCAACTGGTGGGAGCCCCACCCTCCTGGGCGGGGCTACAGCTGCCCAACTGTGGCTGTGGATGGAAGCCTCCCTGTTCTCTTGGAGGAGGCCAGGAAGAGGCAGGATCTGCCCACTTGGGTGCAGCTGCAACCACCCAACCTGTGGCTGCAGACCTAGGCCTTCCACTTCACGGAGCAAGCAGGAGCCGGGGAAAAGCAGGAACTCCGACCCTTCCGAGTTGGTGGGGCAGGAGCTTTGCCGGTGCAGCTGTGGCTGCCCTCCCAGGCTCAGGACCTGGGCATCTCTGCAGCCTGCACCCTCGGGAGCCTGGGATGTTCCCTCCCCCGAACCACGCTCCCCTTGGGGGCATGGGATACCCCCCTTGGCCCCGCCCCATCCCTGCAGGCTCGGGGGTGTCTGCTCTCGCTGCCCGGCCTTTCTGCTCCTGGTGCCAGCTCTGATCTCCTAGCGGGGTTTTGGAGAGCTCCCTTTAGGAGATCTCATGAACATTTGTACTCACTAAAAGAAAGTCTGACGGGAGGGGTCAGCCAATATTCACTGCAACAAGCATCCCCATTGGGTACAGTTCCCTGTGGACCTCTCTGAGTGGGAGGAACTCACTTTGAGCTGGGCTGCCTTGACTCCTGACTGGGGCAGCCAGGTTGGCTTATAGCAAGCAGTGCAAACCACAAGCGTTTCACCTAGAAAGCTTAGTAGTTAGGACTGTAGGCTTGCCACGAACGGAGAGTGCAATGCAGTGCTCTTCAACTTGGTAGAAATGGCTGCTGGGGAGAGAGGGAGAAAGAACCAGGAACTATGGGATTAAGGGCCCAGTGAGTGTTGAAGACCACAACAAAAGAAAAACTTTAGACAAAACAAATGTAACAGTTTACTGGAGCAAAGAACAGTCTACACATTGGGCAGCCCTTAGAACCAGAAGTTCAGAGAATACAGTTCTGCAACCTGGGTATTACTTACAGAAAAAGGCTGAAGAGGTGGGGAGCGATGGTTCACACCTGTAATCCTAGCAATCTGGGAGGCTGAGGTGGGCAGATCACTTTAGGTCAGGAGATGGAGACCAGCCTGGCCAACATGGTGAAACCCCATCTGTACTAAAAATACAAAAATTAGCCAGACGTGGTGGTGCACACCTACAATCCTAGCTACTACTCGGGAGGCTGAGGTGGGAGAATCCTTGAACCCGGGAAGCCGAGGTTGCAGTGAGCCGAGATTGTGCCACTGCACTCCAGCCTGGGCAACAGAGTGAGACTGTCAAATAAATAAATAAATAAATAAATAAATAAATAAATAGCCAAAGATAGCAGAAACAAAGAACAGAGACTGGTTGTTTCACAGTTACTTTCCTTGTAAAGGTTAAAGCAGAGGGGACTTCCTTGTCATGCCAGCTAAAACTGGCCTATCTGGGGATTTGGATTTCCTGATTTCTTGGAAGGTCAAGCAAACAACTTGATTTTGTCTTGGTGGTGTGGAATTATTTTTACTTTTTATTTTTGAGACAGTCTCGCTCTGTCACTCAGGCTGGAGGGCAGTGGCGTGATCTCCACTCACTGCAGCCTTGGCTTCCAGAACTCAAGGGATCCTCCCATCTCAGCCTCCCGAGTAGCTGGGACAGCAGGTGTGCACCATCACAGCTGGGTAATTTTTTCATTTTTTGTAGAGACGGAGTCTCCCTATATAGCCCCCACTGGTCTCAAACTCCTGGGCTCAAGTGATCCTCCCACCTTTGCCTCCCAAAGTGCTGGGATTACAGGCCTGAGCTACAGCGCCTGGCCAAGGTGGCCTGGAATTTTAGCATAAGTGACTCCATTTTGGTTTGATCTACTGAGGCCTGGTGAAGGAGCCCAGTCTAAATCAATGGGCTCCTATAAATTTAATTTAACAACCACAAGTTTCTTTAACTATAGCTTAGGGTAATTTTTTTCTACTATGACTTCAGTGGGGAGGGAAGGCAAATTGTTACTGCTCTCTAAATCAGGAGGTAGCAAACTTCTTTTTGTAAAAATTCAGATTGTAAATATTTTAGACTTTCTGAATCGCATACTCTTTGTTCATTCATTTGTTACAAGCCTTAAAATTACATAAAAAGCATTCCTAGCTCCCAGGCAGTACAAAAACAGGCCTTGGCTGGATTTGGCCTGAAGACTGTATTTTGCTAAACTTTACTCTAGATAATACATCCATTAGAGATAGTAAAGTCTCTTTTCTTTTTTTTTTCTTTTTCCTTTTTTTTTGAGATGGAGTCTCACTCACTTGTACTATGGCTGGATCTCGGCTCACTGCAACCTCCACCTCCAGGGTTCAAACAATTCTCCTACCTCAGCCTCCTAAGCAGCTGGGATTATAGGCACGCCCATGACACCGGGCTAATTTTTGTATTTTTAGTAGAGACAGGGTTTTGCCATGTTGGCCAGGCTGGTCTCAAATTTGTGACCTCAAGTGATCTGCCACCTCAGCCTCCCAAGGTACTGGGATTGTAGGTGTGAGCCACTGCATCTGGCCAAGTAAAGTTACTTTCTACCATTCCAAGAAAGGCTATTTTCTTGAGAAAGACTGGATAAATAATTTAGAAATTGGTTTGTGAATCATTTTCCTCCTACCTGAATGAAGAGGGAGTTCTAGTGGCAAGCAAGGTGTAGCTACATAGACTTATGAAAATAACTAAGACAGGTACCTTCAGATGAAGGGAAAATTAGGGGAAATTACATGATTTCTTATTTGTGTTATATATTTGCTCAATGCATTTTCTTTTGGGAATTTATGAGTTAGGTATGAAGTACACCTTTGGCAAACAGATTTTAAAAATTCAATGAAAAGAAGCAAAATCTACCCCATGACTTAAGACTCCAAAAGTGTTTAAGAAAATTAGAAAAGCAAGCTCTAGTTTAAATTTTGAAAAATCTCAATGTGAGTACAAAGTTTTCTTAGGAGTTCAGAAATGTAAAAGGTTTATACAAAAGATGAAAGAAAGAGTATATTTCCCAAAACCTACATGAACAGTGTTTGAAAAGCTAAAACCAAGAACAAACTGAAACTTAAATCTTCCTCCTTAAAAGGAAGTGTTTTTTAGAAGTAATGGTAGGATTGAGTGCAGTTAATTATTAGGATTAGGTTAGCACTGGCCGCATAATTTTTGGAACCCAGTGCAAAATAAAAATTTGGGTCCCCTTGTTAAGCAAAAAATATTGATAACTTCAAGATGGCAACAGCAGAGCATTGTATGGGGACTTCTGAGCGATAGCTCAGTTCACATGCTCATGAAGGAGGTGTAAACCAAAAATAAATTCCAAGGCCCCCCAACCATCTGAATGGCCTCCTAAGCCAGGGCACTCTAAAATTCAACCTGAAGGACTGGTTCAGGCCATGACAGAAAGTGAGGGTTAGACATGCCTCATTACACCTCTCTGCCATTAATATCAACACAGACCTTAAGTCTGATAAGAAACAGTTAGAATCTATTCTCTCTGAAGCCTGCTACCTGGAGGCTTCATCTGCCTGATAAAACTTTTGGTTTCCACCACTGCTTTTGAGATGTACCATCTTTCTGGACAGAACCAATGTATAGCTTTAATGTATTTGATTGATGTCTCACACCTCCCTGAAATGTATAAAACCAAGCTGTGCCCCGACCACCTTGGGCACATGTTCTCAGGGCCTCCTGAGGAAGGACTGTGTCACAGGACATGGTCACTCATATTTGGCTCAGAATAAATCTCTTCAAATATTTTACGGAGTTTGACTCTTTTCGTCGACAGACGCCCTCGGCTGGGGACTCAAGAATGCCCAAATCCTGCCTCGGCCCAGCCATCTCCACTTCCTTTGAGGTTCTAGAAGGAGGTTTGCAAGATATAACAGCATGTAAGACACCATAGCAGGTTCCCCTTTATTTTCAAGTAGGTTCCTGTAACTGCCTCTTTAGGGATCCTGGTTAAGCTATGCTGCAGCACAAAATTTAGGCTCAGGACATAAGTAGAGTCTTTCTGCCCAGCAGAATTGAGGATTCCTGAAGGTTTAGAGAAATAGAGGAGAGAAAAAAGAGCAAATGTCTCTGCCTAGAAGGCACCTGCTGTCCCAGGAGAAGTAAAAGGGAAAAGTGCACTTTAGTGACCTCTCACTGTAGCAGAAGTGTGCCATTCACTGTTTTAGAACCTAATCAGATTAGCGGCGCCTCTTCTAGGACAGGAGCAAAGATGGAGATTGGAAAAGAAAGACTTTCTCTTGTTTCTTCTTCAACCTACTGTGAGGGAAAGGGCTTTTAAAACTACATTTGAATTACATTTGAATTTTAAAAAATAAACAGGATGAGCAGTATTCTCTGCTGTTTTGATGCAGTTAGCATAAATGCTAAGAGATAACAATGAGCAAGGAAAATAACCATTTATTTTCCTTCATCTTTTTTATAAAGCAATATTTAGTAATCTGCAGTTTTAGCAAAGAAAAAAATTGAAACTCAATAAACGAGTATATAAGAATAGGCCAGGTGTGATGGCTCACACCTGTAATCCCAGCACTTTGGGAGGCCAAGGCAGGCGGATCACTTGAGGTCGGGAGTTCAAGACCAGCCTGGCCAACATGGAGAAACTCCGTCTCTACTAAAAATACAAAAATTAGCTGGGCATGGTGGCAGGCGCTTGTAATCCAAGTTACTCAGGAGGCTGAGGCAGGAGAATCGCTTAAACCCAGGAGGTGGAAGTTGCAGTGAGCTGATATGGAGCCAGTGCACTCCAGCCTGGGTGACAGAGCGAGACTCCCATCATCTCAAAAAAAAAAAAAAAAAAAAAAAAAGAGTATATAAGAGTATCAAATAACAATGCAGATATTTGAAAAATGAATTTAAGTGTCTAGAACTAGACAAAACACAGCCCTACACCAGAGGCATTTGAACCAGAGCAACTCCATCTTGAATAGGGCCTGGGTAAAGTAAAGCTGAATCTTACTGGACTTCATTCCAGGAGGTTAGGCACTCTAAGTCATAGGATGAGATAGGAGGCCAGCACAAGATATAGGTCACAAAGACGTTGCTGATAAAACAACATGTGATAAAGAAGCGGGCTAAAACCCACCGAAACCAAGATGGCGATGACAGTGACCTCTGGTGGTCCTCATTGCTTATTATAAGCTAATTATAATGCATTAGCATGCTAAAATACACACCCACCAGCGCCATAACAGTTTACAAATGCCATGGCAACGTGAAGTAGTTACCTCATATGGTCTAAAAAGGGGAGGAGCCCTCAGCTCTGGGAACTGCCCACCCCTTTCCTAGAAAACTCATGAATAATCCACCCCTTGTTTAGCATATAATCAAGAAATACTAAAAGTATAGTTAGTCAAGCAGCCCACGCTGTTGCTGTGTCTATGGACACATTCTTTTATTCCTTTACTTAACAAACTTGCTTTCCCTATACTGTGTTGACTCGCCCCAAATTCTTTCTCACATGAGATCTAAGAACCCTCTCTTGGGGTCTGGATCAGGGACCCCTTTCTGGTAACACCTAGAATACTAAAGAAATAGGTATATGTGCTCTGGGTCACCATAATTATTCTGAGAAATTATAGGACACATAAAGAGAAACCAAAAGACTGAGGGGGAAAAACTCAACATTGTTTTTTTTGAGACTGAGTCTTGCTGTGTGGCCCAGGCTGGAGTACAGTGGTGCGATCTCAGCTCACTATAGCCTCCGCCTCCCAGGTTCAAGTGATTCTCCTGCCTCAGCCTCCTGAGTAGCTGGGATTACAGGCACGTGCCACCATGCCCAGCTAATTTTTGTATTTTTAATAGAGATGGGTTTTCATTATGTTGGCCAGGATGGTCTCGATCTGTTGACCTTGTGATCTGCCTACCTCAGCCTCCCAAAGTGCTGGGATTATGGGCATGAGCCACCACTCCCAGCCCTCAAAAATTTTTAAAAAGAGAAGAAAGTTTAATCAAAATTGGAATTAGTAAACTTGGAATTGGCTGTTGGTAAATTGTGAACAAACACCACTGTACAAGCACTTTGCAAGGACTTATGTAAGATGAGATGATAATAGAAGCCACCCTATATGTTCTGTGAGCAAACCCTTTCAATTGAGACTCTTTTTTAAAAAAAAATGGCTGGGGGGTGGGTAGGGAGGCACAGTTATGGTGGTAAATCAATGAATAACAGAAATAATTCCAGCAAAATGGTGAGCAAAACTTATCATGTTGTCCTTGGAGACAAGATGAAGAAATGTGATAGGTGACTCAGCAGTTTGGACAATCTGAACAGGGTTAATGAATTGATACATCAAGAACAACTTGACCAAGAGTCTCTGTGACATCTCACAAAGCTCTGCCCTATCACTGTCCTGTTTGGCAACATTACCAGTAATTTATATGCTGGCACAGAGGCATGCTTATCAGGTTTAAAGATTACCCAAAACTAGGAGGGATAGCTAATATAATGGCTTCACTAAAGATTCACAATTACCTCCACAGGCTGGAATCTCAGTCTCAAATGTCAACAGGTTGACATTTTGACTAGAATAAATGTAAAGGATATTTTTAGATTAAAACAATTTTTTTTTATTGTTTGTTTTTTTTTGTTTTTTCTGAAAACCAGAGGGGTAGTGACCAGGCTTGGTTGCAACTCATAAAACAAACAAAAAACTTAAAGTTTCTTTTTGAAATGAAGATGAAGTATAGGATGGAAAAAACTAAAGTTTTCATTGATTATGCATTAAAAGGAACCAGCTCTACAATGCAGCTGTTGAAAAAGTTAATACTGCTTTGGACAAATCATTAAAAACAATAGTAGTCATTTATTGAGAGGGAATTATGAGCACTGGCTCTGGAGCTAGACTGGCTGGGTGACACTGGACAAATTCTTTCATCTCTTTGTGACCACATTCCTCCATTTTTAAAATCAGGGTGATATGATTTGGCTGTGTCCCCACCCAAATCTCATCTTGAATTCCCACATCTCATGGGAGGGACCCAGTGGGAGGTGATTGAATCATGGGGGCAGATCTTTCCCATGCTGTTCTCGTGATAGTGAATGGGTCTCACGAGATCTGATGGTATTATAAGGGAATGTTTCCCTGTACAAGCTCTCTTCTCTTGTCTGCCACCATGTGAGACGTGCCTTTCACCTTCCACCATGATTATGAGGCCTCCCCAGTCATGTAGCACTGTAAGTCCAATAAACCTCTTTCTTTTGTAAATTCCCCAGTCTCAGGTATGTCTTTATCAGCAGCATGAAAACAGACCAATACAAGGTGGTAAGAATAATACCTACTTAATAGAGCTCTTTTGAATAACTCAACGAGATAATACATATAAAAATTTACAACAGTGCTCAATAAATGTTAGCTGTTATTATTCTGTTCCGGACACTTTACACACATTTGTATGTGTATGTATGTGGCTTTTTATTTAATTACATGTATTCATTGCAAAGTAATACACATATTAAAACAATGCTAAAAGGTATACACTGAAAAATTGTCCCTTAATTATCAGTCCTTCTGCTGAGAGATTAAATTAAAATGCACCTTTCATTTTTATGTACTAATGGGTGCATGGACTGCACAATGCTCTGCACCTTTTCCTCCCCACATGGGTATCTTGGAGACATTTCCCTATCAGTATATGTAGATCTATTCCATTCTTCGGTTTTGTTTTGTTTCCCTCTAGAGACATGGGGTTTCGCTATGTTGCCCAGACTGGTGTCCAATTCCTGGGCACAGGTGATCCTCCTGCCTCAGCCTTCCAAGTAGCTGGGACTACAGGTGTGCACCACCACACCTGGCCTATTCCATTTTTTAAGCTGCATAGTATTCCACTGTGTAGATGTGCCATAATTTATTTACCAGATCCCCAAACCACAGTTATTTAAGTTTGTATTCAGTCTATTTTTTTCCACAAACAATGCTGCTATGAACTTCCTTGTAGCTCAGATACTGGAGTCAGATTGTCTGGGTTTAAATACCTGTGCTGTCACTTATTAACTGTGAGCACGGGTAAATGTCTGAGCTTTACCAACCTTGACTTCCTAAAGTGTAAAATAGGGGTAATAATAGTGCCAAACTCATAGGGTTCTTGTAAGGATTAAATGGAGAGTACCTTGCTTGATGCTCCTACATAGTAAGCTCTCAACGAACATAAAATACTTCCCTTCCAAACTTTCCAACTTTACATACATTTGAGTTTGTAGAGTGAATTCTTAGAAGTAGAATTGCAGATTCAAGGGTGTTCATTCAAAACTCTGGCAGATAACATCAAATTGTCCTTTGTGTTGGATCATGTTTTCCTCTCTAGATACACACTCTACCTGTCCTGACCCTGCTCTGTACTCCAGGAGGCTATAAATCTCTAGCATCCAGTGTCCATTCAGGACCTCTGTGGGAGATGGGAAGGCAGAAGGAAAGAGCCCCAGGCCTCTGTTTCGCAATGGCTACATTCCCTTATCAGAAGCCAGCTTCCATTAAGCAGCTCCTCCCCAGTGGCTACTAAGTCCACATGTTCCTTTTTTAAAAACATATTTTTATTTTTTAATAAGACAGGGTCTCTCTCAGTTGCCCAGGCTGGAGTGCAGTGGTGCAATCACAGCTCACTGTAGCCTTGACCTCCTGGGCTAAGGTGATCCTCCTGCCTCAGCCTCCAGAGTATTTGGGACCACAGGCATCTGCCACTACATCCAGCTAAGTTTTTAAAAAATTATTTGTAGAGACAGAGTCTCCCTGTTTCCCAGGCTGGTCTCAAACTCCTGGACTCAAGCAATCCTCTTCCTTGGCCTGCCAAAGTGTTGGGATTACAGGCATGAGCCACCAAACCTAGTCCCCACCATGTTTCAAGAAAAGCTCTCTCCCTTTGCCCTGTCAGTCAGATCGGGTAGAAACTGTTTCCTGCAGTTTCTTGTCCCTGGATCTTTCACCAGCCCTTGCAGGTTCCCCTAACCCTGAGTATATCTCTATAACTAATCTTTTTGTTAAACTTCCTTCAGTTACCCTTTCAACATGCCGTCTGACTGGCACACTATCCAATTCACACTCTCACTGCTTCACTATGAGAATATTTGTTTTCCCACACTCTTGCTGATATTGGCATGTCAAATGTTTTAAAGATTTTATATAAAAGACTCCTTTAATTTTTTATTTTTTCTGGGCACCAGTGCCATTATTTATCTTTTATCACAGGTAGTGTTTCCTTTTAAACTTCAGTTTCTTAAAGGCCTTTGCGTAAGTATAGATACTTATTATTTCCTCAATATTGTATTAGTTCAATTAAAAATATCAGAAAATTCAGCCAAAATAATATGAAGAACTATTGAAGACATTAAAAACTTTACCCCAGGCCGTGCTCGGTGGCTCATCCCTGTAATCCCAGCACTTTGGGAGGCTGAGGCGGGCGGATCACGAGGTCAGGAGATCGAGACTACCCTGGCTAACACGGTGAAACCCTATCTCTACTAAAAATACAAAAAATTAGCCGGGTGCAGTGGTGGGTGCCTGTAGTCCCAACTACTCGGGAGGCTGAGGCAGGAGAATGGCGTGAACCCAGGAGGCGGAGTTTCCAGTGAGCCAAGATCGCACCACTGCACTACAGCCTGGGCAATAGAGCAAGACTCCGTCTCAAAAAAAAAAAACAAAAAAACTTTACCCCAATAAAATTTTTTAGGTGTGGTGATGACTTGTGGCTGTGTTTTTTAAATGAGAAAAACCCTTATCTTTAGAGATATCCTCTAAAATAATTACAAGTAAAATGGTATGATATATTAGATTTACTTCAAAATTCTCCAGAAAAATAGACAATAGAGTATGGGGAATACATGGAAGAAGACTGGGAAAGTGTAGGTAATTATTGAAAGTAGGTGATGGGTATGTGGTGTATCATTATATCCACTCTTTCCCATTCTGTTCCCATTCATTATCTCCAACTTTATGTGCTAAAAGTCCCAAAATAAGAAATAAACCCACAAACAAAGCCAATAGCAACAATAAACAAAGAAATAAAAAGACAACTAAACATCCAAGTTGAGGAGAAGGATAGCCAGTGAGATCCCCAGGTGGGGAAGCTGCTCCAGCACTGCCCAGCCAGGATCAAGATGACCGTCACCTTCAACAACCACAGGAAGCCACAGCTCTCCAAGTTCCACCAGCTCTACAGTGAAGACACACAACAGCAAATCATCAGGGAGACTTTCCACTTGGTATTTAAGAGAGATGAAAATGTTTGTAAGTTTCTAGAAGAAGGATTATTAATTGGAGGATAGGACAACAAACTGATTTCTAGACCTCACATAATAACATATTTTGTCTTCTGTGTGGGTTCTTCAGAAAATGAACTTGGTGTTTTAGATCTAATTTGAGTATTTGTGGAAACATTAGGCAAGTGTTTTTGAAAATGTGAACTGGATTTCATCTTCCATGTGGCTCACATTATTCTTGTAGAAATGATATTGGGAGAATGGTATTAGAGACTGTATTAGTTTGTTTTCACACTGCTATAAAGACATACCTGAGACTGGGTAATTTATAAAGAAAAGACATTGAATTGACTCATAGTTTCATATGGCTGCGGAGGCCTTGGGAAACTTACAATCATGATGGAAGGGGAAGCAGGCACGTCTTACATGGTGGCAGGAGAGAGCTAAGAGTGAAGGGGGAAGAGATCCTTACAAAACCATCGGATCTCATGAGAACTCACTCACTATCATGAGAACAGCCTGGGGGAACCTCCCCCATGATCCAATTACCTCCTTCCCTTGACATGTGGGGATTACAGGTCCCTCCCTTGACCTGTGGGGATTACAATTTGAGATGAAATTTGGGTGGGGACACAGAGTCAAACCAGATCAGAGACCAACAAGAATGAGCTTGTTACACAAATTAATGTGCAAAATAAGCTGAAAAAAACAAAGGTTGGCTTTACAGGAACCTAGCAGCCCATGCTGTATCAGCTGTATAGAATATAAACCCTCCCAAGAGTCCAAGAAACATTAACACTGGTGACATCGGTATAAAAGTGCCAAACCTGCCCTCTTTTAGATAAAAAATGTAAAAGACTATTTTCAGTAAAATCCAGGGGAAAAGGTCATCCAAGTTTACCTTGTAGTTGTTTACCAAAACTAAAGGAGAGTCTTAACTTTTGCTCTTGGATTTAAGTCAAGGTACTGTACAGAAGTTATATAAAATCGGTATGTGAAGTTCAATGTACCTTTTCTTGTTCAGTGATTTTTAAAGAAATCAGATAGTTCCAGTGTGATTTGTTTTCTTTTCTAAACTTCTATGCTCACCAAAGTCATTCCCTATATATTGGCTACTATGATATTTTGAAAAGTGTTTGTGATATTTCGTTATGTATCACCCAAAACATTGGTATTTTGTATGGATTACAAGTGCAGCATTCCTTAAGTCTTTCTGCTATCTGTGACAATTGTCACTTAAAGAACTAAGTGTATATTGTGTGAAAATATTATGACTTATTTATTTATTTATTTGAGACAGAGTCTCACTCTGTCACCCAGGCTGGAGTGCCATGGCGCGATCTCAGCTCACTGCAACCACCACCTCCTGGGTTCAAGAGAGTCTCATGCCTCAGCCTCCCAAATAGCTGGGATTACAGGCATGCATCATCACGTCCAGCTAATTTTTGTATTTTTAGTAGAGACAGGGTTGGCCAGGCTGGTCTCGAACTCCTGACCTCAAGTGATCTGCCTACCTGGACCTCCTAAATTGCTAGGATTACAGGCATGAGCCACCACACCTGGCCATGACCTTTTTTCTTAGTTTAAATAAACTGCAATACAAAAATTCAAGTGAAACAATTTTTATAGGTCTATAACACAATATTATCTGCAGTCCATTAGATTAGGTATGGCTGTGAACATTTAATCATAACTTTTCAGTTGCAATTTTATGTTCACATTATATTTGGATACCTCTCAATATTTTTAAAAGAAAATTTTCAACCATATATGGCTGGTCCACAGATTTGTCACATCCCCTTTGTTTTGAAAATTTTCAAATGTATATGAAAATGGAAAGAATATTATTATGAAAGCCTGTATACTCTCTGCCTAGATTCAACAACTGTCATCATCTTGACAAATTTATTTAACGCTCTGTATATCGTTTTTTAAAAACTGAACCATTTGAAAGTCATTATGACACTTGCTTCTTCTAGTTCCTCTCCCTCTTCCTGAGTTTTTAGTTTTGTTTTCCGACTTCCTATACATGGGTTCCTTTTTCTAGCAACCTTACATAGCCTTCTTAAAAAGGAGAGAAGTTCTCTTAACTTTATGTTCATCTCCAGCTACCACCATCTGTCTCTTTCTTTCTCACAGCCCACTTTCTCAAAGCAGAGTCCACACTGCTGTTTCTACTTCCTCCCTCTCAGTGGGCCTCACTGGACTGTGGTGTGCCATCCACACAACTTCACCTTGGCACCATCTGGAGCCTCACGACTGGGAAACTCAACAGAGGCCAGGCTCCTCTCTTTGGCATATTTCATACTGTTGAGCTCCATCTTGAAATCCGTTCCTCCTGCCAGGGCATCGTTCACTTCTGACTCACCTGCTTTTCCAGCTGTCCCTGCTCGGGACCCTTCGTCAACTCTCCTTTCTACTTGCCTCTTGAATCTGGGCATTCTAAATGGCCCCATCTCCATCCTTAGTCTCAAATCAAGAGCTTAACCATTTTGTCCCTTATTACCGGAATTTCACGTATCTGTAAGAAGATGGAGAGAAACTCTTTATGTGAGAGAACCCATGAGGATGTCTGCTTCATGAACTGCTTCATTTTGATCCTCCAGTTATAGTTCTTCCGGCTTTTGCAGTTTTAATAAAACCACACCCAGAGGCTATTCAGAAGAAGGAATGCAGGTAAAAGGCAAAAATGATCTTGCTTGTTAGTGACCTAGAGACAAGATTTGATGGAGAAAGAAGCAGAATATTGTCTTTTTTTTTTTTTTTTTTTTTTTTGAGACGGAGTCTCGTTCTGTCGCCAGGCTGGAGTGCAGTGGTGCGATCTTGGCTCACTGCAACCTCCAACTCCCGGCTTCAAGCAATTCTTCTGCCTCAGCCTCCTGAGTAGCTGGGATTACAGGCACGTGCCACCATGCCCGGCTAAGTTTTGTATTTTTAGTAGAGACGGGGTTTCACCATGTTGGCCAGGGTGGTCTCCATCTCTTGACCTCGTGATTCGCCCACCTCGGCCTCCCAAAGTGCTGAGATTACAGGCATGAGCCACTACACCCAGCCTGTTGTCTTTCTTTATTATGAAGTTGTAGGATGTTATTTATCCATGATAAAGTCCTATCTCCCCCATTTCTACAGCTAATTTAAAGTTGACTATTAGAAACCCTATTCACAGGTCAAATACAGACAACACACATTGATTTCTAGCCATAATGCTTCACAGAGCTAATTAGTCTGTTTTGCTTGCTTGAAAGATCTGTATCTAATTTTTTAAGCATCAAAAGAGAAAAGCATATTCAACTCCTTGTAATACCCAAATGGCAGGTGAACGTTCCCTTCAGGGAACATGTCGCTATTGAGAAAACAACATCTGCGTTAAGAATTAAGCCTAGGATGAGGAGTAGCGGACTTTGAGACTAAGAGAGAAGAAGAATCAGTAGGCAATGGCTTTTGTTGTTGCTCCTTTTTTTTTTTTTTAGACAGAGTCTTGCTCTGTTGCCCAGGCTTGAGTGCAGTGGTACGATCTTGGCTCACTGCAACCTCTGCCTCCATGGTTCAAGTGATTCTCCTACCTCAGCCTCCCGAGTAGCTGGGATTACAGGCACACACCACCATGCTCAGCTAATTTTGTATTTTTAGTAGAGACGGGGTTTCACTATGTTGTTCAGGCTGGTCTCGAACTCCTGACCTCAGGTGATTCACTTGCCTTGGCCTCCCAAAGAACTGGGATTACAGGCGTGAGCCACTGCACCTGGCCTATTGTTGTTGTCTCTACATGGAGTAAGAAAGTGGATACTTAAATCAGTAAAATGCAGAAAATTAATTAGCTTGTCAGATGAGCATTCATAAGCTTTTTCTTTCTTTTCTTTCTTTCCTTCCTTCCTTCCTTCCTCCCTCCCTCCCTCCCTTCTTTCTTTGTCTTTTCTTTTCTTTCTTTCTTTTTTTGAGACAGGATCTCACTCTGTCACCCAGGCTGGAGTGTTGTAGTGACACAGTCAAGGAGTCTTGAACTCCCAACCTTTAACTGCAGCCTTGAACTTCCAGGCTCAAGCAATCCTCCCACCTTAGCCTCTGGAGTAGCTGGGACTACAGATGTGTGCTTCCATACATGGCTAATTTTTTAAAATTTTTATTGTAGAGATGGGGGTCTTGCTATGTTGCCCAGGCTGCTTTTGAACTTCTGGCCTCAGGTGATCCTCACGCCTCAGCCTCCCAAAGTGCTAGTATTACAGATGTGAGCCACTGCCCCTGGTCACATAACCTACTCTTAATCTAATTTAGTTTAGAGACTAAACTAATTACTGATCTTTTATGCCTGCTTTATTATAAAATGGCAGCCCAGTTGTAACAACTTAACACTGATTTTATTATCAAAAGTCTAGTACAGGTGAAATACAAATGAAGACTAGAGTTTAGTTAATAGTATCGTGTCGATGTTGGTTTCCTATTTTGGCAGCTGTACCATAGAATGTAAAAATGTTAACATTGGGGGAAAGTGAGCGAGGGTTATATGGAAACTCTATAATATTTTTGCAACTTTTCTGTAAATGTAAAATTGTTCTAAAATAAAAAGGTTATTTTAAAAAAACAAGTCTAGCATGTGGCAATGATTATAACAATGGATGTCTGGATAACGACCTGCTCAGTGTTCTCCAGATAGTTACTATAGTCATTAAAGTTATACATAATAAAAAGCATAATGACAGTTTTGGCACATTCCAAGTAAAATCGGTGTTTTAAAAATCAGCTCAGGTTATCCGTTTAAACTAACAAACAACTGATAAAGCACAATCAGACCAAGAACAGTTCTCTAATATTTTGTAGACTATGTGGAAGTCCTGTCTTCCTTGAGGCTAAAATAAATCGGATGAGACCAGACTAAGAGAAAACAATCTTCTGCCAGTTTCTTTTGCATTTCTGGCTTATTCGGAAAGAAAGACAAAGAAGCTGAGTGGATCAGATGCTCAGGTGTTCCTTCTTTTTCATTCTGGTACCTGGATATGCCTGAGTTGGGGTAAATGGTAAGATCCCCAAATCCATGAGACAGGGCTCATTTAACAAATAATTTGGGGTCAGGCTTGGTGGTTCATGCCTGTAATCCCAACACTTTGGGAGGCTGAGGCAGGTGGATCACTTGAGGCCAGGAATGAGTTTGAAACCAGTCTGGTCAATATAGCGAGACCCCCATCTCTACAAAAGAAAAAAATTAGCCAGGCATAGTGGTGCATGCCATGCCTATAGTCCTAGCTACTCAGGACTTGAGCAATCCCCGAGTAGCTAGGACTTGCAAGAGGATTGCCTGAGCCCAGGAGTTCGAGGCTGCAGTGAGCTTGGATCATGCTACTACACTTCAGCCTGGGCAACAGAACGAGCCTTGTGTCAAAAAAACAAACAAACAAACAAACAAAAAACACCAAAATATTTTTGTAGAGCTCATTAAGGATCTTATATCTTCTCTGTAAACAAACAAACAAACAAACTAAAGAATCTCTGTCCATTATGATTCTCATTGATCTTACCTCAGCTTTTAACATTTAGTTTTATAGACCAGTCATTGGCAAACAATGACCCACAGGCCAAATCTGCCTCATCTTCTTTTTCATTACAGCCTGGGAGTTAAGAATGGTTTTTGGGCCGGGCGCTGTGGCTCATGCCTGTAGTCCCAGCACTTTAGGAGGCTGAGGCAGGCGGATCACTTGAGGTCAGGAGTTCAAGACCAGCCTGGCCAACATGGTGAAACCCCATCTCTACTACTAAAAATACAAAAATTAGCTGGGCGTGGCTGTGAATGCCTGTAGTCCCAGCTACTTTGGAGGCTGAGGCAGGAGAATTGTTTGAACCTGAGAGGCAGAGGTTGCAGTGAGCCAAGATAGAGCCACTGCACTCCAGCCTGGGCGACAGAGCAAGACACAACCAAGCTCACTTGCTCACGCATTGTCTATGACTGCTTTCCTGACACAATGGCAGAACTGAGTAGTAGTGACAGAGACTAGAGGGCCTGCAAAGTCTAATGTAATTACTATCTGACCCTTTACCAAAAAAGTTGGCCAATCCTATAAGGGACAACTTCCTACACACACACAGATCTCCCTCTTGGTTTTCAGAGCAACATTCTCATCTGGCTTTCTACTTTCTCAACTGGCACTCTGGGATTTAAGCGGTGATATGACGGGGTGGTCTGGTGAGGACTAGACTAGGAGTGTGGCTAATCAGGAGGCTGGTGGACACTAATAGAAAGGTAAGACGTCGAGTACCAGAAGAGCTCATTAATATACAATTAAAGAGGTGACGCAGGTCCTATAAGATGTGGGAGAAGGGAAGTTCCATTTTAAGAAGTGAGCTGAGGAATAGGAGACACGAGGCCTGTGTGGTCTAGGCAGACAGTCTAGAAGGTCAACGTCTGCAGGAACTGCATGAACAAGCAGGGTGAAACCAAAGCTGCAGTCTAATCTTAGGGCAAAAGTGATTTCCCCATTTTATACTGCTCTCTGGAATTGGACAGCCTTAGGTCCAAATCTACTTATGACATTCAGAAGGAAATAAAAAACCTGAGGTAACTCCACCTTCTCCACAGATTTAAATCCTGTGTTGGATGCTGAAGAAAAGCTACATATCTCTCCCCTACTAGACTTTCCTCAAAATTCAGTTCCACATAGTACTGAATACTTTATTTATTGATTTATTTAGAGATAGGTCTTGCTATGTTGCCCAAGCTGGACTCAAACTCCTGGGCTCAAATGATCCTCTTGCCCCAGCCTCCTGAGTAGCTGGGACTCTGTGCCAGCACACCTGGAGCTGATATTTTTCCTTTCATATCTCATGAAAATAACCTTGGGTTAGAAGCTTGTCCTTCCTTCATGACCAGGCCATACGTTTGGTTCCATTATCAAAGTGAAAGCCATCTCCTTTCCATCCTCCTAAGCAAGAAAATCTCCCTTATATGTCAGTAAAAGTACCAAGCACCTACATTCTTTCTAATTCTCGCCTGCTATCAAGAAAGTATAAAACGAACAATAGTGGGGAGAGAAAAGGTGACGAAGAGAGGGAGGTAGTTTAAGTTGTGCTGATTTCATTATTTTAATAGCCAGGGATGGAAATAAATCATCTAAAGATGATAAATCAAGTACGTGGCAAAAACCGCAATTACTTTTGCACCAACCTAATAGAATAAGTATATTTAGAAACGCAAAGATAAAGGCCAGGCGTGGTGGTTCACGCCTATAATCCTAGCACTTTGGGAGGCCTAAGTGGGTGGATCACTTGAGGCCAGGAGTTCAAGACCAGCCTGGCCAACATGGTGAAACCATGTCTCTACAAAAAAAAAAAAAAAAAAAAAAGCGAAGATAAATACTAAGAACAGCAGAAAAAGGGAAGTGATAGTGTGCTAATTTTGTCAGTGTTCATAGTATGGAGTCAACTGGTTTTGCTTGAAGAAAGAGGATTAGGTTTATTATATAAACTTGTAGTTATAAGGTAACCACTAGAACAAAAATTTATTTCCCTATAAACTATTAGGAAACACACACATGCAAACACAAAGAAAATACAGTCCAGTAGAGAAGTGTTCAAAAAGTAACAACAACAACAAAAACCCAGAAAATATCATACAAAATTTGATACAGAATTAAGACCAAACTTATATGTATATGGGCTAAATTCACTGTGACAGACACTGTTGCTTACTCAACAGCCATTTCCCTGCTCCTGCCCCACTGCCTTATTTTGTCTGGGGAATGTACCCAGCCCTAGCAGATGAGTCATTATTAGCTAAGCCAGTCATAGCCATTCTGTGTCCTTCTGTCAGCCTTCCTTACATCTAAGAGTAGTCAGTTATATGGCAAAGAGATTTGAGGGGAAGTCTACTACAGGGCTACTGGGAAAGGTAATCTTTCGCCTGATAAGAGTAGCCCCAGAAGGATAAAGACTTTTACCCTGACTACCCTGTTTTCTGCCTTTGAACTGTGATGTTGGGAGCTGTGGCAGCCATTTTGAATTTATGAGTTAACAAGAATAAGGACTGGCAGAGCAGAAGGAAGGAGCCTAAGATCTGCTGACATTGTTGAGCTCCTGAATGAATGCCAGCTACCAAGTTGCAGCATGACTCATATCTTTACTTCCAACTTTCATTTCTTTCTTCAGGCTTATATTACTAAGAGGTCATGACTAATCTCACTTAACGAAGTATTCCTGTCAAAGCTTTTAGCCATTTGCCTTTGCAGACAGTTTAGACATTTTACTTGGAGCAGAGAATAGTTGATTTTGTGCTAAAAGTCTTCCTAGCAGAGACTCTTCCTGGCTTCAGATGATATCAATGACCTTAATGTTCAGCTTGTGGCATAGAATTCCAGAACTCTGGAAACAGCAATGCAACAACAGAAAATGATTCGGGAAAGAGCTTCTTTAAGGTCACACACATGGATTTCGTAAACGGCCCAGATTGTCTTTAGTTCTTTGTTATTTCTTTTGTTTTACAGATGCTTGAGCTTTTGTTAGTGAATAAGTATTACTATTGCTTGGTATCTTTTACCGAATTCGTATGAAATTCTTATGAATTTTTGCCTGTATGAAATTCATAATCTTACCAATGGGTTTTCTTTCTCTCCTCAAGCTTTCCTTCCATTCCCTTACTTCACATTCAATGAATTTCTTGTGTATGCCACTACCAAGTCTCAAGCTCCTACAATTATTCTAATTTCTACTTCTGTGTATTGGTACGCCATCTCTCCACCTTGCCTCCTCCCTCTCTGGGAGTCTTATCCCCCTCCTTTCTAAAATAAATTCATCTAAGGTGTTCCCAACCATCCTAGGCAAACCTTCAGAGGACTTCACTTCTACTTGGTCTTCCTTTATTCTCCCACTTCATTGGTTCCTTCCCCATTTACCTTCAACGCTACAACAGGTCTCCGTGGATAGTCATGCCCAGCCCCCAGCACACTTTCTGTGGGCTACCTAAGCTCTTAAATGGATGGTAAATGCCTTGGGGTTGCATTTGTTCTCTATCCACAATCTCATCTACTGCATACTTGGCAATGCGGTTTCCATCCTCCCAGCAACACTGAAACTGTTTTCTAAAAGGTCAACAAAGACCTCTTTTTAGTTAAATCCATTATTCTTTTCTGGTTTTTCTTTCTCTGTTTCTCTCTACAGCATTAAAAAGAAAAAAAAAAGATTTCTCATACCTCAAATGTTCGGCTTCCTTGGCTTCTGTCCTATTTGCTAGCAGTTCCTTCCCTTTTTATTGCCTTTTATTTCTCTTGCCATTCCTTTGCTACGTATTCCCTTGCTCCCTATTCTCTCTATCCTTTCACTCCAAAGTCACATTATCTTCCCTGTAGCCATTACCTCTGCGGTTAAAAAGGCCTGTTCTGTTTTCTTTTTCTTTTCTTTCTTTCTTTCTTTCTTTTCTTTTTTTTTTTTTTTTTTGAGATGGAGTCTTGCTCTGTTTCCCAGGCTGGAGTGCAGTGGCTCTGTCTCAGCTCACTGCAACCTCTGCCTCCCAGGTTCAAGCAATTCTCCTTCCTCAGCCTCCCGAGTAGCTGGAATTACAGGCATGTGCCACCATGCCTGGCTAATTTTTGTATTTTTAGTAGAGATGGGGTTTTACCATGTTGGCCAGGTGGTCTCGAACTCCTGACTGCAGGTAATCTGCCCTCCTTGGCCTTCCAAAGTGCTGGGATTACAGGCGTGAGCCGCCATATTTCACTGGGGCTGCAATTTTAAATTTTATTTTATGTATATATGTATTTATTTATTTATTTTAATTTTTTATTTTTTGAGACAGAGTCTCACACTGTAGCCCAGGCTGGAGGGCAGTGGTCAGATATCAGCTCACTGCAACCTCTGCCTCCCAGGCTCAAATGATCCTCCCACCTCAGTCTCCTGAGTAGCTGGGATTACAGGCGTGCACCACCACACCAAGCTAATTTTTTTGTATTTTTAGTAGAGATGGGGTTTTGCCATGTTGGCCAAGCTAGTCTTGAACTCCTGACCTAAAGTAATCTGCCTGCCTTGGCCTGCCAAAGTGCTGGGATTACAGCCATGAGCCACCATGCCTGGCCTTATTTACATATTTATTTTTGAGATGAGGTCTCAGTCTGTCACCCAGACTGGAGTGCAGTGCTGCTGTGATAGATAACTGTAGCCTGAAGCTCCTGGGCTCAAGCAATCCTTCTGCCTCAGCTTCCCAAGTAGCTGGGACTACAGATGCAAGCCACCATGCCCAGATAATTTATGAGTTTTTTGTAGAGATGGCATCTCACTATATTGCCCAGGCTGGTCTTGAACTCCTGGGTTCAGGCAAACCTCCCATGGCTGGGCTCTAGGCTTGGCTTTCCAAAGTGCTGGGGTTATAGGCATGAACCACTATGCCTGGCTGGTGCTGCAATTCAAAATCACCTCCCTTCTCAAACTAGCTCCCTTTCCCACTTTCCTGCCTGTGGTCATGGCATGGTCACTTTCTTAGTCACTGTCTTAGTCTGCTCAGGCTGCCATAACAAAACACCACAGACTGGATAGCTAAAACAACAGAAATTTATTTTCTCACAGTTCTCTGGGTCAGAAGTCCAAGATCAAGATTCTGGCAGGTTTGGTTTCTCCTGAACTCTCTCTCCTTGGCTTGCAGATGGCCATCTTCTTGGTGGGTCCTCACATGGCTTTTATTTTATTTTATTTTTTGCACCAGAGGCAGGGTCTCATTCTGCTGCCTCAGACTCCCGAGCTCAAGCAATGCTCCTGCTTTAGCTTCTCAAGTTGTTGGGATTACAGGCATGCACCACTGTACCCAGCAATGGCCTTTCTTTTGTGCATGTATTTCTGGTTTCTCTCCCTTTTCTTATAAGGACATTAATCATATTGGATTGGAGACCACTCTAATAACTTTTTCACCTCTCTAATAATTTTTTAACCTTAATCATCTCTTTAAAGGTCTTATCTCTAAATACAGGCACATTCTGAAGCATACTAGGGATTAGGATTTCAATATATGAATTTTGGGGAGGCACAATTCAGTCCGTAACAGTTACTCGCACCAAAACTTGGGTGTCCTCTTCACTTACCTCTATCATTTTCTATCCAGATATTTTACTTTCTAGATTTTTTCTATTAAGTGTTTAAATTCATCCTTTTATCACCATTGCCAGTGCCATTTTCAGGCCTTAATCAACTCTAAATTTCCATGCCTGGTCTTTTATAAGGCCCTCTGTAATCTGACCCATCTTGTCTTTTCTTTTAGTATGTTTATCATGTACATTGTAGAAAATATAACACTAAATTTTTGTGTCTGGCTACTTTCACTCAATAAAAAAGCAACAGTCCTCTTCCCTACCCAGACCCATTTCCCAGATGCAGCCTTCATATAGTTGAAAATTCAAAAGGTACCAAAGTCTACACTGTGAAAAATCTCCCTCCCACAGGCAACCAACGTTATTAGTTTATTGTATATCCTGATCTTATAGCTAGTTTGTACCCATGGGTACGTCTACTCATTTTCCCACAAATGGCAGTGTATTAGCCTGTTCTCATACTGTTATGATGAAATATTCACAATTGGGTAATTTATAAAGAAAAAGAGGTTTAATGGACACACAGTTCCATATGGCTGGGGAGGCCTCACAATCATGGCAGAAGGTGAAGGAGGAGCAAAGGTACATCTTAAATGGTGGCAGGCAAGGGCAGGTATGCAGGGGAACTGCCCTTTATAAAACCATCAGATCTTGTGAGATTTATTCACTATCATGAGAACAACATGGAAAAAACCCACCCCCATGATTCAATTACTGCCCACCGGGTCCCTCCCATGACACAAGGGGATTATGGGAGCTACAATTTGAGATGAGATTTGGGTGGGGACACAGCCAAACCATATAAGGCATCATACTGTAGACACTGCTTTACCTATACAAATTGCAATTTTCATTTAATATAACAAAAATAGCAAGCAGTTCTCAAGCACTTTCTATTTTTCTATTAGTATTCTGAATGCTTTGCATGTTTTAACTCATTTAATCCTTGAGATAACCTCCTGGAGTAAGAGCTATTATAATCCCCATTTTACAAATGAGAAAACTGAGACACAAAGCCTAGGATTGGCAGAACTAGATTTGAACCCAGCAGGCAAGCCCTCAGAGCTCAGTACTTAACCATGATAGCATGTTACTATGTCTTAGGGATTGTTCTATATCTGGACATAAAGAATGTTTGCATCCTTTTTAAGCTTTTCTTTTATTGGAGTTGAAACATATGCTCAGGAAGGTGCACAAACCATATGTACAGATGAAGGAATCATTAGAGAGTGAAGATACCTGTATAATCACCACCTAGCTCAAGAAACCAGAACCCCAGAAGCACCCTCTCCTCTCATGTGCTCCTAATTAAAGCTTACAGCGATTATAAAATATAGTCCCCAAATACTACTTTGACACCATTCCTCACATCGAGAAATAATGTCTCTATCTCCTGCCCTTGAATCAAGATTGACAGCTTAACCCATAGAGTACTGCAGAAGTGATACTGTGCCAGTTTTCAGGCCAGGCCTTAAGAAACTGGCAGCTTTCTCTTCCTGTTTCTTGGGATGTTTGCTCTTGGAATCCAGCCACCATGATAAAGAAAAACCATGCAGCTACATGAGAGGACAAGTGTAGGTATTCTGGCCAACAGTCCCTGAGGTCCCAGCAAACAGTCGGCATTAACTGCCAGACATGTAAGTGGGTAAGACTCCCAGTGATTTCACCTCCAAGTCTCAAGTCCCCAACAACACCCGCCCTCACTGCCCCCAGCCTTTGAACTGTCCAAGCTTATGCTGTTGAGGCAGAGATGAGCTGTCCCCTCCAAGCCCTGCCGAAATTGCAGACTTGTTGGCAAAGCACATTGTGGTGGTTGTTCGAAGTTGCTAAGTTCAGAGTGGTTTTTTACTTACCAGTAGATAACTAGGGCACTATTTTCTTTTTCCTCCCAAGGGTAATCACTATCTTGACTTCTGCTACTATAGATTAGATTTGTTTTTCTTCAACCTATATAAATATAGTCTTATATGGTTATATAGTTTGTATTATACAAACTTATATAGTTAGCATTATTTTGTGTCTGGCTACTTTCGCTCAATGTAATGTTTGTGGGATTCATCCATGTTGTTGCATGTAGCTATCATTTATTATTGTAAAACATTTCTTTGTATGCCTATATTATATCACAATTTATTTATCCATTCTACTGTTGATGGACATTTAGGTTAGGTTATGTTTTATTTGGAGCTACTATGAATAATGATGCTTTAAATATTCTTTTTTTTTTTTTTTTTTTTGAGATGGAGTTTCGCTCTTGTTGCCCAGGCTAGAGTGCAATGGCACAATCTCGGCTCACCGCAACCTCCGTCTCCTGGATTCAAGCGATTCTCCTGCCTCAGCCTTCCGAGTAGCTGGGATTACAGGCATGGGCCACCACACCCAGCTAATTTTGTATTTTTAGTAGAGGTAGAGTTTCTCCATGTTGGTCAGGCTGGTCTCGAACTCCCGACCTCAGGTGATTCACCCGCCTTGGCCTCCGAAAGTGCTAGGATGACAGGCATGAGCCACCGCGCCCGGCCTCTTTTTTTTTTTTTTTTAATATATAAAAATGCTTTATTTTACTCTTTCCATCCTGAATAAAAGTTTAGCCAGTTATAGAATTGTGCTTGACATTTGTTAACCTTAGTACTTTGAAGAAATACACACTTCGTCATTCATTGCCTTTTTTCTTCAAACATTTTTCTATTCTCTGGTGGCACTGATTTCTTTCTTCTAATTTGTTAATTTTTAATGTTTATGTATACATAATAATTGTGCTGCCATGAATATTCTTAACTCCTTACAAAGTAAAATGAGATCATTTGTCTCCTTACTCTCTCTCTCATGTATCTTTCCCCCTCCACATTCCAACTTCTGTCAGCTATGTCTTTAGTTTCACATTGTCAAGAGGGACAGCATTTATATTCTGTGCATGACAATATTCAAGGAGTGTATGTTATTTTTATAGATTTGTTCTAAGAGTGTAATGCCAATATATAGGGTTGCATTATTATGACTATGTAAATACTGTTCACTGTAGAACAAAATATTGTGCCAGGAATAATGCCCTCCTGGCAAGTTCCATTATCACAATGCCTGGGCCATTCACAAGAAAGTGTTATTTTTGTTTGTTTGTTTGTTTTGTTTTTGAGACAGGGTCTCACTCTGTTGCCCAGGCTGGAGGGCAGTGGCATGATCTCAGCTCACTGCAACCTCTGCCTCCTGGGTTCATGGAATCCTCCCACCTCAGCCTCCCAAGTAGCTGAGACTACAGGAACATGCCACCATGCCCGGCTAATTTTTGTATTTTTTGGTAGAAACAGGATTTTACCATGTTAGCCAGGCTGGTCTCAAACTCCTGACCTCAAGTGATCCACCCGCCTCAGCTGCCCAAAGTGCTGGGATTACGGGCATGAGCCACTGCACCCCGCCCACAATAAAGTGTTCTTAACATCCATCAAATAGACTGTCTTTTCATTCAGTTGCTCAAAAATCATGCCACATTTTTAGCTTGCTTCATATTTGGACATTTTTTCTCAGCATTTTTAAATTTTTTTTTCTTTTTTTTGAGACAGAGTCTCACTCTCACTCAGACTGGAGTGCAGTGGTGTGATCATGGCTCATTGCAGCCTGGACCTCCTGGGCTCAAGCAATTCTCCCACCTCAGCCTCCGGAGTACCTGGGACTACAGGCATGTGCCACCACACCCGGCTAATTTTTGTAATATTTGTAAACACAAGATCTCACTATGTTGCCCAGGCTGGTCTCAAACTCCTGGGCTCAAGAGACCCACCCACCTGGGCCTCCCAAAATGCTGGGCTTATAGGCAGCCTGTGTTTCTAATTGTTATCTTTCTTTATTTAGAGGTATATTAGTTTCTTAGGGCTGCCGTAACAAATTACTGGAAAGTAGGTGGCTTAAAACAACAGAAATTTATTCTCTCATAGTCCTGGAAGCTGAAAGTCAGCAGAGCCATGCTCTCTTGGAGTTCTAAGGAGGAATCTTTCTTTTCTTTTCTTTTCTTTTCTTTTCTTTCTTTCTTTCTTTCTTTTTCTTTTATTTCTCTCTTTCTTTTTTCTTTTATTTCCCTTTTCAGGAATGAAGGGAAGAAGGCTCTTCCTAGCTTCTGGTGGCTCCCAGCAGTCTTTGGCATTTTTTGGCTTGTAGCGTCAGCACTCCGATCTCTGCCTCCATCTTCACATGACCTTCTTCTCTGTGTATCTCTGTGTCTTATCATCTTCTTATATGTAACCCAGTCATTGGATTTAGGGACTACCCTAAATCCAGGATGATTACATCTTGAGATCCTTAATTAATTACATCTGCAAAGACCCTATCTCCAAATAATATCACATTCTGAGGTTTCAGGTAGACATGAGTTTTGGGTATATACTATTCATCCCACTACAAGAAGAAAAATATGACTTGCTCACTATGTGGTTAATATCTCCCTTACTCTAAGTAATGCAAAGAAAAAGGGAACTTACAGGGCAGATAACTAAAAAGTCCAAAGATTAATCCAGGAGCTCCCGCAATGTAATCACTGCAATGTTTCTTTCTCTCCATATTCTGGTTTTGTTTTCCTTTGTATTGGCTTTATTCTCAAGCAAGGTCACTTCCTGTACTGGCGAATAGAGGTATCAGCATCCTTCTAGGCTCATCTCTTCTTCAAAGATTGTGATTCTAGCAAAAATAAAAACAACTCTCCTGACAGTTCCAGCAAAATACCCGTGGACTGCCTGATAGAACTTGCTTGACTCATTTCTGAATCAACCACTGTGGCCAGGGCCATGAAATAACTTACTTGGCCAAACCTGAGCTATAAGCCTAACCATAATGTTGAGAGGTGGGAATATCCCACCTGAAGCACAGGAACTAAGCATAGGGTAGGGATGGAGCCCTAAGAGATTCTTGGGAGGCAAAAAACACATGTTCATTATTCCTTGAAAAACTAGAAAATAGCTTCATGTTGCTCTAACACTTGGTTGATAGTTTAGCTGAACGTAAAATCTAGATTTATGATAATTCTCTTTTAAAATGTTGAAAGCAATATTTCATTGTTTTATTTCTTCTTAAAATTTTATCATGAAAAATTTCAAAGTAAAAGTTTAAAGAATTTATAGTGAATACCTATATACATACAACCTAGGTTTACAAATAACATTATAATATGTTTGTTTTACCAAACATCCATCCATCTATCCCTCTGTTCAGCTGTTGACCCATCTTTTTTATGCATTTCAAAATAAATTGCAGTCATCACTATACTTTACTCTCAAACACTTCAGCATGCATATCATTACTTAGAGTTCAATATTTGTTTATAATTGTTTTCATTTGAGGTAAAATCTGTACACAAAATACACAAATATTAAGTGTACCATTCAATGAGTTCTGACACTGCAACCCAAATCCATATCAAGATACAGAACATTAGATGTTCCCTTATGTTTCTTTCCAGTAAATCCCTCCACGGTGTGACTTCATGAGGATGAATTCGTATAGCATTTCCTTTCCTTTTCTTTTCTTTTCTTTTCTTTTCTTTTCTTTTCTTTTCTTTTCTCTTCTCTTCTCTTGTCTTCTCCTTCCTTCCTTCCTTCCTTTCTCTCTTTCTTTCTTTCTTTCTTTCTTTCTGAGACAGGGTCTCGCTCTATCACCCAGGCTAGAGTGCAGTGGCATGATCTTGGCTCATTGCAACCTCCATCTCCTGGGTTCAAGCGATTCTTGTGCCTCAGCCTCCTGAGTAGCTGGGATTACAGGCACCTGCCACCACACTCAGCTAATTTTTGTATTTTTGGTAGAGACGGAGTTTCACATGTTGGCCAGGCTGGTCTCGAACTCCTGACCTCAAGTGATCTTCTTGCCTTGGCCTCCCAAGCATTCATTCTTTTCTATATCATTCTTTTATTCAGCACTCTTTTGAGATTCATCCATGTTGTAGTCTTCATCTATTTCACTGTATGACTATACCACAGGTTATTTATCCATTCTCTCACTGACGGACACATGGGCTGTTTCCAATTTTCAGCTATTATGAGTAAAGCTGCTATAAACATTCTTGTACACATCTTTTTGTAGACACAGCTTTCATTTCTCTTGAATAAATACCTAGGCATGAAGTTCCTGAGTCTACAGGGTAGGGGTAGATTTCATTTCATAAGGAACTTCCAGATCTTTTTCCATGTGGCTGTACCATTTTATTTATTTTGTTTGAGAAAGAGTCTTGCTTCATCACCAAGGCTGGAGTGCAGTGGTGTGATCATGGCTCACTGCAGCCTCAACTCAGGCAACTCTCCCACCTCAGCCTCCTGAGTAGCAGGGACTACAGGTGCACACCACCATGCCTGGCTAATTTTTTTTTTAAGTTTTAGTAGAGATGACATCTCACTATGTTGCCTAGGCTGGTCTCAAACTCTTGGGCTCAAGCAATCCTCTTCCCTCGGCCTCCCAAAGTGTTGGGATTGTAGCTGTGAGCCATTCCACTTAGCCTGTAATTTTAAATAGTAAGTTCTGGTTTGTCTAGGTTCTCTCTGGGGTTGAGAAAAGTTCTTCCAGAAGGAATTTATAATTGTCTCTGCTACGTACCTGTGGCACTGACAACTCAGGACAACTTTAAGTTCATTTCTCCCCCTGGGGTTTATTAAACCAAACTAGTAATGAAAAGCCAAGCCCAAACTTATGTGAAGCAAACCTATAGCTGCCAATTCTTGAAGGAGAAGTTTATCTGCATACAGAGCCCAGTGGCCAAATTTTTTTTTCTGGTCTACCCTTCACGAACGAGGTTCTACTTGTTTTATTCACTTTTATTATTTTTATTTTCATTTTCCTTTGAGATAGAGTCTCGCTCTGTCACCCAGGCTGGAGTGCAATGGCGCGATCTCAGCTCACTGCAACCTCCGCCTCCCACGTTCAAGTGATTCTCCTGCCTCAGCCATCCAAGTAGCTGGGATTATAGGCATGCATCACCACATCTGGCTAATTTTTGTATTTTTAGTAGAGACGGGGTTTCAGCATGTTGGCCAGGCTGGTCTCGAACTCGTGACCTCAGGTGATCCACCTGCCTTGGCCTCTCAAAGTGCTGAGATTACAGGCTGAGCCACCACGCCCTACCAAGGTTCTACTTCTTTAGGGTTCCTGGCTTTATGAAGCACTTTTGCTCCTACTCCCCACCTTGAGTGAGCTCAAGGCTCTGACTTCTGTCCTCTGTGCATCCATGAAACTCACATCTCTCTGTTGCACAAATCAGTGCTGTATCTGGCAGCTGTGTCTGGCAGCTGCAGCTTCACCATCAGCTTTCTGCTCTGCTTTCTATCTTCCTCTTTGTTTTGGGCCTTTGGGGATATCCTTTATTCTCTTGTGAGTACAGCTAGGTATTTAAAAGCATATTTATTATATTTTCCCCTGCCATCTCAAGATTTTGCCACATTGCTGTTTTACCATATACAGAAATCCAGAATTTTTCCACTCATTGATAATACTTTGTTTTCTGTTTATAAGCTGTATTTTTCATATAATACTGTATCATAGACATTGTTTCATACCATTAAGTGCTCTGCTACTAGATAATTTAAATGCCTTCATTGTAATTCATCGTAGGGATATACAATAATATTTAATCATATCCTAATATTGGACATTTGAGGTTCCATTTTATTATTAGTAGTTTTTTTTTAGTTATTACGACTACATGTATTAAATGTAAGTTGTTGTTCCTTATTATGAGATTATATCCTTCCTACTTTTATGATATTAAACATCAACTTTTAAATGAAATATTGGTAATAAGGTTTTTAAATTTGCTTAAATATCTTTACTTGACCATCCTTTTAACATCCCCCAATTTTTAAAGTCCTTTTTGAATTCAGCATTTTATTATTAATTTAATTCAACCTCATTATTTCTTTATAATGTGAGTGATGAGTTTGGCCCCTCCCAAATCTCATGTCCTCACATTTCAAAACCAATCATGTCTTCCCAACATCCCCCAAAGTGTTAACTCATTTCAGCATTAACTCTAAAGTCCACAATCCAAAGTCCCATCTGAGACAAGGCAAGTCCCTTCTGCCTATGATCTGGTAAAATCAAAAGCAAGTTAGTTACTTCCAAGATACAATGGGGGGACAGGCATTGGGTAAATACACCCATTCCAAATGGGAGAAATTGGCCAAAATGAAGGGGCTAAAGAACCCATGCATGTCTGAAATTCAGCAGGGCAGTCGAAACTTAAACCTCCAAAATGATCTCCTTTGACTCCATGTCTCATATCACATCGGGTCACGCTGATGCAAGAGGTAGGCTCCCAAGGCCTTGGGCAGCTCTGCCCCTGTGGCTTTACAGGGTGTAGCTCCCCACCCGGCTACTTTCACAGGTTGGCAATGAGTTTCTGTGGCTTTTCCAGGTGCACATTGCAAGCTGTAAGTGAATATCATTATGGGGTCTGGAGGATGGTGCCCCTCTTCTCACAGCTCCACTAGGCAGTGCCCCAGTAGGGACTCTATGTGGGGGCTCTGACCCCACATTTCCCTTCCACACTGCCCTAGCATAGGTTCTTTATGAGGGCCCCACCCCTGCAGCAAACTTCTGCCTGGACATCTAAGTGTTTCCATACATCCTCTGAAATCTAGGCAGAGGTTCCCAAACCTCAATTCTTGACTTCCATGCGCCTGCAGGCTCAACACCATGTGGAAGTTGCCAAGGCTTGGGGCTTGTAACCTCTGAAGCAACCACCTGAGCTATATCTTGGCCCCTTTTAGCCGTGACTGGGGTGGCTGGGACACAGGGCACCAAGTTGCTAGGCTGCACAGAACAGGGGGGCCTTGGACCCAGCCCACAAAACCATTTTTTCCTCCTAGGCCTACAGGCCTGTGATGGATGGGGCTGCCATGAAGATCTCTGACATGCCCTGGAAACATATTCCCCACTGTCTTGGCAATTAACATTTGGCTCCTTGTTACTTATGCAAATTCGGGCAGCTGGCTTGAATTTCTCCTCAGAAAATGGGATTTTCTTTTCTAACGCATCGTCAGGCTTCCAATTTTCTGAACTTTTATGCTCTGTTTCCCTTTTAAAACTGAATACTTTTAATAGCACCCAAGTCACCTCTTGAATGCTTTGCTGCTTAGAAATTTATTCTACCAGATACCCTAAATCATCTCCCTCAAGTTAAAAGTTCCACAAGTCTCTAGGGCAGGGGCAAAATGCCACTAGTCTCTTTGCTAAAACTTAGCAAGAGTCACCTTCACTTCAGTTCCCAACAAGTTCCTCATCTCCATCTGAGACCACTTTGGCCTGGATTTCATTGTCCATATCATTATCAGCATTTTGGTCAAAGCTATTCAACAAGTCTCTAGGAAGTTCCAAACTTTCCCACATTTTCCTGTCTTCTCCTGAGCCCTCCAAACTGTTCCAACCTCTCCCTGTTACCCATTTCCAAAGTCGATTCCATTACTTCGGGTATCTTTACAGCAGCACCCCACTCTACTGGTACCAATTTACTGTATTTGTCCATTTTCATGCTGCAATAAAGACATAACTGAGACTGGTTAATTTATAAAGGAAAGAGGTTTAATGGACTCATTGTTCCAAATGGCTGGGGGGGCTTCAGAATCATGGCAAAGGCAAGGAGGAGCAAGTCACGTCTTACATGGATGGCAGCAAGCAAAGAGAGAGAACTTGTGCAGGGGGACTCCTCTTTATAAAACCATCAGATCTCTTGAGACTTAGTCACTATCATGAGAAGAGCACAGGAAAGACCTGGCCCCATGATTCAATTACCTCTGACTGGGTCCCTCCCATGATGCATGGGAATTGTGGGAGCTACAATTCAAAATGAGATTTGGGTGGGGACACAGGCAAACCATATCAGGGGGTGTCTGATTCAATCTTTAACTCATGTTTAAAAATTGATTGTTTATCTTTTTATTAATAAGTTGTATGGATTCTTTACACATTCTGAATTCTAATCCTTTGTCAAATATATGTTTTGCAGAATTTTTTCCCAGGTTGTGACTTGTCTATTTATTTTCTTAACAATGTTTTTGATAAACAAATGTTTTAAAAATTGGTGATTTTGATTTGTCAATTGTTTCTACCAAGGTTTTGCTTTTAGTGTCTTATCTAAAAAACTTTGCCCACCCTTAAGTCATGAAAATATTTTCCTGTGTTTTCTATATTTTTGCTTTAGCTACTGCATTTAGGTCCAAGAGTCATCACAGTCTTTGCGCATGGTTTGATGTAGTGGTTAAGACCCTCCCCCTGCTAATATGTATACCCAGTTGTTCTAGCACTATCCGTTGAAAAGACACTATTGTTTTCTGATATCTGATAATTCTAGATATTTAGCCTGTTGTCAGTCTGATTTTCATTCCCATGTAGGTGACCTATTTGTCTCTGTTCTGGATGCCTTTTGAATCTTATCTTTTTCCTTATTTCATCTACTATTATCTTGCTTGTCTTTCAGTATGCCCTTTCAATCTGAAGATTCATGGGTATCTCAGCTTTGGCATATTTTCTGCAGTAACTTCTATTCTTGCATTTTTCCCTAGGTTTTCTTTCTGGAATTCCTATTGGTTAGAGCTTGAACTGGGATTAGACCTCTAGGAGTTTTATGTTTTCTAGTTTTTTTCTTTCTCCTTTTTTCTAATGTCATATTTTGACCAATTTTGAAATGTGACAAGTTTATTATTAACTTCCAAGTGCTCTTTCATGTTCTCTAATTGTGCTTTATTTGTAGCATCTCATTGTGATTTCATGTATTAATTTTCTAAACTACCTCTGAGAATACTAACTAGACGCTTAAAAAGCTATTTTTCTGTTCCCCAAATTGTTTCTTGTGTAGTCAGCCTTTATTTTTGCTTCTTCCAGTTTTCGAATTGCTTGTAGCTGATTTTCTTCATGTGTCCAGTGATTTAGGGATACTTTTTTATGTTAAAAAGAAGAAGAGGAAATTAGCTGATTTTCCTGTGTGTTTCCTTTATTATTTTATACAGAGCTGTTTTCCTGCTAGTTAATTGTCCAGAAAATAGAAGAGGCTGACAGGAAGTTCAGTTTGGTGTTTTTTTTTTTTTTTTTTTTTTTTTTTTTTGAGATGGAGTCTCGCTCTGCTGCCCAGGCTGGAATGCAGTGGTACAATCTCAGCTCACTGCAACCTCCACCTGCCGGGTTCAAGTGATTCTTCTGCCTCAGCCTCCTGAGTAGCTGGGATTACAGGTGCCCGCCACCACGCCTGGCTAATTTTTGTATTTTTAGTTGAGATGAGGTTTTGCCAGTTTGGCCAGGCTGGTCTTGAACTCCTGACCTCAGGTGATCCACCTGCCTCAGCCTCCCAAAATGCTGGGATTGCAGGCATGAGCCACCAAGCCTGGCATGACAGGAAGTTCTAATCAGTCAAGTAGAGAGTGCTAAACAGAAAGGCTTCCCTTCAGGAAAAAGTGTCAGGGAGCCAAGAAAGAGGGCTTTAACTGGGGTGTCAACACCAGCATCAGTTTATGAGCATTTAGTTAAAAACTATTGTCTACTAATTGCCCTCCTCCCATTCTCTTAGGTGTTCTGGCTTTGTTCACTTGAAAATTATTTATTACTGTTTTTAATTGTGTATTGCAAGAGAGAGAGACCAAAGAGTGTGTGTTCAGGCTGCCATCTTGAACCAGAGCTTCATTCTATCTTTTCTCAAGCATTTTCTGCTCTTTCTAAATGTGCATCTTCCATTGTATTTAGATTGATATCTTCACTGTCTCATGGATATACCAGGCTAAAATCCACCTTCATGCCCTCAATTATTATGTTTCCTTTTCAGAAATTTCATTCTTCTCTTCCCTCTCTTCTTCCACTTAAATCCAGCAAAATTCTTACCAACTTTCAAAACTTGAGTACGCTTCCTTTGTGAATCTCATCTAACTCAGCTTTCATTGACCTCCTACTTATCTTACTGTTATCCTGCTCAATGCCTGTCAATCACATTTCAGTTCTTAATTATACAGTCTAGTATTACTCACTCTTTTTAGATGTTTATTATTATTTTGGTAACTACCTAAAACTCTTTGGGAACAAGTGTTTATTTTTCTGTAGCCTTCAAAACACACAGCACAGTGTGATTATATAGTAGGTATTCAACAAATATTTGTAATTGATTAACTTCTCTACTGTTGTAGAAGAGGAGGTAGATAACTAACTGCTTATATTTCTTTTTTCTGGAAACATTAGGAAGGCTGTCTTTGAATTGGAAGCTGAGTAGTGAAGCTCCATTTCAGGCAGAAAAAAAAAATTGCTAATTATTCTACATTAAGCAAAAACTTAAGTTTTATAGCATAAACATTGTCTGCTGAAAGCAATGACAATAGATACATCCAGAAGAGTTGAAGCAGGTAGGACAAGAGTGGTTTGGGGAAAAGCAAAAGCAAAATGTGACTAAAAATAGACTTTATAGTCTGGCGTTTCCATAGTGAGTGAGTTCTCCTAACGTTGCTAACAGTGTCAGCTTCAACTAAAGGTTTAAAGGTAAACCAAGAGCAAAAGAATGGTAAATAGTATGCTTCTAGTGTTCATATCACCAAATATATCTGCTTCACCACCTCTTTGGGCACTTGGTAGGCTTGTATTTGTATTTCCTTGATCTCATGAAGTTAGGGGTAGTCATGTAACTTGCTTTGGCCAAAGAAATTAGAGTGAGATTGATATCACTTCCAGGTGGAAGCTTTAAAAGCCAGTGTGGGATTTGTCTCGTCTCTGTTTTCTGCTTCAGGGATCGTGGAAACATGTGATTCTCCATAATTCTGAATTCCTGAAAGCCTATAACTCACTCATCGTGAGTGAATAACAAAGCTTTGTAGTTTAAGCCGCTGAGATTTTGGGGGTTTTATTTCAGTATAATTTAGTCCAGGGCAACCTGCAACCTGCAGGCAAGCTGCCTGTTTTTATACAGTTTTGTTGGAACACAGGCACATGTATTTGTTTATGTATTATCTATGGCTACTTCCATGCTGCCACCCAGGTAAGTAGTTGAAACAGAGATTGTATGGGCTGCAAGCCTAAAATATTTACTTTTACCATTTAAGAAAGTTTGCTGACCTCTAACCTGATCTGTGCTGACTATGATAGACCTAGAGGTCTCTGGTAAAAACCTTTAGATGGCTACTTTTTATTTTGTACATAACATAAAAGATGTTTATAGTAGCCAGTATCTAAGATGGCTCTAGTGATCCCTGCCTCTTGATACTCACACTCTTGTGCAGTCTCTTCTTACACTGAGTAGAGCTGACTTGTATAACCAATATGGAAACAACGGAATATTGCTTCTTTGCCCAGGTCATCAAAGACATTATGGCTTCTATCTCCCTCTCTCCAAGATCACTTACTTTGAGGGAAGCCAGCTACTATGTTGTGAAGCCCACATGGTGAGAAACTGAGGCCTCCTGCCAACAGTCATTTGAGTCAAGCCTTCAGATGACTGGTGCCTTGGCCAAAATCCTGACTGCAACCTCATGAAGAACTCTGACGACAAATTGCCCAGTAAAGCTGCTCCCGAATTCCTGATCCACAATTAATATGAGATAATAAATGTTTGGTATTTTAAGCTGCAAAATTTTAGGGCAATTTGTTACAAACAGATAACATGCAGTGTTCAAACGAAAAGTGTACTGGTACTGTGTATGCTTATATATGTATATATTTGCACATAGGCTTATATATATACTAACATGTCTTATTACTGGACAAAGAATTAATGGACGTCCATAATTATAGTATACTTACATGATTTTAGATAAGTGGAATTACCTTACCTGTGGAAAAAATTGTTATACATGTATATATCTTTCCCATTCCTTTCCAACACCTAATCTTTGTGGAATAGAGAATGGAATGTGTTCTGGGAAGGGAGGAAAAAAATTCTAAAACATTTAAACTTTCCTTCATATGTTAATTGCTCAAATTTGCCTTCTTTGTATGTGGGAATAGGGTAAGAAGAGTGGCACGAACTCTATAATATTTTAACATTTTCTTTCTAAGGATGATGATGGAGTTCTAACAAAAGTGTCAGAAGGTTGCTTTTTCAATTTATCTACTATAACCTTCCTAGACACGTTAAATGGAATAGTAAGAGCATTTTGAATTGTGGGAGTGACATCTGGAATCTAGAAAAATATTTGAAATGAAATTAGGAAGTAGTCAAGAAGCAAAAGTCAGTGAGAGCCCGGGGTTAAGGAAAACTAAATAGAAGTGTGTTTGATAACAAATTGAGACTAACAGGCAAAGATAATGGGTAAAAAATATTCCTTATTAAATGGTACCAGCAGATTTGTTTGGACAGCAATCTGTATAGCTTTAACCCAAAGTGTAAACAAAAGGTGTCTAATTAGTATTTTCTGATAATGCTGGTGGGCATAAAGCATGAGAAGTGGAAAAGAAAAAAAGAAAGGCAGGCGAGAGAAAAAAAAGGAACAGGGGAAAGAAGAAGTTAATAAATAAAGAAAATACATGGTGGGATAGACGTACTCACTTGAAAATGCCTCTGGTTCTTAACCCTGTCCCAAGCTCCAGGACAATGGCTGCTACCTGGCCAAATCTTATTTTTCTTTTTTCTTTTTCTTTCTTTTTTTTTATTTTGAGACGGAGTTTTGCTCTTGTTGCCCAGGCTGGAGGGCAATGGCTCGATCTCGGCTCACTGCAACCTCCGCCTCCTGGGTTCAAGAGATTCTCCTGCCTCAGGCCCCCGAGTAGCTGGGATTACAGGAGTCCACCATCACACCTGGCTAATTTTGTATTTTTAAAAGAGGCAGGGTTTCACCATGTTGTCCAGGCTGGTCTGGAATGCCTGACCTCAGGTGATCCACCCGCCTCAGTCTCCCAAAGTGCTGGGATTACAGGCTAGAGACACTGCACCCGGCTCAAATCTCATTTTTCAAGCCTACAACTTGTTTTAGGCCTTCAATAAATATTCAACGATCAGCCTGCAAATAAGCACTGACCTCTATAGTTTGGGCTAACATGAAATAAGGGTGAGACTAAAGAAGAAACTACCAAGCTATCCCCTGATCCTCCTAAAAAGGGTAAGAATAGCTCTCAAAACAAACATAGTTTCTCCTCTTAATACCCTTTTGGTTTCATAACCATGCAGCTCTGCTGTAGATGCGAGGTCTGTATGTGCTAGAGTACATATTGTGAAAATCCCCATTGGATTATGAAATTTTATTAACACATAATATCATAATTATCTTAGATGATAAATCTGTAGAGTTGAAATCTGGAGACAAGATCCTTGGTGTGGCTGCTTTCAGGATCAAACTGTAGAGCAATAGAACTTGTTCTCAAGACCTGTAGAGTCTAACCATAAACTTGTTCTGCTGTAGACGTTTATCATGCTTATTGAACTGTTAATCATAAATATGGCCAAAATTCAAGGCCCATGTCTGACAAATTTCATAGCACTAATGAAGGGACAAGATGTTTGAGAACCCTGAGAAGTCTAATATGCTTGAGCATGTTGAGAAAACTAGATTTCTGTAAAAGAAGAGCATGTGTGTACAGACAATGTATGTTTTAAAGGTAAAAGAAAAGGCTGGCTCTTTTTAGAAAAGTGAAGGCCAATTGTTAAATACTTTATTGTTTATCTTATTGTCATTTATTTAGGCTACACAAGCACAGGTTTGAGAAATCATTTCCTAACTTGCTATAAATGTCAGAGACTGGGATTATCCGAGGTTGTCCTTCTTTAAAGATTGGAAGTTAACACAGGAGCCCGCCCAAGCTGGCCTGCATTGTGTTTCTTCAGAAAGGAGGCTCGCACAGAATCTCTATAAGGTGTTATTTCATTAAAATGTAACCTTTGCAGTGATATCTGCATTTCAACCAGGGAAATTTCAATGTATCTAGTGGTATAATTTAAAACTCCAAAAGGGAAGTTAAGCAGATATTTTTAGCCAAGGTGCCACCATCAAATCATCACTCCACAAATCCTATTGTGTTTGAAGCAGCCTAACCCTAAGTAAGCCATTTCTAACACAATGAAATGCATTTCTCCACAGTTAAAGAAGCTAAATCTTAAGTGAATGCTCTCTGACTTTTATCTGAATTTCATTGAGAAACGTTTGGTCACGGCTTTTAAAAATTTTAATTCCTTCGACTACCTTCTTATTTTATAGCCCTTTCAAGTTACAGAGAAAATTGAGCTAGCAGTGTTTTCGTCCTCCAGGGGACATTGCTGCTATTTCTTGGCTCATCTCATTAAGACCTAGCACAGTCCCATAACACAGTTTCATAGGATGTGCTCAGCTGTGACCAGGTGTCTCCAATTCTGTTTCACAGTAGCTGAAACTAAAAACTTCATTTTTTCCTCAACATCTGCTCCATACTGTTTTTTTCAGGATTATTATAGTAGTGAAAAAATTCTTCAATGGTGTATTAGATAAAACAACAAAAGCACAAGGGACAAATGAAAAACATAGATAAGTTGGACTTTATTAAAATTAAAGACTTCCGTGCTGCGAAGGATATCACCAAGAAAGTGAAAGGACAGCCCACAGAATAGGGGAGCGTATTTGTAAAGTATATATTTGACAGGGAACTTGTATCTAGAATAAAAAACTTCTACACCTTAATAATTAAAAAAACAATTTTTTAAATTAAAAATGGGTAAAAGGCCGAGCTTGGTGGCTCACACCTGTAATCCCAACACTTTGGGAGGCCGAGGTGGGTGGATCACTTGAGGTCAGGAGTCTGAGACGAGCCTGGCCAACATGGTGAAACTCCGTCTCTACTAAAAATACAAAAATCATCCGGGCATGGTGGTGGGGGCCTGTGGGCCCAGCTACTCGGGGCTGAGGCAGAAGAACTGCTTGAACCCAGGAAGCGGAGGTTGCAGTGAGCTGAGATAATGCCACTGCACTTCAGCCTGGGCAACATAGCGAGACTCTGTCTCAAAAAATAAATAAATAAACAAGTAGATAAATAAAAATGGGCAAAAGTTCTGAATAGACATTTCTCCAAAGAAGATATTAGAACAGCCAATAAGCACATGAAAAGATGCTCAACATCATTAATCGTTGGGGAAAGGAAAATCAAAACCACCATGACATACATCATACCCACTAGGATGGTTATACTAAAAAAGACATAATAACAAGAATGTGGAGAAATTGGAATACACTGCTGGAGGAAATGTAAAATGATGCAACAGACTTGGAAAACATCTGGCAGTTTCTCACATGGTTAAAGATAGAGTTAACATATATCCCAGTAATTCCACTCTTAAGTATATGCCCAAGAGAATTAAAAACATACGTCTATACAAAAGCTTTTAAGTAAATGTTCATAGCAGCATTATTTATAACAGCCAAAAGGCAGAGACAACTCAAATGTCCATCAACTGATGAATGAATATAGAATTTCATACAATACATATTATTCCACAATAAAAAGGAATTAAGTACTGATACATGCTACAACATGGATGAACCTTGAAAACATTATGCTAAGTGAAGAAGCCAGTCACAAAAGACCACATATTAAATGATTTCATTTATATGAAATTTCAGAAACGGCAAATCTATAGACAGAACATAAACTAGAAAGAAGAGAAGTGACTGCTAATAGGTACAGGGTTTCTTTTTGGGGTAATGTAATGGCTGCACAACACTGAATATATTAAAAACCATTGGATTGTACACTTCAAGTAGATAAATACGGTATGTGAATTATATTTCAATAAAGCTGTTATTTTAAAAATTCTTCCATGAAGTTGATCATGGATACAAGTCAAGGCCAGGTCAAGAACATATAAGCCGGCTGGGAATGGTGGCTCATGCCTGTAATCCCAACACTTTGGGAGGTTGAGGCAGGCGGATCACCTGAAGATCATACTGGCTTGTATGTCTCATATGTTTGTTTGTTTTTTTTTTTTTTTCCGACGGAGTCTCACTCTGTTGCCCAGGCTGGAGTGCAATGGTGCGATCTCGGCTCACTGCAATCTCCGCCTCCCGGGTTCAAGCGATTCTCCTGCCTCAGCCTCTCGAGTAGCTGGGACTGCAGGCGCCTGCCACCAAGCCAGGCTGATTTTAGTATTTTCAGTAGAGACGAGGTTTCACCATGTTGGCCAGGCTGGTCTCGAACTCCTGACCTTAGGTGATCCGCCTGCCTCGGTCTCCCAAAGTGCTGGCATTACAGGCGTGAGCCACCATGCTCGGCTTACTTTTAAAAATCTTTCTTTTTTAAACCAATGCTCTAAACTACGTGACATTTTCTGTTTTATCTCTGTGAGCTTTCCATAGTTACATGATTTTGAAAACAAATCAGCAAAGCACTAGCAAAATGCAAGCTGTATCTTCCGAGATTAGAAGTTATTTGGAAATCTCAGGACTCATCCTTTGGTTCTGGACAATTTATATTGAAGGGTGGGTACCAGTTATTCTTTTGGCTCATGGCTGAAATAATGTTATTACAGCTGATCTGTTTTGACTTCACGAAGTGAAAAGTAGTAATTGGGGTCCCAATGGACTTCTAAAATCTCAGAGTAGCCAATGAGTATATAAGCATTGCTTATGTGGAGTATTGACCTTTGCTAAGTACTTACATAACTGTGTTTTAAAGAGCACATTAGAGCTTTGAAAAATGGACTCAACGCTTTTTGGTGCCAAGGACGTGCGACTCGGCGGCAAACGTTTCGATGAAGACAGTGAACCACCTAAGGGGCAGGCTGTAGGTCTGAGGTCTTGGGGGATTCTAACAGAAAGTGTGTTCTGACAGCAGTGGGTAAAAATCCACGAGTCAGACTGGGCTGCTCCTCTCCTAAGCCACAGCAGCAACGTCTGAACAACGTCTTTGACCTTGTTCGAAGCTTGAGGACCGCCCTCCCTGCCTGCGCACGTGGCGGGGTGGGGACAGAGGCAAGTAGCACTAACATGAGACATCTGCTCCCGCACGCCGTTTAAATTCCAGGTGTCGAATTGAGTTCTAGGTTTGTTGCCGCAGGATACCGCGGGGCCGACCCCCAGGACTAACTAATTATAAGAATCGAAATAAGAATCTTCCAATCTCCAACACACACTTTCCTTTTCCTTCTTTGCTCCGCCCCTACCCTCGCCCACTCTCCGCCGACTTCCGCAGTTTTGGCCCGCCCAGGTCGCTAGTTCGGCTCTGTCACGCGCCCAGCCTGACTCTGAGAGGCTGACGAGACTCGGGAAGTGCGACTCCATCCGGGTGTTTTGTTGAGGATGGTTGAGGGCGTGCTTTTATGACGACATCGGGGCGGGGCGAAGAGCCAACTCAGGAGACTGGGACTTCCTGAAGAAGGGGGGCGGAAGGAGTGGCGGGGAGCCCCCCCCTTTCCACGCCCCTTGGATACTCCATACTGGAGGAGAGAGGAGTCTCAACTCTCAAACTCCCCTTTTGAGGGGCGATTACTGAAATGGAGAGGTTAAATTCAAAGGCTCCACTTTTAAAAGACCTGTCCCTATTCCGTACTCTTGATCTGTTTTCCTCTTTTTCGGTAACCTTGAAAACTTTCCCACCTCCAATCCTTTCTCCCCCTTTGATTCTGCGCAAATGGTGGGGTCCCGCAGGGCGCGCAGTCGCAGTCACACCGGGGCGGTGCCGGTGAGAGGCGGGTGACGCAGCGGCCGTCGCTGCCATTTTAAGTTGTTTGTTCTCGCTTCTTTTCTCAAACGCGACTCTGCCCCGGACCCGCGAGGCGCCCGAGGCCTTCGCCGCTTCTGCAGCCACCGGCGGGGGGGGGAACGAGGCAGTACTGCCGCGGACGCTCACCAACCGCTTCGGCTTTTCCCCCCTCCGGGTCTCCTCGACCTTTCCTGAGAGCCGGAATCCGACTGTAGGGGGAAGAAAGACTCAAGAGCAGATGCTTGAACTGAAATAACTTTATTTTGGGGGGTTACTTTGCTGACCCTTAGCGCAGGGCTTCCTTTCCCTTCCCCCTCCGCCGCCAGTACCAATCCAACTCCCCATCTTTCTCTTTGTTTTTCCTCTTTTTCTTTTTCTCTCCCTGTTGCCGCTGTCTCCGCGTCCTTCCCCTCCGTTGCCGCCCAGGGCGCCGAGCCAGACTATGGGTCCCAGGTGGGGGCTGAGCGGCGGCAGCAGCGCGGGCGGTCCAGTCACGGTGCGCACTGCAGCGGGGATGGAGGGGCTCAGTTGGCTGGTGGTTTTCTCTTGACATGGCTCCTGCCCGTGCTACCAGCAGCGCCCCCGCCGCCGCCGCCTCTTCCGCCGCCGCCACCGCTCCGCCCGCAGGCTGCGGCTAGAGGGCCCAAACCCCGCCCTAGAGTCGGTCCGTGAGTCCCGGGCTCCGCGGGGACAGGGAGGGGATTTCCCCGTCACCCACCCCGCCCTAGCTGCCTCAATTCCACCCCCTGCCCCTCGGGAAACAACTAACGACCCCACCCTAAACAATCCAAACTCTGGAAACATGGTCTGTTCAACGTGAGAGAGAGCTAATCCGGGAACTTAATTTTTTGGGGGGAGGGTGGGTGGGCTTACTTTAGAAGTAATATTAACACAATTATTTTCTTTTTTTCCCCCACTGAACCTTCCCATTTACCCTCTCCCGCCCACTCCACCCGGGCGGGAATTGTTTCCACGATGAAATGAGTGAAAACCTGAGTGATCCTGTGTCTCCCGTGGTGCGAGTGAGTCGCTGCCGCTGAAGGCAAGGGGTGGGGGTGGGACCTGCGGGGGTGGAAGGCAGGTGGTCTCCGGGCACCGCCTGGGATTTGGGAGAAGAACCCGCCACCTTTGCCTCGGCAATGCTCACAAGAAGATAAATCGCACTCCCCACCATTTTGAACGGGGGCAGATCCACAGGGAAGTCTCCCTTGGGGAATGTAGGACTAGTTGCAGGCTGGGGGTGTTGGGAACCCGGGCATTAATCAGGTCTAACCACAGAGCCGGAATAATTAATACCGTATTATATACCCCTTTTCCTTCTGCCGTCATGATTCTCCTTGGCAGCAGCGTTAGCAGCCGCCTGAGGGTGAAAATGTGGGTGATGGGGAAGTTGGTAATGACTCCGCTGTTTTTTCTCATGGCTCCTTTGGGCCACAGCTGCCCGCCCCCGGTATACACTGTAGTTGATTGCAGGGAAACCCTGTACCTCTCCCTTTCCTTCTCTACCGATTTTGCACTTTTCTCTATGCTCACCACCAAGTGTAATCAATAACAAGCACTGACAATACATAGCAATAGTGAAATCTGAAATAACTAAGAATTAGGTACTACAGCCATGGAGCTGGCTGGGTAAAATCTAATTGGATATTTCAGTTTCATTCACCTACCCTGTTTTGGTGTTTGGTTTTGGTTTTGGTTTTGGTGAGTTTTTTTTTTTTTTTTTTTTGGAAAGCAAGGATCACACTTCCCCCTCCCTGTTCCTTAATCCCTTTTCTAAAAAGGGGGGAAAATCCGGATGGATTTTAGGGATTGGTCTGGTGTCAGCTGTGTTTTATTGCACACCTAAATCCTGATTATAGGCTTTTCATTTCTCCGCAAAGCCTTTATTTTGGCAGTTAAGCCAAATGTGTTTTCCAGAAAGTTAGTTATTTTCTCCTCTTTCTTTCCTTTCTTTCCTCCCTTTTTCCCGTCTGACCCCAAACGTTATTGTCCAAACATGACTGGACAGCAGCTTTTGTTTCTTGACCCTGTAATATGACAGTCTGCTAATATTGACAGAAGGTGCAGTTTTTGGGTTATAGTCGTGATTTTCGCTAATCAATCATATTAGCAGGAAAAAAAATGACTTGTTTCTGTTGTACTTGAGTCTTAAGAAAAAGTGCCCATAGTTTAGTGACAATTTCCAAAGGCTTTAGTACCACCTGTATTTCAAAATGGGGGACCCAAACTCCCGGAAGAAACAAGCTCTGAACAGACTACGTGCTCAGCTTAGAAAGAAAAAAGAATCTCTAGCTGACCAGTTTGACTTCAAGATGTATATTGCCTTTGTATTCAAGGAGAAGGTAATTTAAAGTTCTTAATGGTGAATTAGCACAAGTAATTTTTGTAAGTGTATATTATTTGTTACTCTTAAATTATTATGAATATTAGGTTAAAGAGTGGTTGAAAAAAAGTCTGCTTTGTATGCTCTGTTTTTTCACCCTTAGGGGTGATTCTGTGAATTGAGCAGTTGCAGCATGCGAAAAGACCCTTGAGCGTTCTTTGGTTTGGAAATAAATTTGAGTCTGAAGCTTAGTAGTAGTATACACTGAGTTGACATGGGGTGGGCAAGATTACAAAATTTTATATGGAGTTAACATGGGAAACCTTATGATGGAATTTAAAGATTATCTAATGTAGAGTATAAATAAGATGGTTGAAAGTGTGAAATTGTAATCAGACTGTTTATATGCTAAAGTTTATCCTGTTTCTTAAACTGCGTAATGTAGGTAACCTTTTCTCTTACATTTAATGAAGTAGAATACACCTTTTAGGAGCAATTAAATACTGAAATGGTTAATTTGTGTTTAGAAGTGTGATTTTCTTTTTTACTTAGAGTTCATTTTGCCTTGTATAGAAGTACAGTTTTTAAAAACTCAAAATGACCTAGAGGAAGTTTCATTTTTAGGGGCGGTGGAGGTCTTAATCAGAATTAGTTCCGCAGTTAAATAGCAAACAGTAAGTTGTGAGTAGTCAAGGATGGGATGATAAGAGCAGTATTTTTTGCAACTTAAAATGAACATTTTCTTAAATTATCAGCAAGGCTTATTTGACCAAAGATGAGGTTATGAATGTAAGGAAGTGCTACTTGGATTTTGGTGCTTAAATTGTTAGCTAATTTCAGATCAGAAATACAATCTTAGTGTGGTATCTATTAAGTATCTGGAAGTTTTCCAGGTTTCCCCCTACTGTTTAACTCTTATTATTTTTGTTGCTGAGACAGGCCTCACTGTATTGCCCAGGCTAGTCTTGAACTCCTGGGCTAAAGTGATCCTCCTGTCATGGCATTTTAAAGTGCTGGGATTACAGGCAGGAGCTGCCACGCACAGCCCCAACTCTTAACTCCTAAAAGGTTATTTGTATTTAAGAACATTCTTAGCTGCTGAAGTATAGCATTGTGAAGTGATTTTTAAGTAATTTTTGAAGTGACTGTCCCAAGATTGGGTGGTATCAAGGACTTACATCTCCACTTTTGTTTTGTTGACAAGCTGACTCAAAATTGATGAGATTGGATTTTAGTTGAAGATGATACAGTGTATGCTCTTTAAATAAATCCAAGATAATAAGTAGTGAGACCATATCTTTGTATTTAATCTATATATTGCCCCAAATTGCACCATCTTAATTCTTTAACACCAACGATAATCTGGTTTTATTCTGTGAATGGACAGTGTCCATGCAGTTGCCCTGAATAATTCATGATATATACTTAATAGTACAGAATTTTAAAAAGTAGTTTAGTGATGCGTACTTGGTCTTGAGTAGTATTAAAAGAGAACTTGGTGTGCTTCTTTTTAGTCTTTCAAATATTGATGGTTTTGGCTGGGTGCAGTGGCTCACGGCTGTAATCCCAGCACTTTGGGAGGCTGAGGCAGGCGGATCACTTGAGGTCAGGAGTTCAAGGCCAGCCTGGCCAAATGGTGAAACCCTGTCTCTACTGAAAATACAAAAATTAGCCAGGTGTGGTGGCGCAGGCCTGTAATCCCAGCTACTCGAGAGGCTGAGGCAGGAGATCCCCTCGAACCCAGGAGGCAGAGGTTGCAAGTGAGCCAAGATGGTGCCACTGCCCTCTAGCCTGGGCAACACAGTGAGACTCCATCTCAAAAAAAAAAAAGAAAAACCAGAAATATTGATGGTTTTGATAATGTAATATTGAGAAAGTAATGGAAATTGGCCCATATAAGGAATAAAACTATTCATTTGTCTGAATAGCGTTGTTTTAAAACTGGTGAGATTTTTAATTTTAAGAAGTATTGTCCAAAATAGTGCTATGGATACCATTATGCTATAAAACTCAAGCATTAAACATTCTAATGACAGTTTGTACATGTATGGTTGGAGGGGGAGGTAGGGGAAGAACAGAAGGAATTACCTATCTGAAAATGTGTTTTCAGTGTATAAGTTACTGCAGACAGTTAAGAATTTTGTGGAGTTAATGTTACATGACATTGTAATATGAACTGAGTGTTAAAAGGCTGTGCTCCCTGTGGGTTAATACACCATTTTCTTTTCTTCTAGAAGAAAAAGTCAGCACTTTTTGAAGTGTCTGAGGTTATACCAGTCATGACAAATAATTATGAAGAAAATATCCTGAAAGGTGTGCGAGATTCCAGCTATTCCTTGGAAAGTTCCCTAGAGCTTTTACAGAAGGATGTGGTACAGCTCCATGCTCCTCGATATCAGTCTATGAGAAGGGTAAGTTCTGCCTTAAGTCTTGACTTGATAAAGTTTCTGTGGATTAACCTTGCATTTCCCCGCCCCCCGAACCCCCCTTAAAGTGGATAGTTATGATAGTGACCAGTCTCTTCAGGTAAATTTGTCTTTGTGCCATGTTGATAACTGGGATCATGACTTTAAAGCATTGTGTTTATAGGATTAGAAAAACACGTTTTTTTACGCCAGACCATTCTTATGTGGATGAAGTATATAAAGGGATTTCTTTAATCTGTGTTAGGTGTTGATGATCTCGGACTTTTTTTTTTTTTTTTTTTTTTGAGACAAAGTCTTGCTCTTTCGCTGAGGCTAGAGTGCAGTGGCATGATCTTGGCTCACTGCAACCTCTGCCCTCGCGCATTCAAATGATTCTCCTGCCTTAGCCTCCCGAGTAGCTGGGACTACAGTTGTGCGCCACCATGCCTGGCTAATTTTTTGTGTTTTTAGTAGAGATGGGGTTTTGCCATGTTGGCTAGGCTGGTCTGGAACTCCTGACCTCAAGTGATCCTCCTGCCTTGGCCTCCCAAAGTGCTGAGATTACAGGTGTGAGCCACTGCACCCTGCCAGTAGCCAACTGTTTTTAATAATTTAAGTGTTATGCAGAAAGTTTAAAAATTTTTGAAGTAGGTTTGTTTTTGAAAACTTGACCTTGAGTAAAACATGGACAACTTTGTTGTATTAGGCTCATAATATTGTGTATTATTATTGTGGATAAATGTCTTATGTCTCCGTTTATTGTATTTCCTTTTTTGGGGGGAATATGAATATAAGGAAGTGCTTCCAGCTTTGTAAACTTCTGCAACATGTTAAAAGTTAATCTGGGCATACCTGAACCAAGAGATCCCCACAGTTACTTGGGGAGAATGCTGGAGATAACCAGATACTGGTCTGGAAGAAATTATGGACCTTCAAAAATTAATATGCTGGCTACAATAATGAAGCAGAAGTCAGGAATGGAGAAAAGTAGTTTTCTATCAAAATAAAAATAGCATTTCAGCTATAATAGGATAGTGATTCATATTAGGAGTTCTAAGACATCTTTTTAAATAGATTGATTTTTAAAGGTGGAAATAAAGGTTCAGGGTCTGACAATACAACAGATATCAGAGATTTTGTTGGAGTTTTCACCATGCACTGATAAGTCTAGGTCTTGGTGTTAGGAGCATTGGACTGAGTGTATGTGACTCTCTGTAAGATAAAAATTAAAATTAGAGCCAGGCACAGTGACTTAGCCTGTAATCCCAGCACTTCGGGAGGCTGAGGTGGGTGGATCACCTGAGGTCAGGAGTTCGAGACCAGCCTGGCTGACGTGGTGAAACCCCGTCTCTATTAAAAATACAAAAAATATTAGCGGGGCATGGTGGCACACACTTGTAATCCCAGCCATTCGGGAGGCTAAGTCACGAGAATCGCTTGAACCTGGTAGGCGGAATTTGCAGTAAGCGGAGATTGCACCATTGCACTCCAGTGTGGGCCACAGAGAGGGACTCTGTCTCCAAAAATAAAAAATTACATCATGAGCTATTCAGATTATAAACTATTATGTTTACTTCCTAAGATATAAAATGATATATGGTAGATCTTTTGTACTTATAAAATGTTTTTATAGGGGAACCCTATAATTTGTGACATGGCTTGATGTAGCTGTTTCTTTAAAAGTAAACTTTTTTTTTTTTAATCATTTTATAGGATGTAATTGGCTGTACTCAGGAGATGGATTTCATTCTTTGGCCTCGGAATGATATTGAAAAAATCGTCTGTCTCCTGTTTTCTAGGTGGAAAGAATCTGATGAGCCTTTTAGGCCTGTTCAGGTATTTTGGTCTAAAGTGTGATGAGTATTTCAATATGTGAAAACTACTAGAATATAATAGGGTCTAACTTGAGAAATTCTTTGGGAAAATGGTTTCTGATAGTTTTATTTCACGAGTCTCCCCTATTTAGAATATTGTGATGCAAGAGAAGAAAGCGTTTGGATTATAGAATCTCTTGACAGTGTGGTGGTTCCACCTGCCCAGTGTGGCTTTGAAATTATGACTAGAGAAAATCTTTTAAAGTGGACATTTACTGATTTATAGAGGGGCCCACAGATGAGCTTCTGAGATCTGTAACTCTTGAAGCCTTCACCACACATCCTTCTAAAACCGTATATTTAACTGCTGCTTCCCAAAGGAATGTGATCTGAAATGGGTGAAGAAATCATTTTGTAGAAGTTGATCTGTATATAAAATTATAGAAGAAAGAAGTAAATTTAGTAGTCATTCTTAACCTTAAAATCTTGCTGACTTTTGACTGTTTGTCATGGTATACTAGACATTGCTCAAGTGAATCCCCCCTCTAGTGTTAAGGGCATTTACTCATGTTGAACCTAGTTTTATTTACAGTATATTTGTATGCATAGAAGATGGAGGTCCACCAAAGTGTTAATTATGCTTAGTTGTAGGTCAGGTATAGCTAACTTTCCTTTTTTAATATATATATTTACATTTGTGTTTCCTTTATAATTTATGGCATAGATTGCCACGATTTTCTTAAGTATACTTTTATAATCAGAAAAATGATATTAAGGACTCATTTTAAGTACACTAAATCAAATATTAGAAGGCTTCTTTATTTTAAGCTAATTGTGAGGATTATTTGTCATTTAAAACTTTTGCTTCTACTTATTACCCTGAAGTATCTTTGTGGTGCTTATGTTTTTCACAGACTGTATAAATTGATATACTCTCCCGCCCCATGGTAATGTTGCTACACATAAGCTCTAATAATTATCATTTTTAATGTTTTAAGATTAATTCAACTAAGTTTTAAAAATAATCCATTGGTTACATACATAAGAAAGTACTGTATACAGATTCCCCTGACTTATAATGGTTCGACTTAAGATTTTTTCAACTTTACCATGATGTGAAAGCCATATGAATTCATTGTGCTCCTCGATTTATGATGGGACTACATCCAGGTGAAGTCATTGTAAATTGGAATTGTTGTAAGTTCAAAAGTCACTTTTTGATTTAAAATACGTGTAACTTACACTGGGTTTATCAGGATGTAACATCACAAGTCGTGGAGCATCTGTATTTCGGTCATTTAATGGATGATATCTGACTGAAGGGAGAAAATGAATATAAAAGGCATGAAAACAGGAATAGAAAAGGCATGTTTAAAGTTCTCAGCGCAGGGCTGATAACTCTAGCTGCTCTCTGGAGGTGGTGTTAGGATTTTGTTGTTTTTTAGTTAAGGATTTCCCACTGGAAAAATGTAGGTCTGCTTATTACAGTATGTTTTCAAATTTCTAATACCCTGCCTTTCCCACTGGGACCTTATTTGAAATAGTTGAGTTAACTTTAGTCTTGTGTCAAATAGTACTCTTTGAAGTCATGGCTGATGTTTATTGAGAGTTGACTGTACTAGTTTCAGCTTTTTTTTTTTTTTTTTTTTGAGACAGAGTCTCACTCTGTTGCCAGATTGGAGTGCAGTAGTGTGATCTTGGCTCACTGCAACCTCCTCCTCCTTGCAACCTCTGCCTCCGCCTCCCTGGTTCAAATGATTCTCCTGCCTTAGCCTCCCGAGTAGCTGGGTCTACAGGGACATGCCACCACGCCCAGCTAATTTTTGTATTTTTAGTAGAGACGGGTTTTCACCATGTTGGCCGGGATGGTCTCGATCTCTTGACCTCGTGATTCACCCGCCTCGGCCTCCCAAAGTGCTGGGATTACAGGTATGAGCCACCATGCCCGTCCTTTTTTTGAGACAGGGTCTTGCTCTGTCGCCCAAGCTGGAGTGTGGTGGCGTGATCTTGGCTCACTGCAACCTCTGCCTCCCAGGTTTGAGCCGTTCTTGTGCCTCAGCCTCTTGAGTAGCTGGGATTATAGGCGCATGCTATGACACCCAGCTAATTTTTGTATTTTTTTTGTAGAGACGGAGTTTTGCTATGTTGGCCAGGGTGGTGTCCTTGACCTCAAGTGATCTGCCTGGCTTGGCCTCCCAAAGTGGTGGGATTACGGGTATGAGCCACCACACTTGGCCTTAGACTTTCTCTTACTTTATATATATTTAATCTCAGTCCTTAAAATAACTGGGTAGATAGGAAGAAACTGAGACAGAAATTAGGTAAATAAGGCCCAAGGCAGTTAAATAGGATAAAAGCCTGGACTGACTGTGCTTTTAACTCACTACCCTGTACTGTGAAAATTTACCTATATTAATTATAGAATCTTAAAATTCTGGACTGAGTGTAAGCAGTATGATGTAGGTAATGACTTTAGAATTCAACTGCAGTAAGTAGGTTAATATTGTAAGAACTAATTTGCTTTTCTGAAGTAATTTAAAATGTGTGAATATCCTATATGAGGGGCCTTAAATATAACTCACTCAGTTCTTTCTCAAAGAAAATGAGAAAAGGAATGGTAAATGTTAACTTGCAGGCCTCTTTTTTTTGTTTTTTGTTTTTTGACTCTTAAAGCACTTTACTTATTTTTAAAATTTAATTAATTTTTTGTAGAGATGGGGTCTCACTTTGTTGCCCAGGCTGGTCTTGAACTCCTAGGTTCAAGTGATCCTCTTGCCTCAGCCTCCCAAAGTGCTGAGATTACAGGTGTGAGTCACCGTGCCTGGCCTTTTGAAGCACTGTAAAACCTGAATATATGGGTAGTGAGGATATAATCGGAACCAGAATAAGGATTGTTTTTAAATACTGAGTTCTTCAGTGTACTGTGAAGTGCTGGGAGGTACTACTAAAATGTATCTCTTCTTTTCTCTTCATTATTAATGCTACTGCCAAGGTTAGCTCCTCCCCTGACTGTTAGAATATTTCGTTACTTCTGTGGGAATTACTTCTTTCATGCTGCTTATGAGAAGTTGTGTGTGTGTGTTTGTGTGTGTGTGTGTGTACCATTTCTTTTCAGATAAGTGGATATTCAATATGATAGAATTGAAATGCTAAAGAACTATAAGGAAGGCCTTTTTCAGTCTCACTCAAACCTTTTTTCAGTGTGGTTACCGGTTCTTGCACCCACCCTGGTTGCTTACCATATTGCAGCTTTGTTACTTGAATAGTATTTCAGTTTTTAACACATTTGTTTTTGTGTTGGTTCTGTTTCCTAGTATGGCTGTTTTTTTTGTTTTGTTTTGAGATGGTGAGATGGGGTATTACTCTGTCATCCAGGCTGGAGTGCAGTGGCATAGTCATGGCTCACTGCAGCCTTGAACTCCCAGGCCCAAGTGATCCTCCCACCTCAACCTCATGAGTAGCTGGGACCACAGGTGTGCACCCCATGCCCAACTAATTATTTTTGTAGAGATAGGATCTCACTGTGTTGCCCGGGCTGGTCTCAAACTCCTGGCCTCTAGTGATCCTCCCGCTTTGGACTCCCAAAGTGCTGGGATTATAGGTCTGAGCCACCATGCCCAGTCAGCGTTTATCAGATTACTTACCATTACTACTTTGTCCTGGGGAAATCCTCTTAATCTTTAAAGGCGCAATCCAAAATCATAATGTTCCCGTGTTACTTACTGTTACTTTTTTTTTTTTCTCCTATAGTGGTTTGATGATAAGAACCCAATTTGGGCCGGGCGCGGTTGCTCACGCCTGTAATCCCAACACTTTGGGAGGCTAAGCCAGATGGATCACCTGAGGTCGGGAGTTTGAGACCATCCTGACCAACATAAAGAAGTCCTATCTCTACTAAAAACACAAAATTAGCTGGGCGTGGTGGTGCATGCCTGTATTCCAGCTACTTGGGAGGCTGAGGCAGAAGAATCGCTTGAACCCAGGAGGCGGAGGTTGCAGTGAGCCGAGATCGCGCCATTGCACTCCAGCCTGGGCAACAAGAGCGAAATTCCGTCTCAAAAAAAAAAAAAAAATTGGAGTTTTACAGATAACCACATCTTATTCTGGGAAAGGATTTGAAGCAAGTTGGGTTTTATATTTGGCTGTACTTGTCCTCTTCAGCAGTATAATAAGCCCCTTAAGGCTGAAGTAACCTTATTCCTATTGTTTAGTAGCTAATAGCATGCTTTTGATATGCTTATGATCATACTAATAATTTAATATTTGAATTGTATGGAAGTACAATTCAGTATCATTTTACATATGGTATATTGTGATGCTGTATCATATTTTATGTTACGGTTTATAAGAAAAGCTCCTAGGTATAAAATGCTACATAGCAGGAACTTGGTTTTTCAATGTTATTATTTCCTACTGTTTTTGACGTAACGGCAATAAAATTTGTTTGAACCAAAATGGACTAACAATTATTTGTACAACTCAGTATTGTCTAAATATCATATTGTTAAATCTAGGTTTCTTGAATTCTCCATCAAGCCTGGTCATGTCATGTAGCATTTGGTGTCTCACCATGCCCAACAGATATTTTGTGGGAGGATGGAGTTGATCTTCCTCATGTTAAAAGATTGAAGGGAGTGTTCTGACTTAATTGATAACAGTCTTTCATAACTTCACAAATTTTTGAGAATGACCCAAGGCTAACTGTGGGAAAAATTCACATAAAAACATAGCCTATCTATGAGGAGCAAAACTATATTTCAGTTGTGGGCTTTACATTTCATTTAACCCTCTTAACTGTCCTGTGAAATGGGTTACAGCCTTATTTTATAGATGAGGAAGCTGAAGTTTAAGGGATTTGCATACGGTCACGTAACTAGTGAGTTGTGCAGCTAGGGTTAGAATAAACAGATTTATTTTTTTTTTTTCTTAGAAACAGCAATTAACAATGTGACTCCTAATCAAAAGAAAAGAGATGTCCTTGGGGCTTAAAGTACTATGGTGGGAGTCTTGGACTGAGTAGGTTTGAAAATACAATTTTATGATCGTGGAGTACTAGGATTTAGTCATTTTGATGCAGAGCATTTCCTGATCAACTGCTGTTGTGGAGTGTACTGTCCAATAGAATTCTCTACAATTAAGGAAATGTTCTGTATCTCAAGAGATTGTTCTTAATGGTGGCCAGTAGTCATGTGACCGTTGAGCATTTGAAATGTGGCTAGTGCTACTGAAGAATGGAATTGTAAATTGCTTTTAATCTAAATTTTGCCTGTGATATTATTGGCTGTGGGTTTGCCAAAATTTGTTTTTTTAAAGAGGAAAAGATAACGGACTGTTGGCTGCTTTATTGGACAGCACAGCTAGCATATAGATGCAGATAGGTAGTATAACTTGTTTGTAGTTTAATATAAATGTTGTATTTTGTAATTAGGCCAAATTTGAGTTTCATCATGGTGACTATGAAAAACAGTTTCTGCATGTACTGAGCCGCAAGGACAAGACTGGAATCGTTGTCAACAATCCTAACCAGTCAGTGTTTCTCTTCATTGACAGACAGCACTTGCAGGTAAGCAGCTTTTTTGAAAACCACTTACAGGCTCATTCAAAAACTTATTGGTTAGTAAACGTTTTATATACAAGTTACTTAATTGTTGTGTCCCCCAAACACTGCATTATTTTTGAAGTTATTTAAAAAGCAAAAAATAGGCTGGGCATGGTGGCTCATGCCTGTAATCCCAGCACTTTGGAAAGCCGAGGCGGGCATATTGCTTGAGCTCAGGAATTCCAGACCAGCCTGGGCAACATGACGAAACCCCATCTCTACAGAAAATATAAAAACTAGCCAGGCATGGTGGCGTGTGCCTGTAGTCCCAGCTACTGGGGAGGCTGAAGGGGGAGGATTGCTTGAGCTTAGGAGGCTACAGTGAGATCTTGTCACTGCACTCCAGCTTGAATGACAGAACGAGACCCTGTCTCAAAAAATAAAATGAATTTTTAAAAAAGTATTTCCCAGGCCTCACTGTAGAACAATGGTTCCCAAATTTTGCTGCATGTTACAGCAACCTGGCAAGCCTTTTTTTTTTTTTTAAACGGGAAAAAACCCACCTCCTTCGAAGCTTTTAAAAGTCATGATTCTAGTGAACAGTAGTGAGAACTATTGCCCTAAAGCGTGTCTACCAGATGTGTGGGCAATGGATGAACATCACTTGAGAACTTGTTAAAAATATAGACTCTCAGGCTCTACTAATCAGAGTCTGCACTTTAAACAGAACCCTCAGGTGATTTGAAACACACTTTGTTTCCAGAAGCACTGACCTGGACGTTTTTTTTTTTCTTGAGAGGGAGTCTCTGTCGCCCAGGCTGGAGTGCCGTGGCGCAATCTCAGTTCGCTGCAAGCTCCACCTTCCGGGTTCACGCCATTCTCCTGCCTCAGCCTCCCGAGTAGCTGGGACTACAGGTGCCCGCCACCACGCCCAGCTAATTTTTTTTTTTTTTTGTATTTTAGTAGAGACAGGGTTTCACCATGTTAGCCAGGATGGTCTCAATCTCCTGACCTCATGATCTGCCTGCCTTGGCCTACCAAAGTGCTGGGATTACAGGCGTGAGCCACCGCAACCGGCTGACTTTTTAAATCTAAAAGGATGAGGGACATATATTTAAAAGATCCACATTTATTTCAAATAAGCACTTCCATTTGGGCACAGTGTCTCACACTTGTAATCCTAGCATTTTGGGAAGCCGATGGGGGAGGATTGCTTGAGTCCAAGACCAGCCTGGGCAACAGAGTGAGACGACATCTCTACAAAAAATCAAAGAAATTAGCCGGACATTGTGGCGTGTTCCTGTGGTCCTAGCTACTCTGGAGGCTGAGGCAGGGGAGAATCACTTGAGCCCAGGAGTTTAGAGTTGCAGTGAGCCATGGCACCAACACACTCCTGCCTGAGTAATGCAGCGAGACCCCATCTCAAAAAAAAAAAAAACACCGCCAACAACAAATAACCACTTCCCAGTTAAGCAGCAATCCAAGTATTGCAATTTAGTTTTTAGATGCAGCCACTTGCTGGCTGTATGATCTTGGACAGGTAACTGCTGTGAGCATGTTGCTTCTGTGAAATTGAACAAATGATAATCCTAAGGTTGTTAAATTTAACGTAAGGTTGTTACATTTAAAATTAACTAATACAAGTAAAGTATATTACATATGTATAGGTTTATTTACATTTGTAGGCTACTTCAGACATCTTCAAAGTCAGAGTCCTTATTTTGCCTTTTAGAGGTGCTAGATAGTGAAGAAAAGATGAACTTTGTAATTAAGTTGGATGTTCAAATGGTAACTACTTTTTAAAAATAAGGGTTTTGATTTAACTGGTAATACTTTGGCTTTTTTCTAGTCCCTTACCCCAGGATATGCTTAAATCTTTTATTTATTTTTTGAGACAAGGTCTCAACTCTGTCACCACGCTGGAGTACACTGGCATATGGATCATGGCTCACCGCAGCCTTGACCTCCTGGGCGCAGGTTATCCACCTCAGCTTCCCGAGTGGCTGGACTACAGGCGTGTGCCACCACATCCAGCTAATTTTTATATTTTTTGTAGAGATGGGTTTTCGTCATGTTGCCCAGAATGGTCTTGAACTCTTGGGCTCAAGCAATCCTCCTGACTCAGCCTCCCAAAGTGCTGGGATTACAGGTCTGAGCCACCACACCCAGCCTTAAATTTTTACCTATTCCTTCATCCTCTCACTAGCTTCTATTCTTACCACATCTGCTTTATCTTCCTCTATATAAAAATGACTTCAAACTTCTCAAAATCTGTCCCCATGAAATGCCTTTAGCTTTAATTTCTTCTAGCAAGTAGTCTCTGGTTTACTTCCCTAACTTTTTATCTTCTAATTCTGCATAAATTTTTCCTTTATCTTATATGGCAAGATTTTGTCTGTCTAGAATATGGATAGGGACTACAATTTGTCCCTTACTCTGTATGTTAAGATGTTTAATAAATTGTGGGAAATGGACTTCATGTGACAGTTACGCTAAAGTCTTATTTTTAAAAAATATTAAAATGTTTTCCCCTTCCAGACTCCAAAAAACAAAGCTACAATCTTCAAGTTATGCAGCATCTGCCTCTACCTGCCACAGGAACAGCTCACCCACTGGGCAGTTGGCACCATAGAGGATCACCTCCGTCCTTATATGCCAGAGTAGAGTACTGACCAGCAAAATGGAGAAGATCAGAGAATGCAGCAGCAGTTTTTTTTCTTGTTTTCTTACCACTTTATTCTTTCAGAGTTTAAAGAAAATGGACTCATGCACAGAACACTATGCATTTTGAAACTTGTTCATCCTGGATTTTTTTAAATCATTTTTATCTCAGAACTTAAACAAAAATTAGATGTCGTGCACGGACTGTGTGAAAGAAGATGCTTTGCATATTTGCTGCACTGCATCAGTATCTTACTAAAAATGTGAAATGAAAGGACTATTGTACACTGAAATGCTTAAATGTATCTGAAAGCACAAGGTGATACTCATTTTTATGGTCTTCCCATTTGTGCTGGTTTTTGCCTCTTTGACATCTGTCATCAGTATTTAGAGGGTGAGAAGTGAATGTAACAGGTATAAATAACATTTTTAAAAACAATAACTTTGCTATAATCACAGTTGTTCCAGAGCACTGTCAGATACATTCTAATGACCAGAACTGGTTTAAAAAAAGAAAATACAACCATGGGAAAGAAATCTTAAATGAAAAACGCATCTCATTGTAGGCATTTTTGCCTCATATTTTACTGGGCCATGTTTGTTTCCTGGTACTCATGTATTTTTTTTTTCCAGATCTCTTTCCCCAAGTTGCTATTGTAAGAGTATTCTGCTGCGTGTGGATGCAGTTATACACATTAAAGCAGATCTGGAGTCTGAAGTAGCTATAAAGCAGCTATAAAACAGAAATACATGCATAGCTGCAGAAACCATGATAGGTAGAGGACTTTTCTTTTGGTTTTGTTTTGTTTTGTTTTGTTTTGTTTTTGGTTTTACAGAGAAGAGATTTTTATTACAAAGAAAAAAATTCCAGTGAATTGTGCAGAAATGCTGGTTTTTACACCATCCTAAAGAAAAACTTTACAAGGGTGTTTTGGAGTAGAAAAAAGGTTATAAAGTTGGAATCTTAAATTGTAAAATTAACCATTGAGTGTCAAAGTTCTAAAAGCAGAACTCATTTTGTGCAATGAACATAAGGAAAGACTACTGTATAGGTTTTTTTTTTTTTCTCCTTTTAAATGAAGAAAAGCTTTGCTTAAGGGTTGCATACTTTTATTGGAGTAAATCTGAATGATCCTACTCCTTTGGAGTAAAACTAGTGCTTACCAGTTTCCAATTGTATTTAGCTTCTGGTTGGAATTTGAAAAAAAAAGAAAAAAAGAAAAAGAAAACCTAAATAAAATAGGTGAAAGTTCCCTGACTATTCAGGTGAATACACAAAGTTTGAAGTGTTAACTTTTTCTTTCCATTTCACTGATGTTACTGGTCACCTTAGAGAATTATTTCATAGTCTGTGGCTAAATAGTAAATTCAGAAGAAAAATACCTGGCAATTGAGTGTGTAACTTCAACAAGAACAGGAATCAAGAACATACTGTCAGCTTTCAACAGTTAGCAACCTGGCCTTATGCCTTGCTTCATGGGAAAGGGCCATTCTTAAATTTCAAAATGCTTTCATGTGTCCTCTTATTTAAAAATTAGAATCTATTTGAAATAACATTTTGAATGTTTATTATAACCAGGTACTCTTCTAAGCTCTTGTCTTAACCTCTCAACCTTTGGTGGAAATAGATGCAGAGGTTAAGTAACTTGCTCAAGCTCAGATCATAAGTAGTGGAGGATTTAAAACCAGGCTGGCTGGCTCTTAAGGCCTATGCTCTTAATTTACCATGTTGAATTAATTTACCATATTGAATTACACTTATGTTCACCAAGTTAGGCATTTTGGCAGCCATTGTTTACGTTTTTATTTTGGAATAATTTAGAAAAGTTACCAGAGTAATATGAAAGCTGTTGTGTAATCTTTACCCTCATTTTTATTATTTTGCCACATTTTTTTCATTTTCTCTGTACACTTATACCTGTGAGCTATTTGAGTTTGTTGCACACTTTGTGCTTCCTTACCCCTTCCTTAGTACTTCGGCATATGTTCCAAGTACAAGAATATTTCATATAACTAGAGTAAAATTACCAAACTCAGGGAATGTTGATACTCTTTATCATCCATATTCGTTTTGTTGTCCCAGTATCCTTGGTAGCTTGTTTTAGATCCCCCCCTCTAGAGTACAGGATCATTGAATTTAGTTGTTCTCAGTTGTCTTTAATGTGGAACAGTTCCTTAGCCTTTATGTGTTCCATGACCTCTATGTTTTTTGGAGTACAGGGCAATTTTTCTTGTAAATTGTTACTCATTTTGCATTTGAATTGTTTATTCATGCTTAACGCCCTTCTCAAGTATACTCTCCATCTGCTCTTCATTGATGTTACTTTTGAGCGCCTGGTCAAGGTGTCCTGGTTTTGCCCTATGTGTGGTACTTACTACTAGCAATCTCTGGGAAGCAATGTGCAAATACCCTGTTCCTTTATCAGGAGCTCCCTTGGCGATTCTTTCCAGACTAAAACCCAAACCAGTCTTTAACTATGATGGTTACAAAATAGTGATTTTCCAAATCTAATGCTTTGTCCATTTACAGCATTTGTTGTAAGAGAGTGTTCTATCTCTGCCATTTATTATCTACCTAAACACTATGGCCTCATATTTTTTCCCTCCAAATCATAATTTGCATGCCTTTATTATTTTGAGCATCTCCTTTCATGCATAAGATACTGTAACCTTTCTGTCCCAGCCTCAAGCCCTGGAGTCAGCTGTTTCTCCAAGGAGCCCAGCTTCCTTTTAGTGGGAAATACTAGAAGTAAACATCTGGGACTCCTGTATGCTCACTGCTGCTATTGCTACTGTGGAGTCTTCTGCCCTTTCACAGTGGACAGATCAGCAGGCGATCTAATGTAGGGAAAGGATTTGTCTTTAACTGTTAACTTGACTTAAATTTACTTAAAGCTGCATCCTTTTTAGTCTTTAGTCATGAAATGTTCATTAAGATTCCCTGACAGAAATCAAGTAAGAGTCAGCTGGGTGCAGTGGTTCACACCTGTAAGTCCAGTACTTGGGGGGCCAAGGCAGGAGGATTGCTTGAGCCTAGGAGTTTGAGACGAGGCTGGGCAACAGTGAGACCTTGTTTCTACAAAAATAAAATTAGGCGTGGTGGCACACGCCTGTAGTTCCAGCTACTCAGGAGACTGAGGTGGAAGAATGTCTTGAGCCTGGGATTTTGAGGCTATGGGAAGCTGTGATTGTATCACTCCAGCCTGAGTGACAGAAGCTGTCTCAGAGTGCCACAGTCAACTGAACTTGGAGACTTCTGAGAAGTGAACTTGGTCTTTTCAATACTATAGACTTGGAGGTTTGAGATCTGCATGGTTTTATTCTCGGTACAAGAAAAGGGGCTAGTAGCATGCTTTTTTTCTTCCCCCTCTATTGGACCATTTCCTGTAACACTAACATGCTTAGCCTCAAACTTTTCTTGAGGTCTTTTTTAGGCATATGGCTCAATCTATTTTATTTTTCAATATGGGCTGTAGTTCATATATTTTGAAGTTTCATAATCTTAAAAAAAGGAAATGCAAGTGTAGCTTGGCATTTTAGATCTGGGAAGGACCTAAGATTCGCTAAGGATTGGCCATTGCTGTGGTCTCCATGTGTTTCCCCTAAATTTGTATGTTAAAATCCCAACCCCCAAGGTGATATTAGCAGGTGGGGGTCTTTGGGAAGTTATTAGATCACGAGGGCAGAACCCTCAAGATTGGAGTAAGTGCCCTTACAAAAGAGAACCCAGGCTGGGCACATTGGCTCACACCTGTAATCCCAGCACTTTGGGGGGCCAAGGCAGGCGGATCACCTGAGGTCACGAGTTCGAGACCAGCCTGGCCAACATGGTGAACCCTGTTTCTACAAAAAACTACAAAAATTAGCTAGGTGTGATGGCACATGCCTATAGTCCCAGCTACTTGGGAGGCTGAGGCAGGAGAATCACTTGAACCCAGGGGGCAGAGATTGCAGTGAGCCGAGATCGTGCTGCTGTACTCCAGCCTGGGCAACAGAGCGAGACTCCATTTCAAAAACGAGAACCCAGAGGGCTCACTTGCCCCTTCCACCACACAGTGAGAAGGCACCATCTATGAGCCAGGAAGCGGGCCCTCACCTAACAGGATCTGCTGGGCCTTGACCCAGGACTTTCCAGCTTCTAGAACCATGAAAAATTTCTGTTGTTCCTAGCAGCCCAAACAGAATTAGAACCATTAATTTCTATTTCTCCTTTAGCTTAACACTGGACTTTAGTTTTAATCTTAACTGAGAGTGGTCCTGCTAGTTTCTTTGCTTTACCTGTTTTTAAAACACTTTGAGCTAAGAATTTTTCACCCAATTATCACACATGATTAGAAAACAAGATGCTTAAAGTGAAAAAAGACACCCCCACCTTTACCCTACTTGATATCCAGGTCCTTTTCCTCCAAGAATATTTCTAGCTGCTTCTGGTTTTGCTAGTTTATTTCAAAAATTACAATTGTTTGAGTCAAATCTATACTTGATATTCATTGTTGGGTTTCTTTAGGTCATTCTGCTGTTCTCTCAGTTTCCCAGGTGTTTTGTGTGTCTTCCTTGTGCTATTAATTTTCCTGTGGCCTTGTTGGTCAGATCCACAGAGGTAAATGCAAGTGTTTTTCCTTGCTTCAGAACATGTGCTGTAATCACTATATCTTCTCCTAATTTTGCAGGTGACATGTACCTTGAAAGAAAATGAATATAGTTAACAGCAGATAATTTTTCAAAGGGAAAGTTGTGTGCATCTCACAACAGTGTTCCTATGTAACTTATTTTACTCCTAAAAATAGTTTTAACGGTAGTATTGGTAAGCTTTCTGTACTATCAAATGTGAATGGCTGGTCCTAACCAGGTTCTATTTTACCCATTCCTTACCCACACAAGTTTCTTTTCCCAAATATGTGAGAAGAGGTTTTCTTGCCTCCCCTTTTTTCCCTTTACATTTCCCACTTCACATTTATTTGGGGCTGGTGAAAGATTTCCTCCAGCTTTCATTTAATCTCCTTAACTTCTTAGATGAAATATCACTTGGTGTCTGTATATTGTCCTATCCATATTTACAATTTATTTGACTCTAAAATGACAATATAACAACTATAAGGAATTGATATGATGTCCTTACAATCTTGATGATGGACTGTCTATATTTTTAAGAGATGTACATCCTAGTCACTTGTAATCATAAGTTGTCTTTAACTCAGCTGGCTCCAGCTAATTAAAAAAAAAATTGGGGAGATGAGGATTGTTTAAAACAAATGTTAATGTTTTAAAGGGAAATAATTTCCTTACAGTTTATTTTTATGTTTCTGCTTTTTAGAAAGAAACCTTTAAAAAGGATATGTATTTTTGCCATATTCAAAATAAGACTTCAGTATTTATGGCTAGGAGGTATAAGAAAGGTGGATCTGGCCGGGCACGATGGCTCAAGCCTGTAATCCCAGCACTTTGGGAGGCCGAGGTGGGCAGATCACCTGAGGGCAGGAGTTCGAGACCAGCCCGGCCAACGTGGTGAAACCCCGTCTCAACTAAAAATACAGAAGTTAGCTAGGCATGGTGGTGGGCACCTGTAATCTCAGCTACTTTTGAGGCTGAGGCAGAAGAATGGCAGGAACCCAGGAGGCAGAGGTTGCAGTGAGCCGAGATCGCGCCACTGGACTCCAGCCTGGGCAACAGAGCAAGATTCCATCTCACAAAAAAAAAAAAAAAAAAAAAAAAAAGGTGGATCTTATTGCTGGAAAGAACAGGCTTGTCTTTAATTCACATACCTCAATGTAAAGAAATGAAAAATAGTATGTTTAGTAGTAGTTTGGCCAGTTTTTATTATTTCCCTAAATTTTGTCTTAGAAATCAAGAATTTTGGCTAACAGCCATTAACTTAAACTGAGGGAAGATAAGGAACCCTTTGTGCTACAGATGAGTAAACATTAAGTCCGGGGAATTTGGAGATTGACATTTTGTCAGTAATACTCTAAAATTTCCCCTTTTGTTGTTTTGGAACCTCGCTTGTTTTTAACCTAAGTCACAGTCTAACAGGCATCCTCAGTCTGTATAATATAGGACTTGATGTGCAGGGGTGGAGTAAATTTGGTACCATGTCAAGTAAATCAAAGAGTGAATCATGAAGTGTTAACTGACTGAAACATTATTCATTTACTTTTGAAATATCTCTAACTTTTGAAAGACCATGTCCTAGTTTTTGTTGAAGTGAATCAGTTTTTGAAGCGTAGGCAGCTCTTGATGGCCAATGCTTTTGGCAACACATATTTGAAAGGCCAAAACTATGTTTGACTTACTGAAAATTCCTTAGGGTTCTAAAGGCAAAAGTACCTTAGTAGATCATGAAATGCAGTGCTAGGTTTGAAGATCTCTCTGCTCTTAATAGAGACTTTTAGGGAAAATCAAGTCATCTACTGATCTCACCTCTTACCACATGAAATAAGGACTGCTGAATATGCACACCAGTAACATAAGCAGAGCCTTTCTTTTCTGTACATCTTAATTTCAAAAAGAGCATTTGGCTGCATCTTGTAATTTGCTTATTGTACCCTCAATTTAAGTTATTCCCATGAAGAGGGACTGAATGTTTCTTAAGTAAACTTGATAAAATATTTAGATTCCTTAAAAGCCTACATTGGCTGGGCGCGGTGGCTCACGCCTGTAATCCCAGCACTTTGGGAGGCCAAGGCGGGCAGATCACAAGGTGAGGAGATCGAGACCAGCCTGGCTAACACGGTGAAACCCCATCTCTACTAAAAATACAAACAAATTAGTCGGGCATGGTGGCAGGCGCCTGTAGTCCCAGCTACTCGGGAGGCTGAGGCAGGAGAATGGTGTGAACCCGGGAGGCGGAGCTTGCAGTGAGCCGAGACTGCACCACTGCACTCCAGCCTGGGCCACAAAGCGAGACTCCGTCTCAAAAAAAAAAAAAAAAAAAGCCTACATTATTTCCATTACCCTCATATCTACTCACAATGGCTCTCTCAACCTGACCTCTCAGTTAGTTACATTTTTGTTGCTTAGGTGGAAAAAGCAGTTGTCTTGAAACTAAATCCCTGTGCCCAGCTCTTTCTTTATTGAATGGGGCTGCAGTAGTACCAGTTTATGTTGGAATTGAGTTTCTTACATTTTGGAAGTTTGACCCTGAGGGGCACTGTTCCCTGATCATGTAGTTTAACTCACAGAACATGTCTGTGTAGTCACAGGGAGAGATCCAGGATTGCTGCCCATTCTTAAAACTCAACACTTTGGGAGGCTGAGGTGGGTGGACACTGGAGGTCAGGAGTTCAAGACCAGCCTGGCCAACATGGTGAAACCCCGTCTTTACTAAAAACACAAAAATTAGCCCAGCATGGTGGCGCACACCTGTAATCCCAGCTACTAGGGAGGCTGAGGCAGGAGAATTACTTGAGCCCCAGAGGCGGAGGCTGAAGTGAGCCAGATTGTGCCGCTGCACTCCAGCCTGGGTGATGGGGAGACTCCGTGTCCAAAAAAAAAAAAAAACCCCAGCAATGGTGTTCAGTTTGTTAGAGTAAGATTATAATGTGTATATGAACTCTAACTTTACTTTGAATTGTATGTACTCAATACAATCCTCATAGTGTTATAAGTGGTATTTTTAAAATTAAATAATATTTATTTTTTGTAGAGATGGGGGTCTTGAACTCCAGGCTTCAAGCAATCCTCTTGCCTCGGCCTCCCAAAGTGCTGGGATTATAGGCGTGAGCCACTGCGTCTGGCCCTGAATGGCACTTTTAAGGACTGTATGAAACAGTTATGAGCCATCAGTTTGTGATTTTTCCCCCTGCATCAGTATACACATTAAAAGCTGAATGTTGCTCTTTTGAATGTTTGGGATCATTCCCTTTTTACTATTGATACACACTGTACTTGCAAATTAACTGCTCTAGTTCTAGATTTTAAGGCTGGAATATTTTAGGACAAAATCTATAGGTGCAGTTAAGGAGATAAGCAGCTAATTGAATCTCATGCGTTACTAATAATATAAATGTGTTTAGTCTCAGTTGTTTAGACAGTTATCACACAGAAGGGATTTGGAATACAGTTTGGATACATACGTTATGTTCATATCGACACTGACTCCGGGTGCTCCCCTTTCCGTGCATAGCAGAGCCATTGTTGATATGTTATCTACTAACGTGGCTGTCAAACCGCCGTGGAGAGTGCCTATTGCATTGGTATGCTCTTCTTCTACTTTCATTTCACAAATCACTTTCCCAGGAGCAGCAGAGACAAGAGTAATCTAAGTGTAAAAAAAAGAATCCTGAACATTAATTCTGTAGAATTAGAAAAGCCAAAAAAGCCCATGAAGAACAATGGATTGAACTGAATCTTCTGAAAAAAGTTGACTCAGAAATTCAAGTAAATTGCCAATCTCTGATAGAAATTAACCCTTATGCAAGTTATTTTTAAAGAAAAAGGAGTGTTTAGTGAAAAAATAGTAGTTTTTGCTGATCTTCACTCCTCTGCAGAAATTAAACATTCAGTCTGAGCTTTTCAGTCATATGTATGACGCCTGGCATTTTTTAATGTCTCATTGGAACTTCGACGCCAACAAAGCCACCCAGCTGAGATCTGTTAACTCATTATAGGTTTGATTTGTTGTTTCCTAGTTTTGTACAAGCAGAATAATAATAACATTTTAAGTCACTTAATGAACAGTTCAATTTAAAAGACAAATTCAGTCATTGAGTTACTAGCATTTATCTCATTGGAACTTTGACGCCAACAAAGCCACCCAGCTGAGATCTGTTAACTCATTATAGGTTTAATTTGTTGTTTCCTAGTTTTGTACAAGCAGAATAATAACATTTTAAGTCACTTAATGAACAGTTCAACTTAAAAGACAAATTCAGTCATTGAGTTACTAGCATTTAAAAAAAACTTTTATACTATAAACCCATGTTAGTATAAAGTGTAAATGTAACAATAAAATCCAGCAAAGTAAGTTACTGCTTTTAAGGTTTTGGCCCATTTATAGTAAGTATAAGGAAAAAGTATTACATGAAAGATAAACATATGCAACAATGCATTTAAAATTTTATGATTTTTGGCTGGGCACGGTGGCTCACGCCTGTAATCCCAGCATTTTGGGAGGCTGAGGCAGGTGGATCACGAGATCAGGAGTTTGAGACCAGCCTTACCAACATGGTGAAACCCAGTCTCTACTAAAAATACAAAAATTAGCCGGGTGTGGTGGCGTGCCCTTGTAATCTCAGCTACTCAGGAGGCTGAGGCAGGAGAATCGCTTGAACCCGGGAGGTGGAGGTTGCAGTGAGCTGAGATCATGCCATTACACTCCAGCCTGGATGACAGAGGGAGACTCAGTCTCAAAAAAAAAAAGAATTTATGATTTTTATATCAAACATCTTTAAAAAGGCAACTTATGGAAAGGTAAGTTTTCTTATATATTTGTGTTTAAATTACTAGGAAAAACCATCAGGGTATAATATCATGGTATAAGTTAGAGCTGAGCTGTGAGTGGAATGTGCTGCATCCAAAACAGTAATTTCCACCCTCACTAGAGGTGTTCAGGAAGAATATGGATGAGTATTTGGTGTGTCTGTTGTGTTTGGGAGTAGGGGGATGTCTCAAGCATTAAATGGTTGGTTATATTCTAGATAAGTACCATTTATTAGGCACTTTGATATGCTAGGCACTGTGCCAAGCACTTTACATATACTATATAGTAAGGAAGAGACAACATCCATTTTGCAGAGAACTTAAATTCAGAGTGATTTATTTTCAAGATCACCCAAGATGTGATGGAAACTGAGATGTAGATGTAGGTCTTTCCACCTTCACATCTCCCAATCACTAACTATATATGAGTAACCTCTAGGTATGACTCCCACCAGGAAGACATTTGAGAGTTTCACAAACCACCTATTTAGTGGTTTTATTGTTGAAGGCCCTGAAGGAAAACAGAACCACGCGATATAAAACATCCTAAACAATATTATGTCATGTTTTGCAAAACAGGTAAATCAATGTCAAAAATAAATTTTAGAACAGGATTTTTGTTGTTGGGTTTTTTGTTTTTTGTTTTTTTGTTTGTTTTTTGTTTTGAGATGAAGTCCTTTTCTGTTGCTGAGGCTGGAGTGCAGTGGCTTGATCTCGGCTCACTGCAACCTCTGCCCTCCAGGTTCAAGCAATCCTCCCGCCTCAGCCTCCCAAGTAGCTGGGATTACAGGCACATGCCACCACACCCAGCTAATTTTTGTATTTTTAGGAGAGATGAGGTTTCACCATGCTGGTCTCGAACTCCTGACCTCAGGTGATCCACCCACCTTGGCCTCCCAAAGTGCTGGGATTAGAGTCGTGAGCCACCGCGCCTGGCCTATGATCGTCTGTTTATAGCAATAAATGATCTAGCCACAAGATGTCCTCATAAACTAAATAATACACACCGAGCAGGAATAAGGTGTAAACTTAACCTCATTCACACATTTATGTGATTCTTTATAGCAGGCATTGGCAATGTAAAAAATGAATGAAGTTTAATCCCTGCTCTTAGCGGGTTCAGTGTCTAAAGGAAGAGACAAGTACAAAAACTGCAGAGGAAGAAACTGTTGTAGACAGAATAAATACAGGTTTCTTGGAGTAAAGATATCTAACTTTTAAAAATGTATATTTCCAGGGAAAAGACATTAGGAAAGGCTTCCTGGAGAACGACATCTGAGTCTTGAAGAACAGGCAGGAGTTATCCAGGTGAAGATAAGGGAAAAAGCCAGGCAGTTGAAGAAATAGAACTAAATACGAGCGGCTTGTAGACAGCAAAGGTAGTTTTAATGTGTTGTTTTTGTTTTTGTTTTTTGAGACAGAGTCTCGCTCTGTCACCCAGGCTGGAGTGCAGTGGTGTAATCTCGGCTCACTGCGACCTCTGCATCCCAGGTTCAAGTGATTCTCCTGCCTCAGCCTCCTGAGTAGATGGGACTACAGGTGCGTGCCACCATGCCTGGCTAATTTTTGTATTTTTAGTAGAGATGGGGTTTTGCCATGTTAGCCAGGTTGGTCTTGAACTCTTGACCTCAGGTGATCCACCCACCTCGGCCTCCCAAAATGCTGGGATTACAGGCATGAGCCACCGCGCCTCAGTTTAAGTGTATTTTAAGGCACAGTTTGTTCAGTAAAGCTTAGTTCTTAAAGTTCCATTTGATTACCTAACTTTGGCTGGGATGACAAAATGTAAGACAAATGTCAGTTAGATTTTTCTAGTACAGAATACTGGTTTTGATTTTTCCCCCCAACTTGAAAGGCCAAAGGACATACTAATAAAATTGTTTTAAAATTTACATTGGAATAGAGAGAATTTTTTACTGGGCAGCCTGATATGGCAATATAAATGCCTTTATATGTTCTCAATTCTTGTCTCCTCAGGTCAAATAAGAGAATTAAACCAACGGAAGATGATGAAGGAATGTCCTGCCCACCCTCCCAGAGCTAATAAGTAGTCTTGCTGGGGAAGAGGCCAATGCAAAGCTAACTTCTTTCTGATGAGGAAGGGGAGTAGGGAGAGAACCTTGTGAAAAAAACATCTCAGCCTTGGTAAAGATGGGCTGTAGGGCACACACTTGTTTATTCAGTTATATCAACATAGCTAACTCCATGTTAGAGACCATGCTGAGCAATTTGACATGTGCTGTCTCAGTGCTGCCAATGTTTGAAGTGAATACTATTGTCTCCATTTTACAGATGAGAAACTGTCGAAAAGTTTAACTAGGATGTCTCAGGTTTAACCATTATGCAAAACAGCCTACCCTCAAATATCACCTGGACTGCTACAGACAACTGGGTTCTGATTCCTTAGGTGTCTTGGTGAAGATGGTATGGAGGCTTTTATGATGTCAAGGGGTCAAAAATTTACCTGCCATGGCCTAACAATACAGAGAACTGTCCAGATGTGTTCAGTCCCAGGATCCTGCAGGTTGGACAATTGCAGTAGGTTGGCAAGAACTTTTATGGCTCAGCACTATTTGCCACAATGGGCTCCTCAGTATATCATAACAATTCTTACATGTACACACACATATACAATAATCTGTCCCTTTTATATATGGCCTTATATCGTGCTGTCTCTTCCTTGCACTTCATGCATTCATATGAGTTTATGCAACTTCGTCTGTGTAATCCCAGCACTTTGGGAGGCCGAGGCAGGCAGATCACTTGAGGTCAGTAGTTCAAGACCAGCCTGGCCAACATGGTGAAACCCTGTATCTACTAAAAATACAAAAATCAGCCAAGCATGATGGGGCACACGTATAATCCCAACTACTTGGGAGGCTGAGGCAGGAGAATCCCTTGAGCCTGGGAGGTGGAAGTGGAGGTTAGCCGAGTTCGCACCACTGCACTCCAGCCTAGGCGACAGAGTGAGACTCCGTCTCAAAAAAAAAAAAAAAGACTCAGGTTGCCATAGCCCCTCACCCTCCCTCTCCCATCTGAGATACAATTCATCACAAAGAGACACTCCACATGACACAGAGTCTCTCCTTTCCTCACTTTTTCAGCAAAGATAGATAGGGAGAAGGGCTGCCTAATAACAGCAGTGAAGATGCTGTTATTCATCACTGAGATGGTCCTTTATGAAGCTGAGAACCAAGAATTCTCTTTAAGCCTTGGCATCTCAGATCATTCTGGTCTTTTTTTAAAAGGGTTGCATTCTGCTGAGCAGTGGGATAAACAAGCCACTGCCATCACTGTAACTGCTGCTGGCTGCTATGCAGCTCACCACCACTGCCTCCACTGCCTCTGCTAAACAGATAAAGGAATGTATGTCTCTGGCTCAGTAAGGGTGTCTGTAATGGGCCTCAAGCACAGGAGTGTGACATATGGTATGAGAAAATCTGTGTACATAAACACGTGAGCCACCCCCAAAAGAAGACTGTCTACAGAAGCACAAAGAAAAACAGACAATCTTAATGGATGACAATTTTGTATGTGTATATTTGTGAATAAGGCTGTTTTCAAGCAATTTTCCCTGACCATGGATGTTGCTAACTTTGTGTGTGACACTGCAGATGACAGGAGGTGTGTCTAAGGACAGTGTATGAATGCACCTTCATATAAGCAGGAAAGGAGGTAAAAAGACAGGATGTGGCAGTGTGATGGGGTAGCAACAGCAACAAACACAGATGACATTTATGTTCAAGGGGCTCTAGAAAGGTAGATGCTATAAAAGTACCATGGTTCAACCATATTGCTGTTATCAGTCCAGCATTTCTGCTTTATAATGTATGTTTCAGTAGCTTCATTACACAGGTGGCTTCCGCTTAATGGTTGAGAGTACTGGCTCTGGAAGCAGACTTAGGCAAGACCCTGAACTGAGGTTTCCCCATTGATAGAGATAATGTACTGTACTGCCCTTATAGGGTTTTGTAAAAATTAAGATTAAAATTCAAATTAGGACAAGGCCTGGTATATCACAGGTGATCAAAACATTTTAATTTTGGGAGACTGAGGTGGGAGGATTGCTTGAGCCCAGGAGTTTGAGACCAGCCTGGGCAACACAGCAAGACCCCAACTCTAGAAAAATTTTTTAAAATTAGCCAGGCATGGTGGCATGTGCCTGCAGTCCCAGCTCCGAGGGAAGCTGGGGTGGGGAGGATCGCTTGAGCCCAAGAGGTCAAGGTTACAGTAAGCTGTGATCGTGCCACTGCACTACAGCTTGGCTGACAGAGTGAGACCCTGTCCCCAAAACAACACCACTTTAATTTGCATCCTTATTATAAAAACTATTATCAAACAGAAACTTTGGTTTGTATAGTTTGGCATGAATTTTCTTAAAATTATTTCTATTGCCGAGGTCAACTATGACCTAACTACAAAACTCAAAGGACCCTTGGCAGCCTCTCTTTCCCTTAAGTGACCTCTCAGCATTTGGTGACGTCGTGAACTTTTCCTAGCCTTCCCTTAACTCCCATGACACCACCTCCTCCTGGTTTTCCTCCTACTCTCCCAGCCACTCCCCAGTCTCCTTTGCTGGCTCTTAAGTCTTAGAGTTAACTAGTCGTTCAAAGACCAGACTTGATACTGGACTCACTCAGAAGGATATAGGATATATTTCTCTCCTGAGCTGTTGCAACTGACTTCCAATTTATCTCCCTATTTCTGCCCTTGCCACCATCCCCATGTTTAGTCTCAATAGTAGCTACAAGAATGCTCCTTTGAAAATATAGACTGCTTGACAGAAAACAACAGTGCAAAAGTGATATGCCTTCAGCATGATCCTTGACTTTATGTTCAGATGAAACTATTGTTAAGTTGAAAGTATCTCAATTTATGATGGGCTTATCCCAATGCGACCTCATCGTAAGTCAAAGAGCAGCTGTAGAAGTCAAATTATGTTACTCATCTGCTTAAAACCCTCTCTAATGGGGCCCTCAAACAATGGAAAGCACAGCAATGGAAAGTCTGAGGGCCTTTACACCTTCTGTTCCCCTTCCTGGAACACTCTCCTCCTTCAGTATTCATGACTTTCTCAGGTCTTTATTGAAACGTCACTGTTTCAGTGATATCTTTCCAGATAAGATTTAAAATTGAATTCTTAAAAAAAGAACTTACAGGAATACACATCTTGGGGCAGGGTGGGGGGTGGATTTAAGTTCTCCTGCACCAATACTCTCTATCTTCCACCTTTATTTTCCTTTATAGCAATTATCACCATCTAACATACTATATATTCTCTTTACCTATTTTGTTTAGTGTTTGATTTGCTCCACTAAAATAGAACTTCCATTGCGTGCAGGCGTTTTTGTCAGTTGTGTTCACTGATGTATCTCCAGTACCTAGACTAGGAATGTTTTAGTAGCTAAATACATTCCTAAAGGAATGTATGTCTCTGGCTCAGTAAGGGTGTAGGCACATAGTAGGCACTCAAATATTTGTTGAGTGAATGAATACACTGAAACCTGAAGGTCAACAAGGAGCATTCTATAACAATATGCCCAATATTTAGTGGCTTCAGCAACTAACTGAACAAACTATGGGGAGAATCTTCTATGTAAAAGGCATTCAACTGGGCACCTTCCACTAGGCACTAAAGTTCCCTTTGACAAATGGTTATTAAGCATATGGACTTGGCTCCCAAGGAAAAAGTATAGAGGGAAGACAAACAAATCAGCAGATATTTTCAATAATATACAGAAAGTTCTATAACAAAAGTTAGTCAAGGTGTAGAAGTAGATCAGAGGAAGACATTTGGGGCTGCCAGGGAAGCCTTCTCAGAGATAGCAGGTGTCACCTGCAAAGGACTTTGAAGGATAAGTGAAAATGGCAGGCAAATGGGGCAAGGGTAGAGGATCCAAAGGTGAGTACGATGTTGCCCTAATCCTCAGGGAGTGTACAAAACAGCAAGGGTTATAAGAGAAGGCCAAAAATAACAAGAGTTGGCAAACTAATGCCATGGGAAGCAAAACAAAGCCCTAGGGAAGAGCAAACAGGAATTAAATTAAATATTCCCTGAAGGTTAGTTAGCTAAGCTTAAGTAACACTCTTTTTGTTCACTGAGATAGTGGTGGTGGTGACAGATATGCTACAAAAGAATAAAAACAATTACTATCCCACTAAAACAAAGTTTAATGATTAAAAAAGAAATCACTATATTTTTCTTCCCCAAAGGCTGGTAAGTGGCAGATTTTATTGAATCATTCTGGAATGCCTATAAAGGTGGGTGCTCTGAAGGCCTCTATCACATGGATCTTATTGGCAAGACTTCTCTGATACACAGGTTCTCTACTGCCTTGAACCTGGGAAAAGGGGGCTGACAGGGAAGGAGCCTTTCTTATCCTGTCTTCCATAGATTGAGGATTTGGGAAATGCTTGTTCACACTTCCAGTTCTCCTTTAAAGAGGGAAAGCGCAAATTGTGTAGAATTTTTGCAATTGAGCTTCAGTTTGGAATCTAGTACGGTAGTTCCCAGGAGGGGATGATGCTCTGAAGGAATGCAAATCTGGCAAATCAAGGCCAGGGGAACAGCCCATTAGTCATACAAAACAAAACAGGCACAAAGAAGTTTAAATCATCTCTGTTCACTTTGTATGCTACAAAGTCCTGGAACTCCTAGGATGGCCAAGTAAAAACTACAGTTTTTTCTTAGTGCTGTTTTTAATTCAGCAGTAGCTCAGAGGATCTACATAGAAAGAACTAAATCTTGACTATGTTCCATGGCAGAGAAAATGTATTCATCATTTCTCTTGAAATTGGTCATCCATTCACTACTGCTAAAATTAATTAATTTTATAAAATACTTATATTTGCTGTGAGTTTATGCCACATTCCTTTCCTCTAAAATATGAATAACTCTTGAGTTCATTACTTCACTAATTGTATGCTGATTCCTTCAATCCTATCTCTGCGCCATCTAACTTACTGTTTTTATTAGATTTTTAATTATAAAAATAAAAACATTCATTTTACATATATAAAGCAGCATAGAAGTACAATTTCCTACCTACTACTCTTTCGGTGCTGAATATCATTCTATACCATTCCCTAGGCTTACTCATATATACACAGGGTATACAAAATTTTCTTAAAGGGTGTTTTTCTTGCCTTTTATTCAATTACAAAAATGGGATCATATTATATACATTACTTGGCAGCTTTCATTTTTCTCTTCCCAATGTATCACAGTCATTTCTCTAGCTCAATTTATTTATTTTTAATTTTTTTAGAGATGGGGTCTCTCTATTTTGCCCAGGCTGGACTCAAACTCCTGGGCTTAAGTGACCCAAAAGGAGAAGGCACGCCACCATGCGCAGCCTCCAGCCCAATGTATATAGATCTCTTTCAATAGCTGTGTGGTATTCCCTACTATGAATATACTACAATTTATCAAACTATTTCTTAAAATGTGTTATTTCTATATTTTTTTTACCATCACAAAGATGCTTTATTTGTATATGACAGACTGACAAAATTAGATAGCTGGGTATTAAGAGTATATATTTTAAAGTTTGTTTTTTTTTTGAGACGGAGTCTTTTTCTCGTTGCCCAGGCTGGAGTGCAGTGGCACAATCTCAGCTCACTGTAGCCTCCACCTCCTAGGTTCAAAGATGCATATTACCTTAATTTTTACACTCTGACAAGCAAAACATAGTATCTCATGGTTTTAATTTGCATTAGCCAGACTCACAGTGCTTTTAAGCATCCTTTAATGTTTATTGCCTTTTTTCTGTGAACAGCCTATTTATGTCTTTTGTGCCTACTTACCTATTACAGTCTGTCTCTACAGTTCTTTTTACCTATCAGATTTTAACACCAATTCATATGGTGAAATTCCAGACCGTTGTATTTTGACTTTTATTGTATCTCTCGCCATAAAAAGATGAGTTCAGATGAACAAAGTGCATAGTGCCTGACACATAGTGCTATGTAGATGTTTTTAAAAATAAACAATTGAAATTTCTAAGTTTTTAAGGTGCACATCATTTAATGACATGCTCCTGTTAGTAAGTCATTTTTAAGATGTGACTTATAGTAACACAGGACTCAGTCACATGCAGTTGCTGTGATTTCTTTTACTAATTCTCCCATGGTTGGACATTTAGGTTATTTCCCCTCACACAATTTTTTTTTTTTTTTTTTTTGAGACAGGGTCTCACTTTGTTGTCCAGGCTGGAGTGCAGTGGCATGATCATAGCTCACTGCAGCCTCGACCTCCTGGGCTCAAGGGTTCCTCTCACCTTAGCCTCCTGCACAGCTGGGGCCACAGGCACACACCACCACACCTGGTTAATTTTTTTATTTTTTTGTAGAGATGGGATCTCATTTTGTTGCCTAGGCTGGTCTCAAACTCCTGGGCTCAAGCTATCCTACTGCCTTCACCTCCTAAAGTGTTGGGATTACAGGCATGAGCCACCATGCCCAGCTATTTCCCACTTTTGATATCACAAATAATGCTGCAACAAATTTTTTTGTGCATAGATCTTTGAAAAAAAAATGCCTTATTTTGTCTTGTGTATTGCTTATACATAAGACAGTTTTAATGACCAATGAACTTGAAAATATCTATTTGTGTATCATGTTGATCAATTTTGAATATCACTGCCCTTTTGTAGTCAGTCCAAAATCTATAAGTTTTTCTATTAATAGTAAGTATAAGATCTATTCTTCTGGCTGGGTGCGGTGGCTCACACCTGTAATCCTAGCACTTTGGGAGGCTGAGGCAGGAGGATCACTTGAGGTCAGGAGTTTGAGACCAGCCTCGCCAATACGGTGAAACCCCCATCTCTGCTAAAAATACACAAATTAGCCAGGCATGGTGGCGCGTGCCTGTAATCCCAGCTGCTCTGGAGGCTGAAGCAGGAGAAATACTTGAACCTGGGAGGCAGAGGTTGCAGTTGAGCCAAGATCGTACCATTGTACTCCAGCCTGGGCAATAAAGTGAGACTCTGTCTCAAAAAAAAAAAAAAAAAAAAAAATTCTATTCTTACCTTTCTAACCATTTCTGTCTTCTTTACATGCTTTCTTTCTCTCAAGCCTGTATGTCTTTAAGGTTCAGTCCTAAATCTTTACTGCTTCTCTCCAGTGTGTTCCTCCTCTTGACATCTCATTCAGGTATTCACCTTCATCACTCATTTCCATAAAGATGACTTTACACTTTGCCTTCCTTTGGAATTCCACTTCCTTATTTCTATGTGTGTTGGAGTCCACATGGTATTTCTAGATCCTAGCACAGTGCGTGTCAGTTGATATTCCCAACGTATGTTCCTCCACGTGTTACTGTGGGAGAAAAGTTTCAATGGCAACTAACTTAAACACGATAATGTTAAGCATATTTATTTACTGCAGAACTACTCAAAAGTTTTAATATGTAAAAGGGATACAACATATCCACTTATATGAAGTACCTAGAGTAGTCAGTTCATAGAGACAGAAAGTAGAATGGTGGTAGCCAGAGCTGGGGGCAAGGAGAAATGGAGAGTTATTGTTTAATGGGTCGTAGTTCCAGTTTTGCAAGATGGAAAGACTTCCGTAGATGGATAGTGGTAATCATTGCAAAACAATGAGGATGTAATTAATATTACAAAACTGTACACTTAGAAATGGTTAAGATGGTGTGTGTCTCCTCCGAATCTCCTGTTGAAATGTGATCCCTAATGCTGAGGTAGGGCCTAGTGAGAGGTGTTTGGGTAATGGGGATAGATTTCTCACGAATGGTTTGGTGCCCCTCTTGCTCATGCAAGATCTGATTGTTTAAAAGAGTGTAGCAGCCTAGGCAACAAAGTGAGGCCTGTTTTTACAAAAAATTTTAAAAATTAGCTGGAGATGGTGGCACGCCCCTGTGGTCCCAGCTACATGGGAGGCTGAGACAAGGAGGATTGCTTGAGCCCAGGAGGTTGAGGCTGCAGTGAGCTGTGAATGTGCCACTGTACTCTAGCCTGGGTGACAGGGTAAGATCCTGTAAGAAAAAAGAAAAGAAAAGAAAAGAAGAAGAGAAGAGAAGACAGAAAAGAGAGAGAGAGAAAGAGAGAGAAGAAAGAGAGAAAGAGTGAAAGAGAAAGAAAGGAGAGGAAGAAAAGAAAGAAAGGAAGGAAGGAAAGAAAAGAAAAAAGAATAGAATAAAATAAAATAGAAAAGAAAAGAAAAAAAAGAGTGTGGCACTCCCTCTCTCTTGCCATTTGACGCACCTGCTTGCACTTTGCTTTCAGACATGATTGTAAGCTTCCTGAGCCCTCACCAGAAGCAAGCACCCCACTTCTTGTACAGCCTGCAGAACTGTGAGTCAAAATAATCCTCTTTTCTTTATAAATTACCCAGTCTCAGGTATTCCTTTATAGCAACGCAAATGGACTAACACAGGTATTAAATTTTATGTTATGTGTATTTTACCAAAATTTTTAAAAAAGGATACATCAGTGTTTCCTGAACTTACTCATGAAACTCCTTTTCTAAACAGTACCTCTGATGGGACTCTTCCTTGCAATACACTTTCCATTCCTAGGTTATAAATTCCTAGAGGCCAAGAACTATGGTTAGTATTTCTTTATAGTCCCACAGTACTTAGTTTGTTGACAAATTTAAAAGTGATCTTTATATCAAGAGCAGGACATTTAGTCTGACGGTTAACCTTTTTTTTTTTCCTTTTTTTAAATTGAGATTGAGTCTAACACCCTATGTTAGCCAGGGTGGTCTTGAACTCCTGCCCTCAAGCAATTCTCCCACCTAGGCCTCCCAAAGTGCTGGGATTACAAGTGTGCGCTATGGTACTCAGCCTGACTGTTAATCTTTGTTCTAAGTCAATGCTTTTCACTTTAGCACTATGAACATTTGGACTGCATACTTTTTTGTTGTGGGGGAATAGGGCACAGATTTGTACACTGTAAGATATTTAGCACCACTTCTGGTCTCTATCCATTAGATGCCAGTAGTGTCCCTCAAAAATGTCTCCAGACTTTGCCAATGTCCCTCGGGGAGCAAAATCACCTCCAACTGAGAACAGCTTGTGTAGTTAATATTACCTTAAAAAGTACAGTAAAAGGGCCGGGCGCGGTGGCTTACGCCTGTAATCCCAGCACTTTGGGAGGCTGAGGCGTGTGGATCATGAGGTCAGGAGATCGAGACCATCCTGGCTAACATGGTGAAACCCTGTCTCTACTAAAAATACAAAAAATTAGCCGGGCGTGGTGGCAGGCGCCTGTAGTCCCAGCTACTCGGGAGGCTGAGGCAGGAGAATGGTGTGAACCCGGGAGGCGGAGCTTGCAGTGAGCCGAGATTGCACCACTGCACTCCAGCCTGGGCAACAGAGCAAGACTCTGTATCAAAAAAAAAAAAAAAAAAAAAAAAAAAAAAAAGTACAGTAAAAGGAAAGAGACCATGTCTACAACTAGATTTATGAATTACTATGCATAAATACATACTTTATCCCTAGCAACTCTGCCTATACAAAACATAAACAGCCACAAAACCTCTTTTAGATCAAATTAGCAAATACAAAGTACCTACAATGGTATCAATCTGTACAGTTCAACAGCCAGTAGCCACGTCAGTACTGAGCACTTGCAATGTGGCTAGTCTGAACTCAGACGTACTGTAAGTATAAAATTCACACTGGATTTCAAAAATTAAGTATGGAAAGATTTAAGACTCAAAAAAATTAAAAAAAAATTTTTTTTAGAGACAGGGTCTCACTTTGTCACCAGGCTGGAGTGCAGTGGTACAATCATAGCTCACTGCAGCCTTGAAATCCTGGGCTCAAGGGATCCTCTTGCCTCAGCCTTCAGAGAAGAGGAGACCACATCTACGCACTATCATGCCTGGAAAATTTTTAATTTTTTGTAGAGAAGGGGTCTTGCTATGTTGCCCAGGCTAGTCTCAAACTCCTAGCCTCAAGTAACCTTCCCACCTGGGCCTCCCAAAGCACTGGGATTATAGGCATGAGACCATGTCTGCCTGATTAACACTTTTTATATACTGTTACCTGTATTACTAAAATTAATTTCACCTATTTCTTTTCACTTTTTAAAACGTGGCTATTTTACAATTTATAACTACAGATATCACTCACATTGTAGCTTACATTGTATTTCCACCAGTTAGCACTAATCTGGACACTTCAGCCGTACTGCAACTTCTGGTTCAACGGGCATATCAGTCTTCTTGGAAGGCAAGTTACCATCACTGCCAACTTAGGCAAGGATGTAGTTTATGACTATTCCAGTGTGTCTGTTCAAGGTATGAGGATTTTAACCGGATACTCAAAGGCAATCCAACCCATGGCAAGATTATCACAAGAAGATACACACTCATGAAGTTGTTGAAAGCTTACCAAGGAAAATGACTACAGATTTTTAAGGAATTCAAAGATCCCCTTAGGCCAATACATCCTTTTCTGGATAACTTATCTTTCAAAGAGTTACTATCAAATAGTATGCCCTTGGATTTTATGCCATTTGCCATTTGAAAACATTAAATGTATTTGTCTAAGTATTATTTCCTCTATTTTTCACAAAAGCCCTGAGAGATAGTTAGGGACAGTTATTATATACGTTGTTACAACACAGCCTGAGAGTTGTGTTTCAGGAGGGGACCTATACATGACTGCAGCTGATTCTGTGTTTAAACTCCACTTCCAAATTTCCCAGTATTCTATCTTAATCAGAAAAACAGACATGCATGCATTAAAACATTTATGAAACCCCCTAAACGTTCTTAGGTTAACTAACTCAAGAAGCTGACAATACCAAGGGCTTTTGTTTTTCACGCTGTGAAAGAAAATATCTTGGGCCCCAAAATCACTAAGCTACAAGGAAAATTCAAGCTGGGAACTGCTTAGGGCAAACCTGCCTCCCATTCTATTCAAAGTCATCCCTCTGCTCACTGAGATAAACGCGTATCTGATTGCTTCCTTTAGAAAGGCTAATTAGAAACTCAAAAGAATGCAGCAGTTGGTCTCCCACCTACCTGTGACCTGGAAGCCCCCTCCCTACTTCGAGTTGTCCTACCTTTCCAGACCGAACCAATGTTCATTTTATATATATTGACTGATGTTTCATGTCTCCTAAAATGTATAAAACCAAGCTGTGATCTGACCACCTTGGGCACGTCATCAGAACCAACCTTGGCAAAATAAACTTAATTTTTTTTTTGAGAGAGACAGTCTCACTCTGTCCACCCAGGCTGGAGCGCAGCAGCACAATCTCGGCTCACTGCAAACTCCGCCTCTTGGTGCAAGCGATTTTCATGTTTCAGCCTCCTGAGTAGCTGGGATTACAGGCATTTGCCACCACACCTGGCTAATTTTTGTATTTTGGTAGAGACAGGGTTTCACCATGTTGGCCAGGCTGGTCTTGAACTCCTGACCTCAGATGATCTGCCTGCCTTGGCCTCCCAAAGTGCTGGGATTACAGGCGTGAGCCACCGGGCCCAACTGCAAAATAAACTTTCTAAATTAACTGAGACCTGTCTCAAATTTTTGGGGTTCACATTTGGTAACCATAAAGGGATCTGAGTGGAGGTGCCCCTGACCTTTGACAAATCTCCTATCAGTGCTTGGTACCAGCATGAGCTAACTTTATGGCTCAAACTGACAGACAGGACTAGCTGGATTTCCTAGGCCAACTAAGAATCCCTAAGCCTAGCTGGGAAGGTGACCGCATCCACCTTTAAACACGGGGCTTGCAACTTAGCTCACACCCAACCAATCAGAGAGCTCACTAAAATGCTAATTAGGCAAAAACAGGAGGCAAAGAAATAGCCAATCATCTATTGCCTGAGAGCACAGTGGGAGGGACAAGGATCGGGATACAAACCCAGGCGTTCAAGCTGGCAACAGCAACCCTCTTTGGGTCCCCTCTCTTTGTGTGGGAGCTCTGTTTTCACTCTATTTCACTCTATTAAATCTTGTAACTGCACTCTTCTGGTCCATGTTTGTTATGGCTCGAGCTGAGCTTTCGCTCGCCATCCACCACTGCTGTTTGCCGCCATCGCAGACCCGCCACCGCAGACCTGCCACTGCAGACCCACCACTGACTCCCATCCCTCCGGATCCAGCAGGGTGTCCGCTGTGCTCCTGATCCAGCGAGGTGTCCATTGCCACTCCCAATCAGGCTAAAGGCTTGCCATTGTTCCTGCACAGCTAAGTGCCTGGGTTCATCCTAATCAAGCTGAACACTAGTCACTGGGTTCCACGGTTCTCTTCCGTGACCCATGTCTTCTAATAGAGCTATAACACTCACCGCATGGCCCAAGATTCCATTCCTTGGAATCCGTGAGGCCAAGAACCCCAGGTAAGAGAACACGAGGCTTGCCACCATCTTGGAAGTGGCCTGCCACCATTGTGGAAGTGGCCCACAACCATCTTGGGAGCTCTGGAAGCAAGGACCCCCGGTAACATTTTGGTGACCACGAAGGGACATCCAAAGCGGTGAGTAATATTGGACCACTTTCGCTTGTTATTCTGTCCTATCCTTCCTTAGAATTGGAGGAAAATACTGGGCACCTGTCAGCCAGTTAAAAACGATTAGCGTGGCCGCCGGACTTAAGACTCAGGTGTTACGCTATCTGCGGAAGGGCTTTCTAACAACCCCCAACCCTTCTGGGTTGGGGACGTTGGTCTGCTTGGAGCCAGCTTCCACTTTCAATTTTCTTGGGGAATCCGAGGGCTGACTAGAGGCAGAAAGCTGTCGTCCAGAACTCCCGGCATTAGCCTGTTGAGATCATGGCGCAGCCAGAAGTCTCTACTCAACAGTCGCCCATGGGTGCGCCCCTACCTTTCCTTCTGACCCATACCTCATGGGTCCTGACCACGACTTTCTTGAAAGTGTAGCCCCAAAATTCTCCTTACCTTTGAATCTACTTCCTCTGATCCCTGCCTCCTAGGTACTAATGGTTCACACTTTCATTTCCTCTAGCAAGTTGTATCTCCAAAGGGATCTAGGGAGGCTCTGCGTTGTGTCCTTAGGCACCTGGGCTGTAACCCAGGGAGTCTTATCCCTGGTGTCCCTCCTGATTCAGGTATGCAGCTCTCGACATGGGCAGTTATGTGGGACCCGTTCCCCACTACCCTTGCCAGGGCCCCAAGTTTGTAATGGCTGAGAGAGAGAGAGACGGAGAGAGAGGGAGAGACGGAGAGAGAGACAAAGACAGAGTCAAAGAGAAAAAGAAAGAAAAAGATAGAATAAAAAAAAAAAGTGTGCCCTATTCCTTTAAAAGCCAGCGTAAATTTAAAACCTGTAATTGATAATTGAAGGTCTTCTCTATGACTCTATAATACTCCAATACCACTGTTGTCAATGTAAATAAGGGCGTAGCCCAAAAGCACTGAGGCCACTGGCAACCTGTAGCTTTCCTATAAAAAATCCTTAACCCAGTAACCCGCGGATGGGCCAAATGCATTCAGTCGGTAGCGGCAACTGCTTTGCTAAAAGTAGAAAAGTAACTTTTAGAGGAAACCTTCTTGTGAGCACACCTCACCAGTTACATTATTCTAAGTTAAAAAAAAAGCAAAAAGGTAGCTTACTAAATCAAAAATCTTAAAGTATGGGGCTATTATGTTAGAAAAGGGTAATGTAACTCCAACCACTGATAATTCACTTAACCCAGCAGATTTCCTAACAAAGGATTTAAATCTTAATTACCATACAAAGGTCCGACCAGACCTAGGAGGAACTCCCTTCAGGACAGGACGATAGATGGTTCCTCCCAGGTGATTGAGGGAAAAAACCACAATAGGTATTCAGTAATTAATACAGAGACTCTGTGGAAGCAGAGTTAGAAAAATTGCCTAATAATTGGTCTCCTCAAACGTGCGAGCTGTTTGCACTCAGCCAAGCCCATACTTACATAATCAAAAGACTATTTCAATCCTGACTCAAAAGGTTCGCTACACCTCTCTGAAACGAATTTGCATAAGAGTGTTGTTTATGGGAATGCATCTTGATGGGGCAGCTGGGTTGTTATGAAATACCCAGGAACCCAGCCCAGCTCTAGGACTCACCCCTGAGCGCAAAAGCAATGTCGGGCACGCTGGTAAAGGACCACTAGAATCCAGCAGCCCAGACCCCTTTCTTTGTGGTCAAGAGAGGTGGAAAAATAGGTGCAGGACTGCTACATTGGTGAGCGTAACTAATCCGATAAGCAGAGGTCCATGGGTGGTTACGCACCCTGGAAAAGAATAAGCATTAGGCCCTTAGAGGATGCTTTAGGACTAATGCTCATCGGAAAATGACTAGGGGTGCTGGCATCCCTATGTTCTTTTTTCAGATCGGAAACGTTCCCCACACCCCAAGGCAAAAACGCCCTTAAGATGTATTCTGGAGAATAAGGACCAATTTGACCCTCAGACGCTAAGAAAGAAATGACTTATATTCTTCTGCAGTACTGCCTGGCCATGATATCCTCTTCAAGGGGGAGAAACCTGGCCTCTTGAGGGAAGTATAAATTATAACACCATCTTACAGCTTGACCTCTTCTGTAGAAAGGAGGGCAAATGGAGTGAAGTGCCATATGTGCAAACTTCCTTTTCATTAAGAGACAACTCGCAATTATGTAAAAAGTGTGGTTTATGCCCTACAGGAAGCCCTCAGAGTCTGCCTCCCTATCTCAGCATCCCCCCGACTCCTTCTGCAACTAATAAGGGACCCCCCTTTTACCCAAAGGTCCAAAGAAGATAGACAAAGGGATAAACAATGAACCAAACAGTGCCAATATTCCCCGATTATGCCCCCTCCAAGCAATGTGAGGAGCAGAATTCGGCCCAGCCAGAGTGCATGTACCTTTTTCTCTCTCAGACTTAAAGCAAATTAAAATAGACCTAGGTAAATTCTCAGATAACCCTGATGGCTATACTGAAGTTTTATAAGGGTTAGGACAATCTTTTGATCTGATGTGGAGAGATATAATGTTACTGCTAAATCAGACACTAACCCCAAATGAGAGAAGTGTCGCCATAACTGCAGCCCGAAGAGTTTGGTGATCTCTGGTATCTCAGTCAGGTCAATGATAGGATGACAACAGAGGAAAGAGAACAATTCCCCACAGGCCAGCAGGCAGTTCCCAGTGTAGACCCTCATTGGGACACAGAATCAGAACATGGAAATTGGTGCCGCAGACATTTGCTAACTTGTGTGCTAGGACTAAGGAAAACTAGGAAGAAGCCTATGAATTATGCAATGATGTCCACTATAACACAGGGAAAGGAAGAAAATCCTACTGCCTTTCTGGTGAGACTAAGGGAGGCATTGAGGAAGCATACCTCTCTGTCACCTGACTCTATTGAAGGCCAACTAATCTTAAAGGATAAGTTTATCACTCAGTCAACTGCAGACATTAGAAAAAAACTTCAAAAGTCCGCCTTAGGCCCAGAGCAAAACTTAGACCCTATTGAACTTGGCAACCTCGGTTTTTTATAATACAGATCAGGAGAAGCAGGCGGAATGGGACAAACGGGATAAAAAAAAAGGCCACTGCTTTAGTCATGGCCCTCAGGCAAGCGGACTTTGGAGTCTCTGGAAAAGGGAAAAGCTGGGCAAATCGAATGCCTAATATGGCTTGCTTCCAGTGTGGTCTACAAGGACACTTTAAAAAAGATTGTCCAAGTAGAAGTAAGCTGCCCCCTCGTCCATGCCCCTTATGTCAAGGGAATCACTGGAAGGCCCATTGCCCCAGGGGACGAAGGTCCTCTGAGTCAGAAGCCACTAACCAGATGATCCAGCAGCAGGACTGAGGGTGCCCGGGGCAAGCACCAGCCCATGCCATCACCCTCACAGGGCCCCGGGTATGCTTGAACATTGAAGGCCAGGAGGTTAACTGTCTCCTGGACACTGGCATGGCCTTCTCAGTCTTACTCTCCTGTCCCAGACAACTGTCCTCCAGATCTGTCACTATCCGAGGGGTCCTAGGACAGCCACTAAGTTGTGACTGGGGAACTTTACTCTTTTCACATGCTTTTCTAATTATGCCTGAAAGCCCCACTCCCTTGTTAGGGGGAGACATTCTAGCAAAAGCAGGGGCCATTATATATCTGAACATAGGAGAAGGAACACCTGTTTGTTTTCCCCTGCTTGAGGAAGGAATTAATCCTGACGTCTGGGCAACAGAAGGACAATATGGATGAGCAAAGAATGCCTGTCCTATTCAAGTTAAATTAAAGGATTCTACCTCCTTTCCCTACCAAAGGCAGTACCCTTAGACCTGAGGCCCAACAAGGACTCCAAAAGATTGTTAAGGACTTAAAAGCCCAAGGCCTAGTAAAACCATGCAATAGCCCCTGCAATACTCCAGTTTTAGGAGTACAGAAACCTAATGGACAGTGGAGGTTAGTGCAAGATCTCAGGATTATCAATGAGGCTGTTCTTCCTCTATACCCTGCTATACCTAACCCTTGTACTCTGCTTTCCCAAAAACCACAGAAAGCAGAGTGGTTTACAGTCCTGGACCTTAAGGATGCCTTTTTCTGCATCCCTGTACACCCTGACTCTCAATTCTTGTTTGCCTTTGAAGATCCTTTGAACCCAATGTCTCAACTCACCTGGACTGTTTTACCCCAAGGGTTCAAGCATAGCGCCCATCTATTTGGCCAGGCATTAGCCCAAGACTTGAGCCAATTCTCATACCTGGACACTCTTGTCCTTCAGTACGGGGATGATTTAATTTTAGCCACCCGATCAGAAACCTGGTGCCATCAAGCCACCCAAGCACTCTTAAATTTCCTTGCTACCTGTGGCTACAAGGTTTCCAAACAAAATGCTCAGCTCTGCTCACAGCAGGTTAAAAACTTAGGGCTAAAATTATCCAAAGGCACAAGGGCCCTCAGTGAGGAACGTATCCAGCCTATACTGGCTTATCCTCATCCCAAAACCCTAAAGCAACTAAGAGGGTTCCTTGGCATAACAAGCTTCTGCCGAATATGGATTCCCAGGTACAGCGAAATAGTCAGGCCATTATACACACTAAGGAAACTCAGAAAGCCAATACCCATTTAGTAAGATGGACACCTGAAGCAGAAGTGGCTTTTCAGGCCCTAAAGAAGGCCCTAACCCAAGCCCCAGTGGTAAGCTTGCCAATGGGGCAAGACTTTTCTTTATATGTCGCAAAAGAAACAGGAATAGCTCTAGGAGTCCTTATACAGGTCCGAGGGACCAGCTTGCAACCTGTGGCATACCTGAGTAAGGAAATTGATGTACTGGCAAAGGGTTGGCCTCATTGTTTACGGGTAGTGGCAACAGTAGCAGTCTTAGTATCTGAAGCAGTTAAAGTAATACAGGGAAGAGATCTTACTGTGTGAACATCTCATGATGTGAATGGCATACTCACTGCTAAAGGAGACTTGTGGCTGTCAGACAACCGTTTACTTAAATATCAGGCTCTATTACTTGATGGGCCAGTGGTGTGACTGCGCACTTGTGCAACTCTTAACACAGCCACATTTCTTCCAGACAATGAAGAAAAGATAGAACATAAATGCCAACATGTGATTGCTCAAACCTAATGCTGCTCAAGGGGACCTTTTAGGGGTTCCCTTGACTGATCCCAACCTCAACTTGTATACTGATGGAAGTTCCTTTGCAGAAAAAGGACTTTGAAAAGCGGGGTATGCAGTGGTCAGTGATAATGGAATACTTGAAACTAATCCCCTCACTCCAGGAACTAGTGCTCAGCATGCAGAACTAATAGCCCTCACTCGGGCACTAGAATTAGGAGAAGGGAAAAGGGTAAATATATATACAGACTCTAAGTACGCTTACCTAGTCCTCCATGCCCATGCAGCAATATGGAGAGAGGGGAATTCCTAACTTCCGAGGGAACACCTATCAAACATCAGGAAGCCATTAGGAGATTACTATTGGCTGTACAGAAACCTAAAGAGGTGGCAGTCTTACACTGCCAGAGTCACCAGAAAGGAAAGGGAAACAGAAAGGAACTGCCAAGCGGATATTGAAGCCAAAAGAGCGGCAAGGCAGGACCCTCTATTAGAAATGCTTATAGAAGGACCCCCAGTCCTTCTATAATTGTCCCTGTTTGTAGATGACATGATTGTATATTTAGAAAACCCCATCATCTCAGCCCAAAATCTCCTTAAGCGGATAAGCAACTTCAGCAAAGTCTCAGGATACAAAATCAATGTGCAAAAATCACAAGCATTCCTATACACCAATAACAGACAAACAGCCAAATCATGAGTGAACTCCCATTCACAATTGCTTCAAAGAGAATAAAATACCTAGGAATCCAACTTACAAGGGATGTGAAGGACCTCTTCAAGGAGAACTACAAACCACTGCTCAACGAAATAAAAGAGGACACAAACAAATGGAAGAACATTCCATGCTCATGGATAGGAAGAATCAATATCGTGAAAATGGCCATACTGCCCAAGGTAATTTATAGATTCAATGCCATCCCCATCAAGCTACCAATGACTTTCTTCACAGAATTGGAAAAAACTACTTTAAAGTTCATATGGAACCAAAAAAGAGCCTGCATTGCCAAGACAATCCTAAGCCAAAAGAACAAAGCTGGAGAGGCATCACGCTACCTGACTTCAAACTATACTACAAGGCTACAGTAACCAAAACAGCATGGTACTGGTACCAAAACAGAGATATAGACCAATGGAACAGAACAGAGCCCTCAGAAATAATACCACACATCTACAACCATCTCATCTTTGACAAACCTGACAAAAACAAGAAATGGGGAAAGGATTCCCTTTTAATAAATGGTGCTGGGAAAACAGGTTAGCCATATGTAGAAAGCTGAAACTGGATCCCTTCCTTACACCTTACACAAAACTTAATTCAAGATGGATTAAAGACTTAAATGTTAGGCTTAAAACCATAAAAACCCTAGAAGAAAACCTAGACAATACCATTCAGGGCATAGGCAAAGACTTCATGTCTAAAACACCAAAAGCAATGGCAACAAAAGCCAAAATTGACAAATGGGAGCTAATTAAACTAAAGAGCTTCTGCACAGCAAAAGAAACTACCATTAGAGTGAACAGGCAACCTACAGGATGGGAGAAAATTTTTACAATCTACCCAACTGACAAAGGGCTAATATCCAGAATCTACAAAGAACTTAAACAAATTTACAAGAAAAAATCAAACAACCCCATCGAAAAGTGGGCAAAGGATATGAACAGACACTTCTCAAAATAAGACATTTATGCAGCCAACAGATACATGAAAAAATGCTCTTCATCACTGGCCATCAGAGAAATGCAAATCAAAACCACAATGAGATACCATCTCACACCAGTTAGAATGGTGATCATTAAAAAGTCAGGAAACAACAGGTGCTGGACAGGATGTGGAGAAATAGGAACACTTTTACACTGTTGGTGGGACTGTAAACTAGTTCAACCATTGTAGAAGACACTGGCAATTCCTCAAGGATCTACACCTAGAAATACCATTTGACCCAGCCATCCCATTACTGGGTATATACCCAAAGGATTATAAATCATGCTGCTGTAAAGACACATGCACATGTATGTTTACTGCAGCACTATTCACCATAGCAAAGACTTGGAACCAACACAAATGTCCATGAATGATAGACTGGAATAAGAAAATGTGGCACATATATACCATGGAATACTATGCAGCCATAAAAAAGGATGAGTTCATGTCCTTTGTAGGGACACGGATGAAGCTGGAAACCATCATTCTCAGCAAACTATTTCAAGGAAAGAAAACCAAACACCACATGTTCTCACTCATAGATGGGAACTGAACAATGAGAACACTTGGACACAGGGTGGGGAACATCACACACCGGGGCCTGTCGTGGGGTGGGGGGAGGGGGGAGGGATAGCATTAGGAGATATACCTAATGTAAATGATGAGTTAATGGGTGCAGCACACCAACATGGCACATGTATACATATGTAACAAACCTGCACGTTGCACACATGTACCCTAGAACTTAAAGTATAATAAGAAAATAAAAAAACAGTTGAACTCTAGGGCTGGGTGCACTGACTCATGCCTGTAATCCCAGCATTTTGGGAGGCCAAGGCAGTCAGATCACTTGAGGTCAGGAGTTTGAGACTAGCTTGGCCAACATGGTGAAACCCTGTCTCTACTAAATATACAAAAAATGAAAATTAGCCAGGCGTGGTGGCAGGCGCCTGTAATCCCACCTACTCAGGAGGCTGACGCAGGAGAATAACTTGAACACAGGAAGCAGACGCTGCACTCAGCTGAAATCACGCAACTGCACTCCAGCCTGGGTGACAGAATGAGACTCTATCTCAAAAAAACAAAAAAACAAACAAAACCCCCCAAAAACGGTGAACAAGTTTTGTCTAATTCAAAGCTTATTTAGGCCAGGGGCAGCGGCTCATGCCTGCAATCCCAGCACTTTGGGAGGCCGTGGCATGCAGATCACTTGAAGTCAGTTCAAGACCAGCTTGATCAACATGGTGAAACCCTGTCCCTACTATAAATATAAAATTAGTTGGGCATTGTGGTGCACGTGTAATCCCAGCGACTCGAGAGGCTGAGGCAGGAGAATCACTTGAACCCAGGAGGTGGAGGTTGCAGTGAGCCAAGATCGGGCCATTGCCTTCCAGCCTGGGTGCCAGAGCAAGACTCTGTCTCAGATAAAAAACAAACAAACAAAAAAAACCCCACAAAACTTATTTAAAGGTTATGTATACAACAAGGTAAAGGAATCAGGAAATAAGAGAGATGTTGTAAAGGAAGTTATAAAACAAATTTTTTTTGTATGTGGTAAGAAAGCTTAGAAATAATTTTACATGAGAAAGAATACTGTATGGTAAATTTAGTCCTAAGATAAAAGTTCAAGCATGTCATGAATGGTCTGTGTATGTCACAATAAGAGGATTTGTTTTAAAAAAATTGTATATGATCATGTTTACAATTAAAAGGAAATTATAATGCTCTTTCTAGAGACTGGGCTTCATGTTAAAAAAGACACATATACACGAAATTATTGGTTAGAAAAATAAACTTTTCTTAAGGGGTTAACTTACTCTTAATAAATTATAAGAGAATTTGCCTACGAATGGTGGCTTCTGCCTGTAATCCCAGCACTTTGGGAGGCCAAGACAGGTGGATCACTTGAGGTCAGGAGTTGTAGACTAGCCCGGCCAACGTAGTGACACCTCGTCTCTAACAAAAATACAAAAATTAGCCAGGCCTGGTGGCATGTGCCTGTAGTCCCAGCTACTTGGCAGGCTGAGGCACAAGAATTGCTTGAACCCAAGAGGCAGAGGCTGCAGTGAGCCAAGATTGCACCAGTGCACTCCAAACTGGGCAACAGTGCGAGACTCTATTTCAAAAAAAAAATTATAAGAGAATTTAATTTTTTTTTAAAACTGAAAGTTCAATTTTTATTGCATCTTGCCATTTTTTTTCAGCTTTCTCTCCCCTTTAAAAAGGCACACTGTCTTAAAGGTCTAAAGGAAGTGTTTTCTTCCAACATCATGTTCTGTGCATTGCAGAAGGTCTTTTCTTTTGCTTTTTGGTAACTGACCTAACAGAGTTTACATTTTGTTGAAATAATTCCTATGTTTAGGAAAAAACTGAGATTAAAAAAAGATTTTTTAATTAACATGATTACAACTGGGTATTTTCCTGTATGTGCTTTTAAAGTCCTTGTGACCTTAGGTTACAGGGCTTTGACTCCTGGGTCTAAAAAGGACACCAAGTCCTACTAAATCTTAAACACTGACAGCAATTGAAGCTGTCATCTTCAGGCCCCGTAGAAGACGCCAATCAAAATAAACTGCATTCCTGAGATACACGGCCAGAAATTAAAGGCATTCAACTCCTCAAGGCCCAGAGACTATCGAAGAAGAGGTGGGCAGGTAAGACTGTAAGGTCCAAATTTGAAAGATAAAATAAGTTCAGTTTCTCTATAAATTAATGATTAACGTCAAAGGCACAATGATGCAAGATCAGCTTATGGGCCCCTGTAATCAGATTAACAAGGTTTTCTTGACACATTAACTGACTCCTTAATAAAGGTTATAAAGGCTTATGGAAGTTATATCTTTTGTTTTCTTTTCTTTTTTTGAGATGGAGTCTCGCCCTGTCACCCAGGCTGGAACTGCAGTGGCTCAATCTCAGCTCACTGTAACCTCCGCCTCCTGGCTTCAAGCGATTCTCCTGCCTCAGCCTCCCGAGTAGCTGGGACTACAGACGCGTGCCACCACACTCAGCTAATTTTTGTATTTTTAGTAGAGAAGGGGTTTCACCATGTTGGCCAGGATGGTCTTGATCTCCTGACCTCCTGATCTGCCCACCTCGGCCTCCCAAAGTGCTGGGATTATAGGCGTGAGCCACCACGCCCAGTTAGAAATTATATCTTATGGTCAAGTTTAAAATTTTATAGATTGTTTATAAAATTTTGAAAACAAATTTAATTAGCTTCATGCTGTTTTTATTAGGGCTTATTGTTTGGAAAGTTAAGTCCCCTCTCTCAAAGAATGAAGGTTTTCACCTTTTTATGAAATCCTTGAGTTATCACTTTGGTTAAATGAATGATTTATTTTATAATGACCTGTGATCCTATTTTTGTGATATCAGGTGTTTTAAACATTTGATATTTGACAAACTTTCCAAAATCAAATTATAAATTATGTCTTTTTCTGACCTAATTAGTCCTTTAAGATATTAGATTCCCTGAAGTCCAAAAATGGCATAATTTGGCTTATTTGGTACAAAAATTACACAGGAAGCATTGTCAAATATGCAACAGTGTTTGGCTTTCTTTGAGATGTATTTGTATAAATATGTTATTGGTATGTGTTCCAAAATTATGGGAAATTCCTGTAATTCTGATATGACCTAGTGTACATTATCAGTAATAATCATAATTGTTACGTTAAAATTATTGTGTGCTACAGAGGAGAGGTATCAAATTTCCTTGTCAATTGTGTCTTTGCCTATGGCTGCCCTAAAACTTTTAGTCATCCACGCACAATTGTTGTGTTGTTTTGGTCCTCTTTAGAAAGTGTTTTTTTTTGTTGTTGCTGTTGTTGTTTTTTGAGATTCATTATTTATTCTTGATAATGTTTTCTTTGTTAAATTTGTTTTTTTAAATTATACTTTAAGTTCTAGGGTACATGTGCACAACGTGCAGTTTTGTTACATATGTATACATGTGCCATGTTGGTTTGCTGCACCCATTAATTCGTCATTTACATTAGGTATTTCTCCTAGTGCTATCCCTCCCCCATCCCCCCACCCCACGACAGGCCCCAGTGTGTGATGTTCCCTGCCCTGTGTCCAAATGTTCTCATTGTTCAATTCCCAACTATGAGTGAGAACATGCGGTATTTGGTTTTCTGTCCTTGTGATAGTTTGCTGAGAATGATGGTTTCCAGCTTCATCCATGTCCCTACAAAGGACATGAACTCATCCTTTTTTATGGCTGCATAGTATTCCATCGTGTATATGTGTCATTTTTTCTTAATCCAGTCTATCATTGATGGACATTTGGGTTGGTTCCAAGTCTTTGCTATGGTGAATAGTGCTGCAATAAACATACATGTGCATGTGTCTTTATCGTAGCATGATTTATAATCCTTTGGGTATATACCCAGTAATGGGATGGCTGGGTCAAATGGTATTTCTAGTTCTAGATCCTTGAGGAATCACCACAGTGTCTTCCACAATGGTTGACCTAGTTTACACTCCCACCAACAGTGTAAAAACGTAACTATTCCTCCACATCCTCTCCAGCACCTGTTGTTTCCTCTTGAATGCAGGTCTCCATTAACTTTGGAGATTGTTACATGAGAATAGAGGAAAAACTTTCAGAACTCATGGAGAGCTAAAATGCTCATGAATATCAAGCAGAATAGGAATTAACTAAGGGGACTGAACTAATCTTTTTGACTTTTTGCTTAAACATTGCTGATCTTTTGCTTTGTTTTTCAGAGCCTTGAAACTTTTCTTTTGAGCTATTGACAGCTTTTAACAATTTAGTATACTCCAATCAACAAAATTTGGAGCATATTTGTTTCTCTCTACCTGATTTCTCCAGAATTTGTAAACTATTTGTGAGTATTCTTAACTTGTGCCAATACAGTTATTTGCATAAGTGCAGTAAGAATCTGTTTTCATTTGTAACAGGACACAGTTGGAGAAACTGATTATTTTACCAAGGCTTTGAGTGGAAAGGTGTACTTTCCTTTAAGTAATCAAACCTGACTTATGGAGCCAATAAAAGCCCTTGGGAAAACTGGCCTCACACTTTACAAAGTCCCTGTACAGGGTTTCTGATATGTGCTAAGTAAAGAATGTCATTTTCTGACAGGTCCAGGAGCCCCTGGTTTATCATGGAACATCAAAAAGAGGAAATTCACCCTACTCATAGGTATTTGATGGTACAAATCCATGGCTGAGCTTGGCTTTAAAAAGAATCTTATCTGAGATTCCTTCTATGGAACAAAGTTCCTTCAAAGCCAATTTTAAAAAGCCTATGTGAAAAATAATTATTCTTGCTACACTTTATATAAATAATCTGGTCAAATATAATAAAGCAAATCAGTCCTACCATGATTTGTCTTTAGTAAAAATGGAAAACTGGAGAGAGAAAAATTGTTTCAAAACTTACAGTCCACTTGTTGTTAGATACTAGTCTTGCCTAATTTTTTCAATTTTTATTATTTTCTACAGTTTAGGCTGAATTCTAATTTTTCCTGGCTACAAGTCTCCAAAATAATATTTTTAATTTTTTTCTTTTCTTTTCCTTTTTTTTCCTAATTAGGAGTCACTGAAAACAGCTGTGCTTTTGTAAAGCCCTGCAAACTGAAGCTAGACAACTTAAACTTCAGAAGAAAATAACAGCAACCTATTTACACGCATAAGCCACTTTCATACCTGCCTACTGATGTATGGACTTCAGAATAACGTGGCCTATGTATATTTTCCAGGATTGTTCTTTTGTTTGTTGTTTTTCACCCTTCCTCCCCCTATTTTCTCTTCACAAGACATGGGAGTTCACAGCCTTCTAAAAATTAGCTTTCCTAATAACTTGGGACTTACCTGTCTAGGAATAAACCATCCTAGCATGAGCGATCAGATGAAATCTGGGACCAAAGACTCATTTTTCTTCTAAAATGCTTTCTCCAAAAAAAAATTTTTTTTAAAAAAAAGAAAAGGGGGCAAATGTAAAGGAAAATATCTTGGGCCCCCAAATCACTAAGTTAAAAGGAAAATTCAAGCTAGGAACTACTTAAGACAAACTTGCCTCCCATTCTATTCAAAGTCATCCCTCTGCTCATTGAGATAAATGTGTATCTGACTGCCTCCTTAGGAAAGGTAAATCAGAAACTCAAAAGAATGCAACCATTTGTCTCCCACCTACCCGTGACCTGGAAGCCCCCTTCCCGCTTCAAGTTGTCCCGCCTTTCCGAACCCAACCAGTGTTCATTTTACATATATTGATTGATGTCTTATATGTCCCTAAAACGCATAAAACCAAGCTGTGCTCTGACCACCTTGGGCACATGTTGTCAGGACCTCCTGAGGCTGTGTCACTGCGTGCGCATCCTCAACCTTGGCAAAATAAACTTTCTAAATTAACTGATACCTGTCTCAAATTTTTGGGGTTCACAAGGTTTAGTTATAAATGCTTCTTATGGAGCATGATTTTCTTACAAGCGAGGCAGGAGAATCGGATCTGGAGGCAGGGAACCTAGGGCTGTTTCACGCTGACTTCCTAGAACTAAATTGAAAGTAAAACCCTAACTTCCCACACCAAGTAACAAAAGAACCAGAGGCTTCTCCCTTTCCAAACCCCCACCTTTTCTGTGTGGCAGATGGGAAATTGAAAGTACCTCTGATTGGTTGCAAAAAGCAAAATTACGCTAAGAAGTAAGTTATCCCTTAAAAAAAATTATTCTTTCTGCAACCAATCAGATCTTCCCATAGGAGTGTAACTATGTAACTTCACCATCTGATTGCACGCCACGTCTTCGTTTGCATATAAGGGCAACTTTGTAACTTCACTTTAGCCTTTCATTGGTTGCTTTTCACAGCCAATTGTGGGTCACCACTTCATTTACATGAGATGAGTACCAAGTGGCCAATAGGAGACTTCAATGGGGTATTAGGGCCCCTGAGCTGCTGCTCCACACCCCAAACACAGGAGTGTCCTTTCATTTTCAGTAAATCCCTGCTTTTGGCGGGGCATGGTGGCTCATGCCTGTAATCCCAGCACTTCGGGAGGCCAAGGCAGGTGGATCACCTGAGGTCAGCAGTTTGAGACCAGCCTGACCAACATGATGAAACCCTGTCTCTAATAAAAATAAAGAATTAGCCAGGCTTGGTGGCGCATGCCTGTAATCATCCCAGCTACTTGGAAGGCTGAGGCATGAGAATCACTTGAACCCAGGAGGCGGAGGTTGCAGTGAGCCGAGATCGTGTCACTGCACTCCCGCATGGGCAACAGAGCAAGACTCCATCTCAAAACAACAACAACAACAAACACCTTCAAGGTCTGGCGTGGCGGCTCACACCAGTAATCCCAGCACTTTGGGAGGCGGAGGCAGGCGTTTCACCTGAGGTCGGGAGTTCGAGAGCAGCCTGACCAACATGGAGAAACCCTGTCTCTACTAAAAGTACAATATTAGCTGGGCATGGTGGCGCATGCCTGTAATCCCAGCCACTCGGGAGGCTGAGTGAGGCAGGAGAATTGTTTGAACCAGGGAGGTGGAGGTTGCAGTGAGCCGAGATCGCGCCATTGCACTCCAGCCTAGGCAACAAGGGCGAAACCTCATCCTAAAAAAACAAAAACAAACAAACACCTTCGGGCTTTGTGAGTGCTGGTCTCAGAAAAGCACTCAGTCTTCCTCCAAGGGCTAACTTACTTCTTCAGGAGTTGGGTGCCTTTGAGAAATTTCCCAAACCACTACAGAGGAACAACTTCTCCCTTCGTTCACCACTCTACCAAGCACTTGGCTTTTGTACCTTATTGCAATTATTTATCTTCTAATCTTCTAGAGCCTAGAGAATTAGACTGTAATGTGCCTTAAATGCAGAGGTTTCTCTTACTCTTCTCTGGAGCAATGCAGACGTTTGTTGGTTGAAGGATCAAACTCCAAAGTCCCTCCCAGCCTTGGAACTGTCTCCACGAGTCATAACCATACTTATCTATGTTTAGATAGAGAACTTACGCGTTCGACCCAGCATATTTAGGGGCTCCATTAAAGTAATAATCATTATTACTAAGGTGAATTTACAGGCGTACTAGAACACAACCTAACAAGAGATAATTATTCAAAGCTCACAACGGCACCAAGCACGGTGCTTTCTTTTCCTTCATTAGAAGCCACGGCTTCTCCCCTACCTTTCCCATACCTTTCCCAAAACTCTCTCAAAATTGCGAGCCTTGGTCATGGCCTTTATCACCTCCCGCAGAGACTGAGTCATGCTGGTCATCGTGGACGGTTTTCCAGCCTTTGGGCTTTGCGCAAGAACGAACTTCGGAAGAGCTGGAAAGTCCAGAAGTTAGTGAAAGAAGGAGGACACAAAGGGCGAAGAGCCCGCACCCTTCTCCGCCCCTAGGAGCGCAAGAGGCCGGGAGTCAGGCGAGCTGGCAGCCCCGGTGGTCCGCGATTTGCTCACTGACTTTCCTCGCACCCTTGTGACGAAGCGCGCATGCGCGCTTCGCACCCACCGCCCCGGCGGCTCCCTTGCGGCGCAGCTGCACCAGTTTTCCGAGAGCAGCGCATTTCCCCGCCGGGCGGTTGATGCGGGAGCGCCATGACACAGGCGCCTGCGCAGAGCCGCGCGTTGGCCTCCTGTTCCGCTTAAAGGGGCGGTGCAGAGGCGGCAGGAAGATGGAGTTGGGGAGTTGCCTGGAGGGCGGGAGGGAGGCGGCGGAGGAAGAGGGCGAGCCTGAGGTGAAAAAGCGGCGACTTCTGTGTGTGGAGTTTGCCTCGGTCGCAAGCTGCGATGCCGCAGTGGCTCAGTGCTTCCTGGCCGAGAACGACTGGGAGATGGAAGTACGCTTTCGCTGTCCTCGCTTCCGGCTCCATTACCTAGGTCGGTGGAGCGCACAAACCTCATCCCTTGTGCCTTTGTTTTTCAGAGGGCTCTGAACTCCTACTTCGAGCCTCCGGTGGAGGAGAGCGCCTTGGAACGCCGACCTGAAACCATCTCTGAGCCCAAGACCTAGTAAGTGATGAGGGGAGCGGGAGCCAGTCCGCACGGAGGCAGTTTGATACCAGGTAGCCCTGCGCGTCCTGGGACCTGCCGTGGAGCTGGGCGGACGATGCTGAGGCAGATCTCCAAGCTGCGTAGCCAGAGGAGCAGGGCTTGCGTTGCTGCTGCTGCGCGGAGTTGCGCCCCAGCAGCGGATCTAACACTGCACCAGACTGTCGCTTCGAACGTGATTTGGGGTCCAGGGAGGAAAAGATGGAAATGTAATGTTTAACTCAAATGAAAGGAAATAAGTAAGCGAGAGGTTTGAAACAAATGAACGAAGGCTAAACCTTCTATCGAAAAATGGCAACTTGGAAGTCTCCTTGCTTCCTGTATTGTTTATTTATTCTAGGCCCTAGGCTGACCGGCCAGAATAACAGGTTTGTTGTTGTTGTTATTTTTTTTTAATGCACACCTACTCCTGTTATTTCAGTGCCCCTCTCCAGTTCCTGCACTTAAAAAGTGTAGCTGCCTTACAAGGCCCTCTACTATTTGGCTCCATAACTTAGAACCTGCCTTTCCAGGTTCCAGGCCTATCAAACTTTTACTTTTTTCCAACGGGTCATTTTCTCCTGTCTTTGAAACTTCGTAAAGATCTTTATTACCTGTGCCTGGAATTTTTTTCTTTTCCCTTCCTTGCTAATATTTGTCTTAAAGCCCCAAGCTGAGACATGATTTATCTCTAGGAAGCTTTTCCTGATGTCCTAAGTCTGGGTAAGAGTCCCCTTTTAGGTACTCTTATAGCATCCTGCATGACCCCTGTTACAATACCTTAGTCCGTATTATAATTGCTGTTCATTATTTTATGTCTCCTACTAGACTGCACATCTAGTAAGGAGTATCTGTTTTGTACATTGTTAATTTCCCAAAGTCTGACACAACATTTGACACATAATAAGCTCCCAATAAATATTTACTGAATGTATAAAATTCTCCCAGCTATATGTACAACCTGTAAAATTGACTGTTCATAGTGGAGACTTTATTTTCCCTTTGGTCTTTTCAGCTACACTGGCTTACAGATGTGATAAGATATTTTCTTTAGGTTCCTTTCTCTGTCTTGCCTCTTGTTGGGGAATTGTTTACTCACCCACAGTGATTTGTCTCTGGCTCCCGTTTTACTAACCAGAGCAAGTTGGACTAGGAGGTGTTTGCCTAGCTCAAACTGGCCAGTCAGATCCTCTCCTTGGTTTCAGAATTAGGACCAAGAGAGTCAAGTCTGAGTCTTCCTATGGAGCTGGAACTGTAACATGTTAACTTAGCACCTGTGAGGATTCATACATATCTTTTTTTGTGTACAGAGAAGCTGAGAACAGAGGTCTGCAGAGAGACAATGAAGCAGAGGGAAGTTGAAGTGTAGGATTGAGAGAAAGCCCTTAACTGCCCTTCCTTAAACATGGCTGTATTTCTGTACCAGGCTCTGTGACATGTTTGTTTCCTTATAAATTCTCCTGTTTTGGTCAAACCAACCTGAGTTAATGTCTGTTGGTTGCAACAGACTATATTGTAACCAATAAATAGTAACAAAATAAGTGGATTTCCTGTAATAGGCCCTCAGAAAAGATGCGGATCAAGCTGATCAATGGTGTCATGGCTATTAGGATTCTCTTACCCCGGAATGGTAAATTGGCAAAAACAAGCAAAGGTGTTGATTAGGCTGTGGTCTCTTGTCTCTCAGAACTCAGGTCAAGTATGAATGAGAGTGAGGTTTTAAAGTTTAGTTTGCTCAAGAGAGAAAAATGGGGAAGGGGCAAACTTCAGCGTGTTTCTAAGGCCTGTGACCTGATTAGATTTTTGATGTTGGCTTTAGCAAAAATGAAAGGGAAAAAAAAATTGATTGGAAGATTTTATGACCAGAAAAACTCAACCCTGCTGAGCAAGGGCATTGGCTGTCTTAAATGAATGGCGCAGGAATCTCAATTCTGGAGTGAATTCCTGGGATATCAACAAAAATTGAAATTGAACACTAAAGTGATTTAGTCCCCTACATTAGAATCTATCTTCAGTGTCTCTGATGAGAGACAAGGGAAATCCTCTTAAAACAGCTATGCTGAATCTTAGCTGCATATTGGAATTATCTGGGGAATTTAAAAAAAAAACCAGAGATTCTAATTTCATTAGTCTTGAGTGGGGCCCATTATTCCTTATTGGCTTTTTTTTTTTTTTTTATTAGCTGTGCAGGTAATTCTAATGCAGAGCCAGCATTGAAAGCCCGTGTCCCAGAGCCTTGTTATTTAGAGTGTGGACTCTGGACCAGCAGCGTGCCACTGCTACTCGGGAATTTGTTAGACATGCAGAATCTTAGGTCTCACCCAGACCTACTGAATCAGAATCTGTATTTTGACAAGATCTCCAGGTGATTTAAAATTGAGGAGCACTGGCCTAACACATAAAACCTAAGACACCAGATATACTGACAAAAGCACTTCCTCCTCTGCTTAGGAATGAAGTCAACAAATCATGCCCCTAAAGTTTGCCAGTCCCTTTCTGTTCCCTTAGTATTTCTGTACAGCAACGTTTTAGAGTTTATTTCCCTTTTCATTTTTCCAAAAGGAAATTTTTAATACAGTTGCCTGGTTTTTCTTGCTGCATTAAATATTAAATATTGTGGGTGTTGCATAAATTGCAGAGATATTTGTATTAGGTTCTTGTGTTGCTATAAATACCTGAGACTGGGTAATTTATAAAGAAAAGAGATTTAATTGGCTAACAGTTCTGCAGGCTCTACTGGAAGCATGGCCCCAGCCTCTGCTGGGCCTCAGGAAGATTTCAATCATGGCAGAAGGGAAAGGGGAGCCCAGGTATCACATGGAGAGCGCAGGAGCAAGGGGGTGGGGTGGTGCCACATACTTTTAAACAACCAGATCTTGCAAGAAGAACTCAGTATCGTGAAGATAGCACCAAGACATTAATGAGGGATCTGCCTCCATGACCCAAACACCTCCCACTGGACCCCACTACCAACATTACGGATTATATCTCAACATGAGATTTGGAGGGGACAAACATCCAAACTATATCAATATGGAATTGGATTACAATGAAACAGAGGAGGAAAGGATGGCATAGTGAATAAGAGCATGGACTCTGGAGCCAAAATGCAAAGGTTATAAGTCCACCTGTGCTATTTAGTAACTGTGTAACTTCTCTCTGCCTCAATTTCTTTGTGCAGTGGGGATAGTAATATGGTTCTGAGTCTACCTGTGCTATTTAGTAACTGTGTAACCTCTCTCTGCCTCAGTTTCTTTATCTGTGCAACCCCTTCCTCATGGGGTTGTTGTAAGGATTAAGTGAGCTAATAGATGTAAAACACTTGGAATTGTGCCTGGCATATAGAGCTCAGTAAGTATAAGCTATGATTAATGACACCATCATGCTCTCCCCATACATCACCCATGACAGTCCACCTGTTGAGGAAAGTAGGGGTTGTGTTTACAGTTTTATGAGGTAGATTGAGTTATAGTTGGATATCTTTAAACTTGGAAAAAAAGGTGTGTGTGCCGGATAGGTAAGGGGCCTGATGTGATGAGCAAACACCTTTGTCTATGATAGTATATATATTTTTAAATTCAGCTATGAAACAGAAGATTTGACAGAAATAAAGAGCTAATAATTTCTCCTTTCTGGTTTTAATGCTTTTCATAAAAAGGAAATAACATCTTTGATCAGGCATGGAATCACTTGGCTTTTTCTCTCTGGTGGTAAGATGAAGGGGGCCAGCCCCTCCACACCTGTGGGTATTTCTCTTCAGGTGGGACGAGAGACTGAGAAAATAAATAAGACGGAGAGACAAAGTATAGAGGAAGAAAAGTGGGCCCAGGGGACCGGCGCTTAGCATACGGAGGATCTGCATGGGCACTGGTCTCTGAGTTCCCTCAGTATTTATTGATCACTATCCCCATCTCGGTGAGGGGGATGCGACAGGACTAGAGGGTAATGGTGGAGTCAGCAGGAAAACGTGAGCAAAGGACTCTGTGTCATAAATAAGTTTAAGGAAAGGTGCTATGTCTGGATATGCACGTAGGCCAGGTTTATGTTTGACTTTACACAAACATCTCAGTGCAATAAAGAGTAGTATTGCCGCCAGCATGTCTCACCTCCAGCTATAAGGCGGTTTTCTCCCATCCAAGTAAATAGAATGTACGATCGGGTTTTATACCGAGACATTCCATTCCCAGGGACGAGCAGGAGACAGATGCCTTCCTCTTTTCTCAACTGCAAAGAGGCCTTCTTTCACTAATCCTCCTCAACACAGACCCTTTTTGGGTGTCGGGCTGGGGGACGGTCAGATCTTTCTCTTCTCATGAGGCCATTATCTCAGGCTGTCTCAGTGGGGGGAATCCTTGGACAATACCCAGGCTTTCTTGGGCAGAGGTCCATGTGGCCTTCCGCAGTGCATTGTGTCCCTGGGTACTCGAGACTGGAGAATGGCGATGACTTTTACCAAGCATACTGCTTGCAAACACAATTTTAACAAAGCACATCCTGCACAGCCCTAAATCCATTAAACCTTGAGTCAATACAGCACATGTTTCTGCGAGCACAGGGTTGAGGCTAGAGTTACAGATTAACAGCACCTCAAGGCAGAAGAATTTTTCTTAGTACAGATCAAAATGGAGTTTCTTATGTCTTCCTCTTTCTACATAGACACAGTAACAGTCTGATCTCTCTTTCCCCCACAGTAAGACGTTGAAAAAAAGTCTAATAGCTCATTGTTGAATAAGAGAACTTTTGGGTAGGATGAAATTCACAAAAGAAAGTTTTGCACTTTTTTTTTATGCTCTTGAAGGTTATTTTTATGTAAAAGGGAGACAATTCAAAATATTTTATGCTACAAAATTGACATTAAGTTCATCTAGCACCCAGATCATGGCCTTTAAATACAATTCTTCACTGAAAGGAACAAGGGCTTTTCAGAAATGACTGATTTCATAGAATGAAAGGGGCTTAATGTAAAAATTAAAAAAGAAGTTAAAAAGAAATGACTGATTCCAGAGCAGGGGCAAAAAAAGTACAAGATGAGCCAATGGTATCTGTGGTGTTAGAAAGTAAGGAGGTGCCCAGAAAATGTTGGGGACATGCCAGAAGGGCACAAGACCTAGCTTAAAAGCTGCCTACCCTTTCCCCGTGAAATCTGGTATAACCCAAGCAACAGGATGCTTGGTAGGAATAGATTACAATCCATAAAAAAAGAACCCATACTGATATAAATACCATTGTCCAAGAGAGAAGGGAACATTTTTCCTTACAGTAGAACTCCATCTATTAAATGTGGAAGACATGAGGAATTAGAAAAAAATCTTCATTTGGGAACTGCCGTATTGATAATTATTTCAGGTAGATATCAACAGATACTAAAACTAGTAGGAAAGTTCAGTGAACAACAGCATATTTACATAATCACAAAGTACTTTCCCACAAAATACTTACTATGATGGGGAAAATTATAACTTCGTACTAGAGAAATCTGGTTAACAACACTTTAACCAAGTGATCAAAGCTAACATCACCAGGAATGGGAAAGCTCCATATCAGATGCTTGATATGGTGCATTGCGGAGGACATACTATCACTTCTGTGACATTCCTGCCAAAAAATGCATAATCTGAATCAAATAATAGGAAAACATAAGCCCAATCTGAAGGACATTCTGTAAGATAAATGGCCTGTACTCTTCAAAAATGTCAGAGTCATGAGAGACAAAGACTGAAAAACTTTTCTGGATTGAAGAAAATTAAAAGAGACATGCCATCTAAATATAACATGTGATCCTAGATTAGGACACTAGTAGCACAATTGGCAAGATTGGTCTAGGTCTTTAGATATTAAATCTAGCCATAGGAGGCAATAAGAAAAAGAAAAACTTATATCAATGATAATCTTCTGACTTGTTGATCATACTAGAGTATACTGTTATGCACCACATAACCACATCTCTATTGACAACAAACTGCATAAATGAAGATGATCCCATAAGATTATATTACTGTATTTTTGCTATACCTTTTCTATATTAGGTATTTTTAGAACACAAGTAAGTGCCATTGTGTTACAGTTGCCTACAGTATCCAGTATAGTAGCATGCTGTACAGGTTTGTAGCCTAGGAGCAGTAGGCTAGACCATATAGCCTAGGTGTGTAGGAGGCTGTTGTACCATCTAGGTTTGTGTAAATTCTCTCTATGATGTTTGCATAATGATGAAATCACCTAATGACACGCTTCTCCAAATGTGGTGCATAACTGTATATGTAAGCATGTCTTCGTGTTTAGGAAATAATACAAAAATATTTAAACAAATGGTTCAGAATAAAAAGAATAAAGCAAGTAAATGTTAAGTAAAATGTTAATATTTGAGGAACCTGGGTGAATGGTGTATAGGAGAAAAGTTAAAATGTTGGCATTAAAATTATAAATTCAGACACCTATTTTTAAAATTCATGAATAGTTTATAAATGCTTAGGAGTTAACCTTTTAATAAAGTTTGTCCCTCCACTCATATGTCTGGGGTATTGGTTGGGGGAGCAGATGGTGGAGTCAAGACTATGGACTGGAACACATACATATGTCCTTTCCAGCATGGCAGTCTCAGGGTGGTTGGACTTTTTACATGGCAGTTCCAGGGTTCCTGGAGGGAGTGTTCCAAAAGCCTTGAATGGAAGTGGCAGATTATCTTAAGGCCAAACCTCAAAAGTCCCAGAATATTCTTTCCCTGTAGTAAGCAAGCTACTAAGGTCTGGATTCAAAGGGGAGGGGCATTAGGTTTCATCATTCAAAGGGGAGTAGCAAAGAATTTGCAGTTCCTATTTATCTGCCACAATGAGATCTTATTTAACATATGATTTTAAAAAATTCCAAAAAGATTTAGAAATCCTACGTTTCTGAGTCTAATTTGGGATCATAGTTTATACAATTATTCTAGTGACACATGTCATTGAAGGATATTAAGTTGTTTATAACTGCCTAAGTGAGCAAACATTTGGACAGTACAGTAAGAATCTATCTACGAACCCAAAAGTATCTGAGTCAGGTCTAAATCAATTTAGAAGGTTTATTTTGCCAAGGTTAAGGACGCACCCATGACACACCCTCAGGAAGTCCTGACTACCTTGTGGACATGTGCCCTAGGTTGTTGAGGTACAGCTTGCAAGTCAATACCCTGAGACACCAAAGGTTGCAGCAGAAAAAAAATTTTAATTGTAAGGCCGCCAAACCAGGGGACTGGAGGAAACTTCAGATTCTCCTTGAGAAGTTTGGAGCTTGAGACTTAAAGAGGTTTGGAGTGGACCAAGGTGTGAGGATTGTTGATTGGTCAGAGTGCAATGATGAAGTCATGGGATCTAGAGATGAAGAAACTGCATTCTCATGCTGATTCGGTTCCTGTCGGGGTGTCTTCAAACTGGTTGGTGTCAGCTTTCTGCTGGAATTCAGCGTCTGAAAAACATCTTAAGCAATGCTTAAACAAAAGCCTTATGATTCTGATGTCAGAGATCCTACCCATAGGAGCAATGGGGATGCAAGTCATCAGTATATAGGGCTATGGGATGACTTTCCGTACAAAGAAGTGGGCCAAAGTGCAGCGTGATTAATGCTCAATTATATTTCTGTCTAGAACCTGGCATGCAATTCTTGTTAACCCTGTAAGGACAGTGTCACTTTTAGGGCTCTTTTAAAATTTGTCTGTAAAATGAGGGCTACAAATACAAAATAATTCTTAATCAATTTATAGATTATTTGCAAAGCCATGTTTTATTCTGATCTTGCCAGTGTTGACCTAACCAATGAAGAAACAACTGATTCCACCACTTCTAAAATCAGCCCATCTGAAGATACTCAGCAAGAAAATGGCAGCATGTTCTCTCTCATTACCTGGAATATTGATGGATTAGATCTAAACAATCTGTCAGAGAGGGCTCGAGGGGTGTGTTCCTACTTAGCTTTGTAAGTATTATCACTTCTATTTAATAGTAATGTGTCTTATGTATATACAAAGTAACAGTTCAAGGTTGTGGGCTTTAGAATTAAACCTAAGTTCAATGTCCAGCTCTGAGAAGAAACATCTGAAGAATTAAGATGATTGCCTCTGAGAGCAGGATTGCAGGCTGCAGCAAAGAGGGAACACTAATTTTCGTTAGAAGCCTTTTAGTACTGTTTTCTTCTTCAACTTTGTTTATCGTAACTACGTGAAATTAAAACTACCAAAAAGATCTATTTGTGCCCCATGCTGGCTCTGTGACCTTGGCCAAATCACTTAAGTTCTCTGGACAGTTTTCTTCATTGTGGTTAATAACTGCTTCAAGAGGATTGAAAGAAACATTGAAAGCATCTCTTAGTGTGTAGGACCATTGAAGTCTCTCAATATGGCGGTTTCTATTGTCAGTTTTTCTAGTTCTTTTTGATATATTTGTTACAGTACTACATTAATAAATAGCACACATCTTTCTCATTTTATAGTTATCAAAGATCAGCATAAACACTCAATATTAGGTGCCCTAGAGGGTTTTTTGTTTTTGGTATGTTGTGGGATTTCCTTCATTTAGGTAGCTGAAAATGAAATGGTATACTTGGTATTTGTCATAAATTGATGTTTTTCATTAGGTACAGCCCAGATGTGATATTTCTACAGGAAGTTATTCCCCCATATTATAGCTACCTAAAGAAGAGATCAAGTAATTATGAGATTATTACAGGTAACAATTTTTGTTATTCAACTTGTCTTTTCTTTGAAAAACAGATCAGTGAAAGAGATAAATCAAAGTTGGTCTATTGGGACATAGAGAGGAAAAAGCACAAATAAATAAGTTTGAGAAAAATAAGCAAGACACAGAATACTACAAGAATTATAGGAGAATATTTTATACAACTTAATATTAATAGTGTGAAAAGGAAATGGATGATTTTTCAGGAAAATATAAATTACTAAAATTTGAGAAACAACACCTTTTTGGTGAAATTCAGTTGTTAAAAGTTTTAACTGAAATAATCACATTGTGGTTATTATGCTTTTTCAAAAAGTCTTTATTTTATAATTCCTTATTTATTTTGTTGTTCTTTTTGTACTTTTTTTGCCCTGAGTAATTTAGTTTTTAAATTTTCCATCTAATTTGTTTTTGCTAAATATATTTAAAATACTACTTTGGCCACATCTCGTGATTTTCATATACAGTCTTTCCTTGGTATTCTCAGAGGATTGGTTCTAGGGTTCCTCAATGGATACCAAAATTCGCACATACTCAGTTTCCTCAGTGTGCTCTGCAGAACCCATCTATATGTGCGCACTCCATTTCTGCAGGTTTCATGTCCTGGGAAGACTGTATTTTCAACCTGCATTTGGTTGTGGATGCAGATACAGAGGACCAACCGTATTTACTGAAAAAATATCTGTATAAGTGGACCTTGAAGTTCACTTGTGTTGTTCAAGTGTCAACTGTATAGTGCTTTCTTTGACTTTCATTTTTATATAGTATGTGATTTTTAGTTTCAATCGACTCCTTAATCGAGAATTTCTAAGGAGAGGGTTCTCTCTCAGTCTGTGTGTGTCTCTCTTTATGGAACTATTTTGTATTCTCTTGGGGATTCTTTTAGGATTTCTGATTCCCATGCTTCCTTCTTGGTTTACTTCCTTATTTTATTGGAGCACCTTCTCTAATTAATTTCTAGGAAATAGTGCATGGATAGTGAAGTTTTTGAATCCCAGCATATTTGAAAATGTCTGTGTCGTAGCTTTGTAGTTCTTGATAGTTTGGCTGAAGATAGGTATCTGGGTAAATAGATGTTTTCCTTCAGAATTCTGAAGGCATTCTTCAATGTCTTCTAGTTTCCATTATTGATGATGGGTGATAAGGCTGATGCCATTCTAATTTTTATTCTTTTCTTTTTCCCTACTCTCTGGAAGCTTTGAGGGTCTTCTTTTTAACCCTCGTGTTCTTTGGGTCTTTTTAAAATCTATTGTACTGAATGCTTGGTGGGAACTTTTATTCTGTGGAATTTTAATATGTGGAAAACCTTAGTTGGAAAATCCTTTTCCCTCTCCCTCCCTCCCACCATTCCCCTCGCCTCTCCTTTCATTATCTTTGTTATTTCTCTTTCCTTTTCTCCCTGTCTCTTCTTTCCTCCCTTAAGTTTTTTTACTCTCCCATTTTTCTGAATTCCCTCTGTTAAACGGTGGATCTCCTGGGTTGATCCTTGAATTTTCTTAACTTTCTCTTATTCTCCTATCTCTATTGACTGTTCTACTTTCTTGGCAACTATCTTGACTTTTAGATAGCATTATTTTAATTTCCTAGGCCTCCTATTCACTGAATATCTTTTTTATGGCACACTTTTCTTGGTTTATGGATACAGTATCTTTTTTGTTAGTTTTTTGTTTGTTTTAGGTTTTAATCTCTTTCCCTGCATTGTTTTTATTTCCTTCTTTTTGTTTATTTTGATTATGTTATGTCAGTATCCATCATGTCATGTTAGACCTGTTCCTTAAATATGTAGGGATCCTTGGCTTTTGGTTCACATTTAAACACCAAACACTAAAATGTTGATTACAGTTTAGTATGCCTGAGCAAGGCTAAGTAGTTTACCTTACTGGACAGGGGTGAGGGATTGATTGTAGAGCAAACTGCTTATTCATTTGAGGGAGACCCACAATTGTCAGTGTGTTGGTATATACAGGCCTTTAATCTGAGACCATTTTGTTTCTCCAAAAAAGAGTTATTTAGCTTTCTGCCTTCTGGGTGTTGGGACTGGGGTGGTGTGCTTGTTTTGCCTACCTTCTGGAAGCAGGTGAGGGGAAGGGAGCTGAGTAGGCACACTTTACTTAATCAGTGTTCAACCTATTCACCTATCAGCCGTGGGCTAACATGCATGCCCCTCCCTGTGGCTGGTGACTCTGGAGCCTCTAAAATTTAGTTCTATGTAAAACTGTAGTCTCCTGTTAATAGAGGGACAGTCACTTAGCTCTAAGGAGTTGAGGAAACCTGGGGGTTGTTTAACCCCATATCCAGACCTTGAACTGGCCCTCCTCTTCTTAGCTCAGCACCTTACCTTTTGTGGTACCTTTATGTTCAAGCACTAAGTGTTTCCAGATTTTGGTGGAACAAATCTGCTTGCTTCCTGTCTATGGTTCTCTGCTACAGTCACTCAAGTGGTTTCCTTCTCTTCTGATAAACCGGTTACCACTTCTCCATCTGTTTTCTGTTTTCTGAAAAACTGTTGGAAGCTTTCATTCATGGCCTCTACTCCTATTTTCTGTTCTTGCAGGTTTATATCTTTCTAGATTTTTATTCATTTACTATAATTTTTCTGAAACTTCTAGTATGAGAAGTAGTAAGTGGCTATCAGCTGGCCACAGTTCATCTCATCTACTCTGTGTCTTTCAGAAATTTCTCAAATTTTCTCATCTGATATTGGCAGCATTATTTTTTGGCACTTGTTTACATTTTTTTTCATTTTTATTTATTCATTTATTTTGAGACGGAATTTCACTATTGTTGCCTAAGCTAGAGTGCGATGGCACGATCTCAGCTCACCGCAACCTCTGCCTCCCAGGTTCAAGTGATTTGCCTAATTCAGCCTCCCGAGTAGCTGGGATTACAGGCATGTGCCACCACGCCCGACTAATTTTGTGTTTTGTAGAGGCAGGGTTTCTCCATTTTGGTCAGGTTGGTCTCAAACTCCTGACCTCAGGTGATCCGCCCACCTCGACCTCCCAAAGTGCTGGGATTACAGGCATGAGCCACTGTGCCTGGTCTTTTTTTATTTTATTTTATTTCTTCTAAGCTTCTAGCTAAAATTTGGGAGGGAGGAGGTAGACTTGTTTGGCCATGATGAACTATTTTGAAATAATAGTTTAAAGATTTAGATCCATGTAAATATCTGTTACCTGTTTGCTATAAAATTCTTCAATAGGCAAACTTGTGGTAAACTGAAAATAACTCTCACCTTCTCAGCCTAAATTCTTTTCCACAAACATTTGTAGGTCATGAAGAAGGATATTTCACAGCTATAATGTTGAAGAAATCAAGAGTGAAATTAAAAAGCCAAGAGATTATTCCTTTTCCAAGTACCAAAATGATGAGAAACCTTTTATGTGTGCATGTGAGTAATTTTTAAAAATTGAGTGTTTTATAAAAAAAAGATTTTTTCATAGTTTTGTGTTATTATTCTTTTTAAAACCATTGCCTTTAGAGAAAAATTTGCTTCACACATGTAGATTCTTTTAGATAGTCTTTAACACTCTCTAAAATTAATTTTTTACATAAATTTTAAATGCAGATAGAATTCTCAGTCTATTGTTTTCTTAAGAATATTTGAGTTTGCTGACATTCCACATTTGCTTCCTAAAGTAATGTTTTTACTTTCTACTCTATACATGCTGCTATATTTTACTCTATGAGACTTACAAAAATGAAAAATAGATCTTGCTCTGATATAGTATATAGATTAGTAAGGGAGAGTGTGTATATAGTAACTAAAACATAAGAAAGGCATAAGTGCCACAGGAGAGGTATAAATGATGTGTGGAAGTTTAGAGAAAGGAGAGATGACTTTTAGCCAGATTGTTTAGTGAGAGTTTTATAGAGGAGATGGTATTTGAAATGAACCCTGAAAAATATGTAAGACATACATATTAAAAAGAGTCCAAGTAGAGAAACCACCATGAGCAAACTTTTGCAAGTTGCAAGAGGTGTACATGTATGAGTATGAATGAGCATTCTATTCAGTTGAGTGTAGGGGCCATGGAGAGGCAAATGTGACAGGTTGAGAAGTAGGTAGGCTCCTGATTATAGAAGAGCATGAATGACCAATATGAAAGAATTAGACTTGATTCTGCAGACACTTAGTATAATGATAGATTGTACATTGTTGGTGTCTTAATTGCAAATGGTAAATGATTCTCATTCATTCAGTTAACTGACTTTTTTGGAATACCTGTATGCCAGGCCCTTAATAATACAGCAATAAATAAGAATCATCTCTGCTTTGCAAATGACTTATGGCTTTGTAGGAGGGAAATAATTGTCCTTTTAATTTAGCCTAGGGGGCTTTGAAACAGTCTGTTCAGCATGCCTTTGGTGTATTGAGGAGGGAGCCGCTGATGGCCTGGGGACACTGGGGAAAGGTTCACAGTGGAGGTGACATCTGGGGGTAGGTCGTGCTTGCTAAACCGTCGTCTTTGGGGACAGGGTTACTGCTTTAATACTTCTTTTGATCCGGAGGGATAGGCATAGTGCTGATTTTACAGTTTCAGTTTAGTAAATATATACCATTTGACAGAACAATCTGCTGATTTTATTATTAAAGTTCAGTATTAATAGTCAGTGGACAGTTTTAATGACTGTTTGTCCTGCTGCAGGTGAACGTGTCAGGAAATGAGCTTTGCCTTATGACATCCCATTTGGAGAGCACCAGAGGGCATGCTGCGGAACGAATGAATCAGTTAAAAATGGTTTTAAAGAAAATGCAAGAGGCTCCAGAGTCAGCTACAGTTATATTTGCAGGAGATACAAATCTAAGGGATCGAGAGGTGAGTGACAAAGTCAGTTTGATGTTTGAGGACAGATTATTGCTATGGAGACTAATTTAGGTTCCTTTGACCAAAGCTGTTAAAACTAGGACCTTTAGTCACTCAAAATGTCTTAAGTGACCTTGCAATTCAGCGAATATTTGTTTAGCCTATGCTGTATGCCTAGGGGAAGAAGGGGCTCTTTTTGGAGGAAAATAAAAATGTGCATGAGAAATAGACAACACTAAACTATATGTGTGTGTGTATATATATATATATAGGATTAGAAAGAAAGGTAGAGAAAATGATTGTAGAAGAGTTTAGAAAAGGTTGTTTCTTTGCAGTATTCCTAGGTGCAATATGAGAACAATGGAAAGATTGGACCGTGATAATTGTTCCTGACTCTCTTTTTTTCTGAGGTTTCCTTTTCTTTTTTCTTTTTTGGCTTTTATTAGCCTTTTTTACCCACTTTTCCTGCCACCACCATGTCCAGATCTCCAGGTCTGAAACAAAGTCTCTTTCTCCCTGCCTATAGCTCAGTTGAGACACAGTGGGATTTTTCAGGACCTTAAAAAATTAAACATGGAATTACTAATGTGATGCATCAATTACACTTCTAGGTGTAAATACCCAAAAGAAGTGAAAGCAGGGATTTGAATGTATTTTGTCTACCCATGGATGTTCACAGCTGTGTTATTCACAGTAGCTAAAAGGTGGAAGCAGCCCAAATATCACTGACAGATGAATAAACAAAATGTGCTATATGTATACAGTGGAATATTATTCACCCTTAAAATGAAGAAACTTTGACACATGCTACAATATGGGCGAATCTTAAAGACATTATGCTGAGTGAATGAAGCCAATCCAAAAAGGAAAAGATACTATATGATTCCTCTTATGAATTTCCTAAACTGGTCAAATTCATAGAGACAGAAAGTAGAATGGTGTTTGCCAGGGACTGGGGGTATAAGGGAATGGTGAATTGGTGTTTAATGGGTACAGAGTTTCAGTTGGGGAAGATTAAAAGGTTCTGGAGATGGATGGTAGTCATGGTTGCACAACTATGTGAATATACTTAATGCTACATCACTGTACACTTAAAAATTGTTAAAATGGCTGGGCACAGTGGCTCATGCCTGTAATCCCAGCACTTTGGGAGGCCGAGGTGGGCAGATCACTTGAGGCCAGGAGTTCGAGACCAGCCTGGCCGGCACGGTGAAACCCCATCTCTACTAAAAATACAGAAATTAGCCGGGCATTGTGGCACATGCCTGTGATCCCAGCTATGCAGAAGGCTGAGGCACTAGAATTGCTTGAACCTGGGAGGTGGAAGTTGCAGTGAACCGAGATTGCACCACTCCATCCTGGGCAACAGAGTGAGACTCCCACCTCAAAAAAAAAAAAAATTGTTAAAATGATAAATCTTGTATTGTGTATATTTTACCGCAAACAATTTTTTTAAATCCTGGAGTGTGAATGAGCAAACAGAATTAATATTATTAATAAACTTCAAATAAAACTGAAGGCAGTTGAAATTTTTGGATCATATGAATGCTATACTTCTGAAGTTGTAGACTAAAGTAGAGTGGCAGTTCTGCCTTCTTTTCACTTGAGTTCAGTTTTTGAAAACAGATAACAGCAGTAACAGGCCATGTATATTCAGCCTTCTAAGTTTTATCTGAAACCCAAAGTTAGGAACCTATTTATGGCAGAAGAGAAGGGGCAAATTCCAAACCCCTCTGGCTGTCTTGATATTTTTATATTACATACCACTATGCAGCATAGTACTTTTTATAATGTATCTCATTGTTTTGCATTTCTGCATTAATAATTTCTTGCACGGTAATAGCAAAAACACCTTTTTTTTTTTTTTTTTAAGTTAGTGGGCAAAAGGCTATGTGTATCTTAGAGAGTATTCTTCTTCTTTTCAGGTTACCAGATGTGGTGGTTTACCCAACAACATTGTGGATGTCTGGGAGTTTTTGGGCAAACCTAAACATTGCCAGTATACATGGGATACACAAATGAACTCTAATCTTGGAATAACTGCTGCTTGTAAACTTCGTTTTGATCGAATATTTTTCAGAGCAGCAGCAGAAGAGGGACACATTATTCCCCGAAGTTTGGACCTTCTTGGATTAGAAAAACTGGACTGTGGTAGATTTCCTAGTGATCACTGGGGTCTTCTGTGCAACTTAGATATAATATTGTAAAATGCTTTTCAAGTGTGGGTTTTGCCCTGATTGTTGCAAATACAATTTCCACCTTCTGGAAAGGTAGGTTTGCTGTGGAGGAAATAATGTACTAGATCATTGTCACAGAAAAACCAACTATGATTTATGGTTGTGTTTTCAGAATTCAACATTAAAGATTAATGTTTATTTAAACGAACACATTCCTGCATTCAGGATGTGAGGCCATTTAATAAAAAGGGCACAAAGCCTGTCAGAGTTTTCAACGGTGCTTATAGCTGCCAGCTGGATTCCAAACAGGTACCACATTGTCTCTGAGCTAATGTTTATATTTTTCCATTCAGGCACCGAAATAGTTAATATTTGAAATAAGTCTTCAAAAGAAAACATAAGAGATTATTGAGTTCTTGGGACTGGATCCTTTATTTCATAAGTTCAGATCATCTTAAATGAAAATGCCATGATTATCTGCAGTTAAGTAGATGACAGCTATTCTACATCAGACTTGATTTTTGTCAGCTAATTACATAATTGGTAAGCTATAATTGAAACCTTATGGCTTAAAATTCCTTAACTCCTTTTTGATTCATGTTTGTAGTCATGTTGTCAACAGAGGCAAAGTTAAGCTTGATGATGGTTAAAATCGGTTTGATAGCACCATGGGACATTTTTCTAACAAAAATAAATGCATGAAGAGACATAGCCTTTTAGTTTTGCTAATTGTGAAATGGAAATGCTTTACAGGAAGTAAATGCAAATTACTTTTAAGTGTGCTTTAAAGAAAAATATTTTCCCCACAAGAGAAATTTAAATAAAGAATTTTATTTGTTTATGGTTTGTTTTAGTATGTTTTTGTGTCCATGATGAGATTAAATTTTTTATCTGCTTCCTGCTTCTGGCTCTACTGCTGCTTCTTCCTCTTTGTGTAGAAGAAAACAGATTTCCATTTGCTTCTCACTCCACCAAGAATTACCAAGAATATATCTGCTTCCTTTGTCTGAAAAAAAGCCAGCGAGAATAATTAGAAGTAATAGAATCTTATTTATATCAGGAGTGCCAAAATTTAAACACCTAAAAAAAGATATTTATATATAATATTCCCTTTGTAGTGACAACGAAAAAGTTTAAATGTTAATCATAATTTTAATCATTAAAAATAAAAAATGAGGGCCGGGTGCAGTGGCTCACACCTGTAATCCCAGCACTTTGGGAGGCTGAGGCGGGTGGATCACGAGGTCAGGAGATCGAGACCATCCTGGCTAACACGGTGAAACCCTGTCTCTACTAAAAATACAAAAAATTAGCCGGACGTGATGGCGAGTGCTTGTAGTCCCAGCTACTCAGGAGGCTGAGGCAGGAGAATGGCACGAACCCAGGAAGCAGAACTTGCAGTGAGCCAAGATCGTGCCACTGCACTCCAGCCTGGGCAACAGAGTGAGACTCCATCTCAAAAATAAAATAAAAAATGAGAATAGATGTTAATAGTAGAGTAGCATACATCATAGAGGTAATACAATAGTACATTTCTGTGGGAAAAGGGTTATTCTGGCATAAATTGCTTTCATTTAGAAGAGCTAAGTTAGAACTTCAGATCACATTGCAAAACATAGATGGGTGAAAGTCTAAATTCTTAAAAAAAAAATACAGTGTAGTATACTAGATTAAATAAAGGATTATCGGCTGGGTGCAGTGGCTCATGCCTGTAATCCCAGCACTTTGGGAGGCCGAGGCAGGTGGATCACCTGAGGTCAGAAGTTCAAGACTCGTCTAGCCAACATGGTGAAACCCCATCTCTACTAAAAATACAAAAATTAGCCAGGCGTGGTGACACGTGCCTGTAATCCAAGCTACTCAGGAGGCTGAGGCAGGAGAATCACTTGACCCTGGGAGGCGGAGGTTGCAGTAAGCCGAGATCGTGCCACTGCACTCCAGCCTGGGCGACAGAGCAAGACTGTCTCAAAAAAAACCACTTTTAGTCTGCTTTCATGAGCAATAGTTATCAATGAATTAACCTACTAATTTGCTATATCTTGAGTTTTTTACTTGGAATTTTTCAAAGTTTTTCCAGTGTAGTAGCTTTGCTTGCCTTACCTTCCTGCTTAGTGAAATTCCAACATAGAATCTTCTGGGTTTTTTTTTTTTTTTTTTTCAGTCTCAACCTCCTGGGCACAAGTGATCCTCTAGCCTCAGACTCTTGGGTAGCTGGGATTACAGGTGTGCACCACACACCCAGCTACTTTTTATTTGTTTTTGTTTTTTGTACAGAGAGGATCTTGCTATGTTGCCCAGGCTGGCCTCGAACTCCGGGGCTCACTCAATCCTCCTGCCTCGCCCACAAAGTGCTGGGATTATAGGCATGAGCCACTGTACGTGGCCTAAAGTCTTGTATTTCAATGAGGCAGCACTGTCATTACGCTAAGCACCATTTTTACCACTGATGTGGAATGTACTTTAACCTTCCTAAACCTCAGTTTTACCCACCCTCAAAATAAGTTATCTTTTATTGTACAAATGTCCCAACCAAAAGCATAAGCAAGAGCAGACAAAGTTAATTATACTAAGGATACATCATTTTATCCTTACTACCTCTTGCAGTGTCTGGCATATAGTAGGAGCTCAATGGATGTCCACTGAATGCTGAAAAGAAGTGAAAGGTAGTAGCCTCACATCTGTGTCCTAAAGAAGGAGACTAACATTTTCATACAATACCAAAATAGATATATTCATTAAAAATGAAAATAGATATTCATTACAGTGTCTCTGAGTTAAAAAGATGGTATAGTTAAACATTCTGGGCTAAGCCTGTGTGTGTGTGTATGTGCTAAAAATATGTTTCTTTAAAGGCTAATCAGCCAAGGATCGTTGGGGACAAAATCAGATTCATTGGCTTGATGCATTGAAAGAGTACCTGTGGAATGCCATGTGAGCACAGAAAGGAGGAAGTGTCTTTTGTAAAGATTTGGCTTCCTATTAAAGGATTCCAGGGAGAGTCTTGGAATCAGAGCTGGGATCCAGTTGGTTGCTGTTTCTGAGGCAGATTGAGAGAAAGGGGGATTAATGAGGGATTGGGTGCTGTCAGGAGGTGAAGGGAGTTTAGCAATTGGGTATCCCCAGTTATGGATGGGAATAGTAAAGCAAAGGTAGAAAGTAGTAGTCATTCAAAAATGGAACACAAGGAGTTGTGTTGTTTTGTACCTGCTGCGTGACTTCAGAGGAAACAACATTGCCTGTTAATTTTGCTTCTGACTTTGTCCTCTCAGCCTGATCATTGATCATTGGCAGTACTAACTTTTCCAAGTCCAAGCTGATTTTCACTCTTTGAGTCCTGGACAGGTTTTTACTCTTTAGTTTTTATTTATTTATTTATTTATTTATTTATTTATTTATTTATTTATTTATTTATTTTGAGACGGAGTCTTGCTCTGTCGCCCAGGCTGGAGTGCAGTGGCACGATCTCGGCTCACTGCAACCTCCGCCTCCTGGATTCAAGCGATTCTCCTGCCTCAGCCTCTCAAGTAGCTGGAACTACAGGCGCGGGCCACCACTCCCGGTTAATTTTTTGTATTTTTAGTAGAGACGGGGGTTTCACCGTGTTAGCCAGAATGGTCTCGATCTCCTGACCTCGTGATCCGCCCGCCTCGGCCTGCCAAAGTGCTAGGATTACAGGCGTGAGCCACCGCACCCAGCTGGTTTTTACTCTTTAAATGTGCATTATCTTATTTGATTCCCAGAATCATCCTATATGAATGCTATTATCTTCATTTTATAATTGAGGAAACAGGTTTATCTAGATTAGGTAACTTGTCTGAGGCTCTTCGGTAAATACGAGTAGCCAAGAAGCTTATTCATCAACAGTGTGTGACTCAGCCCTAAGCACTGCACTTATACCTCCTAGTAATGAGATGTGCGAGGAATGCCCTGGCTACCTTTTCTGCTCATGATATTATCCCTAGATGCTTTCGCATCTTTATTAAAACAGTAAAAATGCAAGAGTCTTCCACCCAAGTTTTCTGTGGTTTAGATTATCACGTTCCTCAAGATGCAAATGTCAAACTATACTGGGCATCCAGTTAACCTGCAAGGCCTGGAGGTGATGGGAGCCCCTCCTAGCACAGGTTCCCAGTCTCAGTCAGAAAGCACCTGCTCAAAATAGAAAGATAATTACAGAGTAGGGGCCAAAGAGACTCCCACTGGAAGAATGGAACTTGTGTAGCTGGGGTGACACAAGCTGGGGACAAGCTGGGGGACACATTCGCGAAGGGTGTTTGACCCAGGCAGTGCACCCACGGCTCCCTTGAGCCACCCTGGCCCGGGTGTTTATTTGGAAGGAGTGTTCATCCCCCAGACTGTTTAGGGCCACGGTGACAGGGAAGGGCTTGGTGAAGGAAAGCAGGTAGGGTATGAAGGCCGCTCAGGTTCACGAAAGACTTTTGCTTGGTCCCCTGCGGGGTGGGAGTGTGTCGCCCCGGTGCGGGTACTTAGAGCGCAACCGGGGAGCTGAGCAGGGGAGCTGAGCAGGGGAGCTGGGCAGGGGCGGCTGCCGCGCCCCACATCCCTGAGGGCGTGTGTGCGCGTGCGCGCGCGTCGCCGTGGTAACCGCGGCGGCGGAAAGGCGCTGAATCACTGGCGCGCGCTTTCCCCGAGCCTGCAGAAGCTGCCGCGGGCGGTGGGCGGGGATCCCCCGGGGGTGCAACCTTGCTCCACCTGTGCTGCCCTCGGCGGGCCTGGCTGGCCCCGCGCAGAGCGGCGGCGGCGCTCGCTGTCACTGCCGGAGGTGAGAGCGCAGCAGTAGCTTCAGCCTGTCTTGGGCTTGGTCCAGATTCGCTCCTCTGGGGCTACGTCCCGGGGAAGAGGAAGCGAGGATTTTGCTGGGGTGGGGCTGTACCTCTTAACAGCAGGTGCGCGCGCGAGGGTGTGAACGTGTGTGTGTGTGTGTGTGTGTGTGTGTGTGTGTGTGTGTGTGTGTGTAAGACCTGCGATGACGACGAGGAGGAACAAGTGGGACGGCGAGTGATGCTCAGGGCCAGCAGCAACGCATGGGGCGAGCTTCAGTGTCGCCAGCAGTGACCACAGGTACGGTATCTACTTCCCAGAGCGCCTGGCCGAGAAATAGGAAAGAGGGCAGCCAGTAGGCAGGCCAATACCCAACAAAAGTAGAATCGAGACGCCCTGAGTTCAGAAGGTGAGTTTCTTAAGATTCTTCTGGGCATTCAGGAAAGGGCATTTTTTGATTGCTGCACTGATTGTTGACTAGTAGGGTGGAGTCGGGGAAATTTGAGTGTCTTTTCCCAACCTCACGAATTGCATTTTTTTAGAAGTAAGGAATCGTTTTCTTTAAACTTCATTCAGAACTATTTATGTGATCTTTCCTATTATTTGCTAAATGCATTTTGTCTCTGTTCCTTACCATAACCTGAAGCTTAAAATCTTTCTCTTCTTCCCTTTGAATTCCCTCCAAGGAATGTCACAAATTAATCGGGAGGATAAACCTGAAATTTTGAGAGTTATCATCTTAAGGTCATTTGTTAATTAAATACAAGGAGGAAAAATATGATATACATACTCATGTGCACTTTTATTGCTGGTTTGTTCATCAAAACATTTTTGTTTGTCGGTGAAATGTTAGTATTTTTTCCACTGCTTGAATTGAAAAGTTGAATGATGTTTTTGATAGTAACAGAAAAAATAAATTGTAGACAATGTTCCCCCCCACACACAAGAATTTTGGAAGTAAATGTTGGTATTTATTTCTTTATTCCTGAAATACATGCTCACTTTCCAAATGCTTCAATTTATTATAAGAAGACCACAATTGTAGAGACTACTAAAGTTATGCCAAATCTAAACTTTTATTTTGTGCTTTTTTTAGTATTATTTTTAATTCAGATGAGGAAAACTGGAGGTGTCAGTTCAGTTATAGACGTAGGAGTCACAGAGAAAGGTGAATTCCTCTGTAATTTGAAAAAGGGAAATGTAAACATATTACCTAAGTACTCTGATTTATTTGTATTAACCATTTGTAATGCATTTGCATTTGTAATGCAAAATGCCGAGGCAAGAACTTAATTTTTGTTTCGAAATAATGAAAATAATTCAGCCAAAATCTTTATGAATTAAAAATAGCCAAAAGAGAGCTTTGGTAATGTATGAATGTAAAAGAATAGAGTTGCTGTTAAATTTTCTTGACTTTTTTTTTTTCCCTAGCCAATAGATAGGAAGCATTCTCTTTAAATAAATACAGTAAGTCCTCACTTAACATTCTTGATACGTTCTTGGAAACTGTGAACCTTTAAGCACAACGAGGTATAAGGAAACCAATTTTACCACAGGCTAATTGATATAAACAAGAGTTAAGTTCCTACAGCATATTTCTGGTCATAAAAAAATCACCAAACTTCTAAATAAAGACCACAACACTTCTAATATTAAACATAGAAATAAATGGGATCTATACATACAGTTAAGAAGGATTAGTAAAAACAAGATCATTATTTACCCAATTATTACAGTTCAAGGTCATGGGTAGCCAGAGTCTCCCTGGTTCAGAGTGGGAACCCCCCCCTCTCCCCTGTCCAGGAAGCTATCCCATCACAGGGTGCACTTTCACAGACACACCCACTCACTCAGACGGGGACCATGTAGACATATGCACAGCTTTGGGATGTGAAGGAAACCGAAGCCCAGAGAAAACCCACGCAGACATGAGGAGAATGAGCAGACTCCACATAGACAGTGGCCCTGGCCAGGAATTTTTTTGTCACCAACGTTGAATGAAACTATGTTATTGAGGCACTGCTGTATGTAGAGCCAGGTATGCCCGTTTCTGGAACGGAGTGCTGCAGATTGCCAGGTCAGAGGGTGTGGGTTTGGGCGTGGCTCTGCCACTTAGTGGCTGTCTCACATTTGGCAAATTCTCTAAACCCTCTAAGGCTCAGTTTCCTCACCTGTAAAATAGAGATAACAATGGGACCTACTTAACGAAATTCCTGTAAGAATTAAATACAATAATATGTTTAAGAGATCTTTGCTCATTGCCTGGCATGTTTTAATAGTAACGCTTCAATAAGTGTTGTTATTTTTGAGATGTGTTCTTTTTCAGGAAATATTTTTCATACCTTAAAAATAATTTGGTACTAAAAAATAGATTTATTTTGACATGTCCAAAGCTTGTTCTGATTTATGATATCAAATCATCATAAAATGCATAAATTTTTCCTTGCAGCACCTTTATAACAGCAACAATAATAAATATAATAATCAAAATCATAAAATCATGTCAATTTAATATTCTGGTAGCTTAATACCCCCAAGGAAGGAGCTTTGCTTTAGTAGGCCTAGAATAATTGGTAGGTTATTTTTCTATTTGTTTTTAAAATTTTTTTTATAGATTTAGAGTGTACAAGTGCAGTTTTGTTATGTGGATATATTGTGTAGTGTCAAAGTCTGGGCTTTTAGTGTACCCATTACCCGAATAGTGTAGGTTATTTTTCTATTTGTCTTTAAAAATCTGTACCTTTAGACACTATTCATGTGAATTCAATAATAAGAAAATATTTTCTCATTTATTTGTATTAAACAATAAAAATGGTTGAGCCAGAGTAACATCTGGCATCATCATTTTGCAGGGTCTTTTAACAGTAGGTGTTTAAGTTTTAAAGTAGAGCTGCTTAAATGACACCAGTAGGTAAAGATAATAGTGTTCAAGTTTTAGTTATTTTTCCTTCTAAATAATATTGTAGAATTATCCTGCCTGCCAACTTGCTGGTCATTCTTTTCCTTAAGTTCAAAAAAGCAAAGGAGGCTGGGAACGCGGTGGCTCATGCCTATAATCCCAGCACTTTGGGAGTCCGAAATGGACGGATCACCTGAGGTCAGGAGTTCGAGACCAGCCTGGCCAACATGGTGAAACCCCATCTCTACTAAAAATACAAAAATTAGCCAGGCATAGTGGTGGGCGCCTGTAATCCCAGCTGAGGCAGGCGAATCACTTGAACTCCGGGAGGCGGAGGTTGCGGTGAGCCCAGATTGCCTCACTGCACTCCAGCCTGGGCCACAGAGCAAGACTCTAATTCAAAAAAAAAAAAAATGCAGCAAAGGATTATAGTAAGCATCTATTTAATTTAAGCAATGTAGCTTGAATAAGAGGATAATTCAGGCCTAAAAATGAATTTTCAAAGTTGGGGTCATTCCATGCTATTAAGCATCAGAATATAAGCATGGAGGGTAAATTAACTCCAGCGTTGCCACCCATAACACCCATACATTTTAAGCATTACAGTTGATAGGATGTTTATTCATGTGATGATGGGGAAGTATGGGCTGTCCCTTCCCAGGATCACAATCCTGTTCTGTTATTCTAAGATTGTGATTATGTCAGCATACCTTACCATCTTTTGTTTTCATCATTAAGATGAAGTACATGATGTGTAGCTGCACTGTCTTGTAATCATTGTAACAGAGTTACCTTCAAAATTTTTTCAAAATAACCCTTTAAAATGTCTTTCTTTTCTTTTCTTCTTTCTTTCTTTCTCTCTCTCCTTCCTTCCTTCCCTTTCTTTCTTTTCTTTTTTTCTTTCTCTTTCTTTCCTTCCTTCCTTTCCTTCTTTCTCTTTCTTTCTCTCTTTCTTTCTTTCCCTTACTTCCCTCCCTCCCTCCCTCCTTCCCTCCCCTTCCCCTCCCTACTCCTTCCTTCCTTCTTTCCCTTCCCTTCCCTTCCTTTCTTCTTTCTCTCTCTCCTTCCTCCCCTCCCCTCCCCTCCCCTTCCTTTCTCTCCCCTCCCCTCCCCTTCTCTTTCTGACACGGTCTTGCTCTGTCACCCAGGCTGAAGTACAGTGCCACGATCTTGGCTCACTGCAGCCTCTGCCTCCTCCCACCTCAGCCTCCTGAGTAACTGAGACTACAGGCGCATACCACCAAGCCCAACTAATTGTTATAGTTTTTATAGAGACAAGATCTTGCCATGTTGCCCCGACTGGTTTTGAACTCCTGGGCGCAAGTGACCTGCTCACCTCCGCCTCCCAAAGTGCTGGGATTACAGTCATCAGCCACCATACAAGGCCTAAGATGTCTCATTTTCAAGAAAACTGTTTTTACCATCTCTCTCAGTATATTTGTATTGCTTAAGAGGCTAAAATATTTTGTTAATTTGGTGTCTTCAACCTCTTTGTCTTAAACATAGGTGCCAAATGTTCAAAATTTATTGTAGTATAGGAAAGGTCTTCCCATGCAGATATGTGTTTCTGAGCATGCTAACTAGGTTAACTAGTCTTCAATGTTTCCTATCCCCTACTATACTACAACTGCTTTTCCCAAACTTAGAGACATTTCTGACTTCATTTTACTAGACTTCTTCCACCTGTTTGACCATTTGCACTTTCTGGAAACAGGTTCATCTTTTGGTTCGCAAGTGGTATCCTTTAATCTCCTTCTAGGGTTACCTTTCTAAAGCAGTTACATGAACACATTACTCCCCTGGTTATAAATTTTAAATGTTATGTCCATTGATGGATATGTGGATAAACAAAATATGTTAAATATACACAATAGAATGTTACTCAGCCTTAAAAAGGAAGGAAATTTTGATACATGCTGCAACATGGATGAACCTTGAAGGCATTACGCTAAGTGAAATAAGCTGGACACAAACAACATTGTATGATCCTACTTACATGAACTATTCAGTGTAGTCAAATTCGTAGAAACAAGAATAAGGGTTACCAGGAACTGGGAGTAGGTGGGAATGGGGTGTTATTGTTTAATGGGTACAAAGTTTCAGTTTGAGATGATGAAAAAGTTGTGGAGATAGATAGTGATGATGGTTGCTGCTAAATTGTATATTTAAAAATGGTTAAAATGGGCCAGGTGCAGTGTCTCATGCCTGTAATTGCGGCGGTTTGGGAGGCTGAGGCGGGCAGATGACTTGAGCCCAGGAGGTTGAGATCAGCCTGGGCAACATGGTGAAACCTCGTCTCCACAAAAAAATACAAAAATTAGCTGGGCTTGGTGGTATGTGCCTGTCATCCCAGCTATTCGGGAGGCTGAGGTGGGAGGATCATTTGAGCCCAGGAGGTTGAGGCTGCAGTGAACCATGATTGCACCACTGCATTCCAGCCTGGGCAACAGAACAAGACCCTGTCTCAAAAAATAAAAATGGTTAAAATGGTAAATGTTATGTTATATATATTTTACCACAATGAAAAAATTTAAAAAATATCTTCGATATGCCCCCACCACCTACTAAATAAAGCGCAGATCTCTTAATGTCACCTATATAGTTCTTTAACATTTCTTCTTGGTCTACCTTTTTTCATCTTCTTATCTCATCATAACCCACACCTATTCTACATTACACCCATATGGAACCACTCAAAATATGCCAACTCTTCCAAGAGTCCATGCCTTTTATGTACAGTCAGTCCCCACAGACTGGATTGCATTTTTTCAACAAATGGCTAATTTCTAAGGATAGAGCTTAAACATCATGTTGTTGAAGGCTTCCCTAATGCCCTCATCTCATCTCTATTTCCCTGATGGCATTCTTGCTCACTGTGCATGCCTTTTAACATCACTTATCCTGTTCCTGGATAGTAGAAGCCTCTATAGAGAAGGGACTGTTTTATTTTTAACATGCATATTTACTTTAAAAAATTGAAAGTTAGTAACATTACACATTGTATGCATGTACCAAAATACCCTCAAAATATATACAACTATTATGTATCAATAAAAAAAAATTGCAGCCTTTCTCCTCACAAAAATCTAAATAAATGTTTTTGTTCTCTAAAAGTATATGACCTTACTATACTTTAATGTCAGTTTCCCTCTCTGTCATCTTTCACTTCATTATTATTTGACATTTTAGTTTGAATAATATTTTATTATTATTTACCAACATGCTAGCCAGTTTCTTACTTACCAATGCTTCTTTCATCCTTGCTGTTCAGCACTTTTTTTTTTTTTTTTAAGATGGAGTCTCACTCTGTCACCCAGACTGGAGTGAAATGGTGTGGTCTCGGCTCACTGCAACTCCGCCTCCCAGGTTTAAGCGATTCTCCTGCCTCAGCCTCCCGAGTAGCTGGGACTATAGGCACGTGCCACCACACCTGGCTAATTTTTGTATTTTTAGTAGAAATGGGGTTTCACTATGTTGGCCAGGCTGGTTTGAAACTCCTGACCTCGTGATCTGCCCGCCTTGGCCTCCCAAAGTGTTAGGATTACAGGCGTGAGCCACCGCGTCCAGCCAGCTTTTCTTATAATAACTCTTTTTTTAAAAGTTTCATCCAGCCCCAAATGTCATATAGTAACTCTTTTAGTAAGAATATATGCATAGTAAACTCAGTCTTTATCTTAAAAGAACCTTTATTTTATTATTACTCTTGAGTGCTAACAGTGAGTATAAAGTTCTAGATTGGCAGTTTTTGTTCCTCTATACTTTCTAGATTTTATTTCCATTATTTCCTAGCATCTATTCTTACCAATGAAAATATTGCTGTCAGTCTGATGATTGTTCCTTTTAAGATTATCTGTCTTTCGTCTCTGGCTCCTTATAGGATCTACTCTTTGTCTTTGTTGTTCTACAGTTTGATTTCAGTGAACATAGGAATAGATTTACTTTAATCCGGCTCAGAACTTCTTGTACTCTCTGGATATAAGGATTTTTTTTTCTTTCATCAATTCTAGAAAATTGTTTGCCATTATCTCTTTACATATTTTTTCCCTCTAGCTTTACGAAGGTATAATTGACAAATAAAAATTGGCTGTATTTACCAGGAAAGATGTGATGTTTTGATATTTGTGTACATTGTGAAATGACTACCACAAACCAGGTAATGAACCTATCCATCACCTCATTTATTTATTTATTGACTGTTTCTTTGTTTGTTTGTGTTTGATAGGAATATTTAAGATCTACTCTCTTAACAAATTTCAAGTATACAATACAGGATTGTTAACTATAATTACCATGCTGTACCTTAGATCCCTAGTATGTATTCATCTTACAACTGATCCCTTCACATCTTGCCTCTTTCTAATTCTTTTTTTTTTTTTTGAGACGGAGTCTGGCACTGTTGCCCAGGCTGGAGTGCCGTGGCGCAATCTCAGCTCACTGCAAGCTCCGCCTCCCAGGTTCACACCATTCTCCTGTCTCAGCCTCCCGAGTAGCTGGGACTACAGGCACCCGCTACCACGCCTGGTTAATTTTTTGTATTTTTAGTAGAGACAGGTTTTCACCATGTTAGCCAGGATGGTCTCGATCTCCTGACCTTGTGATCTGCCCACCTCAGCCTCCCAAAGTGCTGGGATTACAGGCTGGAGCCACCACGCCCGGCTGCCTCTTTCTAATTCTTTTTATTATTTCCTTTTGAAGCCATCAGGAGATGTCTGTTGGACCATTTATTACTTTACAACTCTTATTTGTTTGCATTTTCCAATTTTTTATTTCCTTGAATTGCATTTTGGGTTATTTCCACAGATATTGCTCCCATTTGAGTTCACTGGATTTTAAAATTCAATAGCTTTATTTCTAATCACACAACTTTTGATATAGGTATTTTAAACTATACCCTTAAAAAATCTTACTATCTTGTTATTTTATTATGATTTTTGTCTCCTCTCCCTACTTTAATTTCTTTTACCACTTCAAACATACTTATTTTTTACTGTCTCTTTGATACTCTTTTACTTTCAGTTCTTGCTTCTGTTTGTTTCATCTGCCACCTCTCCTTTATATTGGTTTGCTCCCTAGTATGTATTACATATTTTAAAGGTGACTTGTCTTCAGTGGGAGTTGCTTTTCTGGTGGAGTTCTATGTGCTCTGTGTTGGGAAGTATCCCTCTAGACAGATTTTGCAATGCTTCTACCTAGGGCTCAGCCAGTTTTTTCATTAGTTTCTTCAGCTGTGCTCCCACATTATGAAGGTAGACTTTGGATTCTACCAAGCAGACCTGGGGTTCTGATTTCCCTTGAGAGATTTTTTTTTTTTTTAACTGAAGGATCTGCATAAATGGCAAACATCCTTCCTTTCTTAGCTGATAGGCGGGATCCTTCTTGGACCAATTCTTCAAGGCTCTTACCTTCATCAGTTGAACTCAGTCCCACTCTTCTGCCCCTGTGTCCTAAGGCCATAAGAGGGCACTTCAGAAAGTTCATAGAAAAATGGAAATAAAAAACATTACGAATATAAACTTTATTTCTCAACATAAGCTCCATTAAGTTCAAGACACTTTTGTAACTGATGATAACAGCCACTTAGTCCATCCCCAAAGAACTGAGGGTCCTAGAAATTTACTACATCAATGCAGTTGTTTTTACATTACTAAAGAAAAATGAGTGCCCTTTAAAGATTACTTAAGACTAAAACAAAAAGAAGACAGAGGGATCTACATCAGGACTGTAAGGTGGATGCCTAATGACTTACCATTGAAACTCTTGAAAAGTCGCCCTTGTTTTTTGAGAGGAATGAGCAGAGCTCTCGGGTGAAGCTTTTCCAGGCATTTTTCTGCTAAAGCTTTGGCTAACTTTCTCAAAACACTCTCATAATAAGCAGATGTTATCTTTGGTCCTCCAGAAAGTCAATAGGAAAAGTGCCTTGAGCATCTCAAAAAACTGTTGCCATGACCTTTGCTTTTGACCACTCTGCTTTTGCTTTGACTGGACCACTGCCACCTCTTGGTAGCCATTGCTTTGATTGTGCTTCATCTTCAGGACCATACTGGTAAAACCATGTTTCATCTTCTGTTACAAAGCTTTGAAGAAATGCTTCAGGAAGTTGATCCTACTTGTTTAAAATTTCCATTGAAAGCTCTGCTTTTGTCTGCAGCTTATCTGGGCACTCTGGTTTTGGTACCCATGGAGTAGATAGTTTGCTCAACTTTAATTTTTCTGTTAGAAATGTATAAGCTGGACCAGTTGAAATGTATGGTGTCAGCTATTTTTTCTGCTGTTTATTATCTGTTCTCTTCAACTAGGGCATGATCAGAACAATAATCTCTGAGAAAAAAAAAAGAAAAAAAATTTTTAAAAAAGGAAAATAAATAAGAGCATAAACAAGATGAACTTTTCCCTTGCAGATTGATGTGGATGATCTGCTGCTGTGGGCTGCTTCTTCAATATCATCTCATCCATTTTTAAAATGAGTTATTCATTTGTAAACTGTTGATTTCTTTGGGTCATTGTCCTCATACAGTTTTTTTGTAAAGTATCAGTGATTTTACTATTCTTCTACTCAAGCTTCATCATAAATTTGATGTTTGTTCTTCCTTCAGTTTTCACAGAATTCATGTTGCTCTAATAGGAGCTGTTTTAAAAGTGATGTCTTATTCTTCTTAGTGCCTCAAACTAGATCCTGTTCAAACAAGTTATAACAAGCTAGTACAAGTTTATTTTGGTGCAAAAAAATTGAAATCTCTTCATAGTTTTTTCATAATTTGCATTTTCCATGAACTTTGTGAAGACCCCTTGTATATCCCGTTCCAAAGTGGTCATTGAATGCCCAGTGCTTGCTGCTAGGGCCTATGTTCAGATCCTAAAATCCTGTGGGAAACCCACAATGTCATCTGTTGATACCTGTTTTGGCTTTGGTTTTTCTTGGATCTCTGACACCTAGAGATTCCCTTTCTTTGGGGCGTAGGTATGTATTCAAAGTGTTTTGTGGTTGCATGTATATATGTTCCATTTATCCTGGAAATGGAAGCTGTAAATTAATACTCCACAGGTTGTTAAAGCAAAGTCCCCATAAAGAGGCATATCTTGGCAATCTTTCTTCCCTTTGTTTTTAGTCTCTCATTGACATGCCTCTGGTTTCTTTTAGCCCTTATTTACGTGATTCATTAGTCGTTCTAGGCTGCAGTGGTGTTTGTTATTCTTTCATAATATTTCATAATGTCAGAAGATGCCTACCCACTTGCCTGTTGCATTAGTTTGCTATTGCTACGGAACAACTTGCCACAAACTTAGTTGCTTAAAACACCCATTTATTAGCATTTATTTGTGTCTCACTAGAGCCAAATCAAGTTTTCAGTTGAAAGCAGTCTCCTCTGGAGGCTCTGGGGAGGAATCTGTGTCCAAGCTCATTTTGGTTGTTGGCAGAATCCAGTTCCTTGGGGTTGTAGGACTGATGTCCCCATTTATTGCTGAATATCCACTGAGGGTTACTCTCAGCTCCTGTAAGCTGCTTTTGGGTTCTTTCCACATGGACCCCTCCATCTTCAAAGCCAGGAATGGAAGATTTCTCTCATATTGAATATCTTCTCTCTGACTTCTCCTTGTATTATCAACTGGAGAAAACACTCTGCTTTTAAAGCATTCTCTGAAAGGAAAACAAAAACTGAGGACAGAAATTCACTATGCTGAAATAAAAAAAAAATTAAGCCAAAAGCTGAGTCCTACAAGAAACTGCCTTTCCTGGCCAGGTGTGGTGGCTCATGTCTGTAATCCCAGCACTTTGGGAGGCCAAGGCGATTGGGTCACCTGAGGTCAGGAGCTTGAGACCAGCCTTCCAACATGGTGAAACCCCATCTCTACTAAAAATACAAAAATTAGTTGGGTGTGGTGGCGTGCACCTCTAATCCCAGCTACTCAGGAGGCTGAGGCGGAGGTGGAGGTGAACCCAGGAGGTGGAGGTTGCAGTGAGCTAAGATCACACCATTGAACTCTAGCCTGGGCAACAATAGTGAAACTCCATTTCAAAAAAAAAAAAAAGAAAGAAAGAAAATAAACTGCCTTTCCTTTTGTTCCTAAGCAGATAGCTACAGATAAAAAATTAAATAGCTCCACAGGTAGCTGCTCTAAGCTCACCTTATCTTATGTAAAGTGCTGATTTGCAGAGCTTGAGAGAAATACATAATTGACTGTTCCCTTACATGTTTCTTTTCCCTTGGAACATGTGGATTACCATATCCTCCCTCTTTCCCCTCTAGCCAGGTTTTCCCCTTTAAATATTGAAGCTCTCAAAATCATCTTCGGAGAAAGGCACAGACCACAGACTATTTCTGTGATTTTGTTCTTTTTTCTTCCAGGCATATCCTTAACCTTGGCAAAATAAACTTTTAAATTGATTGAGACCTGTATTAGATACCTTTTGGTTTACAGCTCATATGACCGGTTAGGACTATTTGGACAATCTCCCTATCTTTAAGCCAACTGTTTAGTAACCTTAATTATATCTGCAAAATCCCTTTTGCTATCTACTATAATGTAATCATGGGACTAACACGGTGTCAGAATTGTGGGGCCATTTTGGAATTCTGCCTCTTATATCAGCTGATATTTACTGTTTGCTTCTTGACTATTTCCCATGAAAATACACACTTTGAGCCACATTAAAACTTACATTTTAATATTCATTGTGATGCTCTTTCTCTGGTTTTGATAGATCTGGAAATATTACTTGTACATCTTTTGTCACCCATTATGGGTCAAACTTTTCTCTAGTACATAGAATACATGACAGAAAAAGAGACTACAGTAGATTAAATAAGACATGTTGTAGAACTCACTTGAATCAAGGTAGTGTGTGTTTCGAGGTGTGCTTGTATTTTATTCTGCCTGGCCATGTGTTTGTTGAAAGGTGGCTCCATATGTTAGTCTGCCAGGCTGGTAGAAGTTCTGTCAAACCTGCTTTATTCATCTCTGTATTCCTAACATTTAGCGCTTTCAGTCCTTCATGACAGGTGTTAAATAAATGCTATTTGGAGAATGCTACTTTTTACTCTGTGGAACTTGACTATTTTTTTGTGTTTATTTATCTTGCCTTTGATAATATCTAATTCCTTAATTGATCCAAAATAATTTTGTTCCTGTGTTTGAAACTAATATTGTATTTCCCTCCTTCTCCCTCTTTTTTCTTTACTATTCACATTAATTTTTTGTTTGTCTTTTGAGCATCCAAGTAAATTTTCTTTCTAGTGGTAGTATACAGTTGTCATGACAGCATTTGTTAAGTAGTAATTCTCATCCTGTAGTTTTATTATTCCTAGTTTGTTGTAGAATAAGTCCGAATAAAAAGTCATTTGGGGTTTTACATTTTAGAAGATTTTTTTGATCTAATAATTTTTTGTTCTAATAAGTATTAAATTTATCATTACCTTTTATTCTCATTTCCCAAATATCCTTTTATATTTTTGCTGGTTTATGTTTTCAAATAAATTTCATTAAGTATTTTAAAGCATTCTGTTGAGTTTTAATTCATTCTTCTAATTTTTTTTTTTAAATATAGAAATAGCATCTCACTATGTTGGCCAGGCTGATCCCAAACTCCTGGCCTCAAGTGATCCTCCTGCCTTGGCCTCTCAAAGTGCTGGGATTCCAGGCATGAGCCACTGAGCCTGGCCCTTAATTCACTCTTTGTTTCTCTGTTAACGTAACATATTGTTATCTTTAATATGTATTGTCCTCCCAAGTTGAATGAGGTTTCACATTCCCTTTATTCATATCTTTAATTATCTTTCCCAGTACAGTTTTATGATTATGTTTAAAAAGAGCTTCTCTGTCATGCCATAAGTCCTCTTGCATATTGGGAATGCTTTTGGTCCTGCCTGGGAATGGGATCTCCCTGATTAGTGCACCTTCTACCTGTATATTTGTCTGCATATGCAGAGATACTGTTGCTTCTGAGAACTTTGCTAACCCTTCACCAGCCTCACAGTGTTACTGCAATGCTGATTTTTTTATTAGTTTGATGAGTTTGAGTATGAAAAAAATCTTGTATTATCTTTCCAGCAGCTCCCCAATAATCTGACTCCTAGGAAGTTGAAAAAGGAGGGTTTGGAATATCTTCCTTGCCTGTATTTTCTCCCAGCTGGTCCCTGGCCCTCCCTTTAGAGCCCCACAGAATCTGCTTCCTCCCTGTTCCTCAAGAATGCCCTTCTTGTGTTTAAAAACCAATGCTGGATTATGTTTCCCTTAATTCTACTTGATCTCCTAATAGGGAGTCATTTTATCCCACAATTGTAAAGCATTATCTCTGTTGCCAGCATATTTATCAGTAATCCTCTGTGTTGATTGGCACAGGTTTATCCACTTTCAGTGGAGAAAGTCAGAGCATAGACTAATAGTACTGAAAAACTGCCAGAGTTTTACTTTGTTGACTTGGCCTCTAGCTGCATGTGCTGTCTTATTTCCTTCACTCTATCTCTTTCTTTGTTGATGAGGATTTTGCAGTTTGAGACCGTTTTGTAGGTGCAGGAGCAGCTAGGCAAGTCATCTCTGCAGGTTACTTTTAGAACTGCTTTCTTTTCTGTACCACTCCCCAGGCCCAGGCAGTAAGGAGTGGAGAAGTGTGCCTCATGAATGATTTATCAACTGCTTTGGCGAGAGAAAGTGCTGAAATTAAGAAAGACCAGACTCATTTTCATCTTTTATATTCCTTACTCATTGATACTTAGAAAATTGTTTTGGAGAAACTGGAAACTTAACTTCTGAATGGTGAGCCACAGAGCTTCAACCGATTCAGCTAGAATATTCTATATACCTGTTGGAGATAACAATATTTGTCTTACCTCTGGCGGTATTGGGATGCTCAACTAATGCGATATATGTAAAATTGCCTTGTGATACAAAGAACTATTATAAATGACTATTATTTTGATAATGGCGATGATGAATATTATAAACCACTTATTTCCTGATTATTAATAGGATGGATTGTTAATTGACAATATTCTACCTTCTTTCCATTTTGCTCCTCTTCCTTCATAGGGAAAAAGCAAACAATTATTTACTTAATGCCTGAAAGTTAAATTCTAAAGGAAAACTTTTTACTAGCTGATCATAGGTCTGCTGATAAGAATTGAAAGATGGGACAATCTCAGGTTTATGAACAGTTGCCTGATACTAAAGGTTAGTAATCACCAGCTGTCTTCAGAATTTGGCACAAAGCAGATTTATTTTCACTGACATAGAAAGCATCCAGCCTCTGGGCCTGGAGAGGACGGAGCCCTGGCTGGGCGGGCTGCATAGTCGTTGGCGGGGGTGTCTGCACTTTCTCTAGCCTTCCTTGGGGCATGTTTTCTAAAGGTGATAATTTACTTACTATAGCACAAGGCAAAGCACCTACTTAGATAGCAGTGGTGACCCCGTTAGATAAGAATTGAATTTAGGGAGAAATAAAAGTGCTGAGCCATTTGAAAGCTAAGTTGTTTCCATAATTAGGGAGAATATTTAAAGCCACATGGTGTACACTCAAGGTTTCACCTTCTAAAATTGTTTTTCCTAATGTAGGGACAGTGTTTCCAGGAGTAAAAAACTGTGGTGTTATGTTGTAATACAAGGGCTGTAAGACAGTGCATTAATCTAAGACTGTGGAAAAGATGGTAAAATTTACCATAGCAATTGGTGCATATTTGTTTCTTACCATTTCTTTCTCCCAACGTATACTCCTTCACTACATGCCACCTATTGCTCCTTTCAATTGTTCTCTTATCTGTTTTATCAAGTTGACCCTCCCAATGAGTGGGAAATCCCCTCCTTCCTTTCTAGCACTGTTTCTGTGACTCCTGGAGAGGTGCTCAGGAGGTAGACCCATGGCCTGCATTCACCGCTGAAGCTGAAGGCTGCCTTGGCGAAGACAGGTTTTGTCAAAGTAGTGGCTGATACGGCAAGGAAAGAGGAATCATAAAAGAGGAGAACTTCCCTAGCTGCCCCACTGGCTAAATTGAACTAGGAATATATTATGGCTGCATCTTTTGTGAGTTCACTGGCTCTAAAAAGCAGGGCTTTGCCAGCTTAGTTTCCTCACTCAGTAAACCATAAATGGGACAACCTATAAATACAGCTCGTTCTTAACAGCCTGTAGGACAATGCTATGCAGACAATCTGTTTGGATCTCTGAAAGAGGCCCTCTTTGGGCTGTTTCCATTCCCTTCAGATACAAAAGCTGCAGCTTGCCCTTTTCTGAGCCTGCAGAAGCATTTCACTCCAGCATTATTTATAAACATCCCAAGTTGGAAACAAAGAAATGATGAAGTAAATTGTAATAATCAATGGAATGTTGCAAACAAATTATAAAAAATATAACAATGAAGGATAATTTTTGTGATAAAATATTGAATGAAAGTATTATACAACTCTAAGATGATAGCTGTACTAAAGTTTGTGTGTATATGTGTATATATATATATATATATACACATATACACACAATTGAATAAATGGAACGAGAATCTAAAAGAAGAAAAGCAGCCATTTGTTGGCACGATTTATAATTTTTTTCTAGGAATGTACAATTTATAATGACTAATTTTTTAATGTAATTTTTTTCTTTTTTCTTTCGTTCTTTCTTTTTTTTTTTTTTTTTTTTTTTGAGACAGAATCTTGCTCTGTCACCCAGACTGGAGTACAGTGGTGCAATCTCAGCTCACTGCAACCTCCGCCTCCCGGGTTCAAGCAATTCTCCTGCCTCAGCCTCCCAAGTAGCTGGGATTACAGGCGCATGTCACCATACCTGGCTAATTTTTTTATTTTTAATAGAGAAAGGGTTTCACCATATTGGCCAGACTGGCCTCGAACTCCTGACCTTAAGTGATCTGCCCACCTCAGCCTCCCAAAGTGCTGGGATTACAGGTGTGAGCCACTGCACCCAGCAATTTTTTTAATGTAAGTTTTTGTCACGCTATTATTATTTTTATTTTTTTAGACAGAGTCTCACTCTGTCACCCAGGCTAGAGTGCAGTGGTACAATCTCTTCTCACGGCAACCTCCACCTCCCAGGTTCAAGCAATTCTCCTGCTTCAGCCTCCCGAGTAGCTGGGATCACAGGCATGCGCCACCATGCCCGGCTAATTTTTGTATTTTTAGTAGAGATGGGGTTTCGGCATGTTGGCCAGGCTGGTCCTGACCTCAGGTGAGCCTCCCACCTCAGCCTCCTAAAGTATTGAGATTACAGGCATGAGCCACCAGGCCCGGCCTTGTCATGCTATTTAAAGAAGGATTTATTTCATTCACTCAGCCTCCATTCAGACAGTGTGCTAGAGCCCAGGCAGAGAGATGCAGCCAATAAAAGCACATTTCTCCTGGGGTGTACCTCTCCAAGGTTCTGTAACATATAATTTTGAAAATCACACTAATCTCCTTCATTAAAAATTTTATCTCAGATCTAAAGCAGCAGCCACGGGGACAGCAACGTTTCAGTCACAAGGTTTGTTTCATAACTCATTTTGTCTTTTTATTTTTAAAAAAGGTAGCAGCCATGAGAAAGCCTTACCATTCCACACCCATCACTTTTAGCTGTACAGTACCTTATGCTGGGATAAGTGTTTCATGTATTCTGAGTTTTCTTTCTTTTTTTTTTTTTTTTTGAGACAGAGTCTCACTCTGTTGCCCAGGCTGGAGTGCAGTGGCACGATCTCGGCTCATTGCAAGCTCTGCTTCCCGGGTTCATGCCATTCTCCTGCCTCAGCCTCCCAAGTAGCTGGGACTGCAGGCGCCTGCCACCGCACCTGGCTAATTTTTTGTATTTTTAGTAGAGATGGGGTTTCACCGTGTTAGCCAGGATGGTCTCAATCTCCTGACCTCGTGATCCTCCCTCCTTGGCATCCCAAAGTGCTGGGGTTACAGGCGTGAGCCACCACGCTGGACTGTCATTGATTCCATCATTGGCTGACTTCCTTTGGTCAGAGATGAAAGAAAACCCCTAGTGTGTAAAGGCTCGAGTTGTTATTTTGTCTCACTATAAGGTAGATGGCGTTTTTCACCTTAAACTTAGAAAATACTGTCTGCTCTAGGTACTTCATGCAGTCGCTAATGGGACAGGACAGGCAAATTTCAGGAAGCTTTTCTTTTGAAAAGTACAAACAATGGTGTTATGGGTTGCGTGGTGTCCCCACAAAAGATGCTTTCAGTCCTAACCCCCAATACCTGTGAATGTGACCTTACGTAAAAATAAGGTTTCTGCGGATGGTATCAAGAAGAGGTTATGAGAGGGCCCTTTATCCACTGCGACTGGTGCCCTTATAAGAGGAAAATTTTGACCCAGAGGCACACAAGGAGAGCTCCATGTGACAATAGAGGGACAGATTGGAGGGATGCAGCTGCAAGCAAAGGAACGCCGAGGATTGACGGCCACCATCAGAAGCTAGGAAGGGACAAAGAAGGATTCTGATCAGACTCTCAGAGGGACATGGCCCAGCTGATGCGTTGATTTCCAACTTCCAGCTTCCAGAACTGTGGGAGACTACAAAACATTTCTGTTGTTTTCCGGTGCTTAGTTTGCTGTACTTTGTTACAGTAGCCCTAGGAAACTAATTCAGATGGTAAATGCAAGGGTTGTATTAAAAAAAAAAAAGAAAGAAAGAAAAAAGCACTGCAGTGAGAACCTGATGGGGGAACGGAAATGGACAGGTGTTCTGGACCTGGTCAGATCTTTTAAAAACCCACAGGGCAGTTGCACTTTAAAACTTACAAGTGTGTCTCATGAATTCTTTCAGAATCAAATGTGACATATTAAAATAAAAACACTTTAAAGAGAACTTACAGGCTAGAAAACAGAAAAACATAAGGTTCCTTAGAAAAATTATTGAACGGAAAGCAAAAAAATTCTTAAAAAGGTGGGAAAATTACAATACCTGACATTTCTAACCAGTACTTACTCTAAAACAAGGTCTATAAAAGCAACAGTCCACAAATTTACTTATTTAGGAAGTTTAGATTTTTAAAAATATGGTGATTTAGGAAGCTAAATGCCATTATAGGATGTTTTTATTGCCCATGTTCTGTAATTATTAGGACATGCTTTCCAGCACTACGTGTGCTTGAAATAATATAAAACCTGGAAGCAATGATGAATAATGTCTAACTTTTCATTAGCACAATTACTCAGTTCATTTTGCCCTAGAATAAGCAGTATTTGGAAGGAGGCTCCTACATTCAGGACATGTCTTCAGCATTCTTCTGGTGAACATTTATGCTGTTATTTGAGTAGTTTAATAATTTTTGAATAGTGACTATAAATGATGCACACAAATATTCCTCTTCTAGATTGTCTTCTGTGGATTAATTAACAGTTCATTAGATAATTATCTGTACTTTTAAGACCATAATGTTAGTCCCTGAACTGAAACCAGTAAGAAGATTGCTGGAAGTCCTGGCCTCTTTTCCCATTTACGGAGTAGGAAAGGTTACTTTGGTGCTTGAGGTAAATTCCAGTTTTCAGGCTACACATCGTGTTCATTTCTTTATTCTGCTAGGGCCACAGCTCATGACCTAGGTAGGCCCTTGCTGTGAATTCCTCACTGTATCATTTGTTCCCTAATTCTGACCTCTGTTTATCAGACCATAATCATGTCTTTCAGAAGAAAACAAGGAAGGAAGGGAGAGAGGAAAGGAGGGAAGGAGGGAGGAAAAAAAGGAAAGAAGGAAGGGAGGGAGGGAAAATGCTCACTAAGACCTAATCACCTTCCCTCCCAATTCATTCTTTCCATGGCTATGACTGAGCACTAAGTCCTCAGCAGAAATTTTGACCAGGAGGTTATCAGGTAGCACATTACCACCTGTTGACAGTGATCTCTAATTGTAACATCATCCCCAGCGCATTTCTGCACTGTACACATAAGGATGTCTTGGGAGAGCCTGCCAGCCCATAATTCTTACAGCATTCTGTTGATCTAACAACATGGGAACAACAGCCATCTAAAAAGTATGTGAAGTCCCCTTTTGTTACTAAGATATATTACATGTTATCATTATGGAAAATTTGGAAAATATAGAAAAGTAGAAAGAAAAACAATTGAGTTCTGCTGGCCTGCCCTGCTTTTTTTAAGACCGCACTTATAAATTGGTCACTAATGTCTTTGTGAAGTGCTCATGAATTATCTGTTCAATAACTCACTCTAGAATGTTGCTGGAGTTTGGCACCTAGGTCTTAACTTGCCATTTCTGTAAATAACCTTATTACCTTCCTGCAAATTGGAACTTTTGTTCCAGAAGCCGCCTAGCTTCTGGAAATTCTCTTTTTCATCATTATTCTGCACAGTTTACCAAAACTAATTGCACAATAAAACCTCAAAATTCCTTGGGTATCTTGGGACAATTTATGTGGCCCTTCCACTGGAATGGAAACTCCCAAAGGGAACCTTTTTATTCACTGCTATATCCTCACAAACTAGAATAGTGCCCTGCAAACATAGGTGTTCAATACATTTTCTTTTTAAAATGTTAGCTTCATTGAGATATATTTCCCATATCAGAACATTTACCCATGTAAAGTATAAAATTCAGTAGCTTTTAGTATATTCACAGTTATCCAACCATCAATTTCAAAACAGTTTCACCCCCTTTTTTTTTGAGAGCGAGTCTTGCTCTGTTGCCCAGGCTGGAGTGCAGTGGCACGATCTCTGCTCACTGCAACCTTCACCTGCCAGGTTCAAGCGATTCTCGTGCCTCAGCCTCCTGAGTAGCTGGGATTACAGGTGTGTGCCACCACACTCAGCTAATTTTTGTATTTTTAGTAGAGACGGGATTTTGCTATGTTGACCAGGCTGGTCTCAAAATCCTGCCCTCAAGTGATTCTCTCATCTCGACCTCCCAAAGTTGTGGGATGACAGGCACAAGCCACCAAGCCCGGCCCCATTTTCACCACTTCTAAAAAATCCTCAGATGCTTAAACAGTCTGTCACATGCCATTCCTTCCCACCACTGGCAGCCACTGATTTGCATTCTATCTCTATGGATTTGCGTATTCTGGACATTTCATGTAAATAGAATGGTACAAAATGTGGTCCTTGTGTCTGATTTCTTTCACTTAGCATAATGGTGTCAAGGTTTATCCATGATGTAGTAGATATGCCGTTCCTTTTTTATTGCCAAATAATATTCCACCGGATAGATATATAATACCATGATATGTTTATCCATTTTAAGCCTATGGGCATTTGAGTTATTTCCATTCATTTAGGTTGTCTTTACTTCTTTTGATGATGTTTTACAGTCTCCACTGTACAAGACTTATACTTCTTTTGTTAAATTTATTCCTAAGTACTTACTCTTTGTGATGCTGTTAGTATGTTAGTATACAGAATTCTTTTCTTAATTTTGTTTTCAGCTCATTCATTCCTAATGTGTAGAAATACAATTGACTTTAGTATGTTGTTTTCATATCATCCTTGCTGAACTCTAGTCATATTTTTGTGGACTCCTTAGGATTTTCTGTATATAAGATCATGTTATCTGTGAATAGACATAGTTTTACACATTCCTTTCCAATCTGGATGCTTTTATTTGCTTTCTCTCCTAATTGGCCTGGCTAGAACCTCCAGTACAATGTTGGATAGAAGTGGTGAGAGCAAAATCCTTGTCTTCTTCCTGATCTTAGGGGCAAAGCTTTTCAGGCTTTCACAATTATATATGATGTTAGCTATGGATTTCCATAGACTCTGTTTATCAAGTTGTATCAATAAATATTTGAGAATGAATACACATATATATATTTAAATATATTCTTTATAATGTTTGCTTTTTGGGTCTTGTTAATAAATCCATCCCTAATCAGTGGTTAGAAAGATATTTCTGCTACATTTACTTTTAATAGTTTTAAAGCTTTGCATTTCACATTTAGGCCTTTAATTCATGTAAATTTATACTGTATATGGTATGAAGTTGGGATTCTAATTTTGTCATTTATCTGAAAAGCAATTTTCCTAACACCAGTTTTATTCTTGTTCTATTTGGCAGACAATTTTATAGAAATAAAAAAAACAGAAGTTATGGGGTACTGTATTATACAATTCTTTTATTTATTGTTTCTGTTTTTTAGAGAGGGGAGCTCATTCTGTTGCCCATGCTGGCATGCAGTGGTGCAGCTATAGCTCACTGTAGCCTTGAACTCCTGGACTCAAGCCATCTTCCTCCCTCAGCCTCCTGAGTAGGTGGGATTACAGGCTGAAGAGCCTAACCATATTGTACAACTCTTAAGGCTGGGCAGAAATCTTGAATAGGACAGGATCATGTGGCACCGCACTCCAGGTTCCATTGTTCAGCCCACATTACATTGCATGTAGAAGGAAATATGGGAGTCAGGGCTTCACGTCCGACTTCCAAATCTCACTTGAATGCATTTCATTGGCAGAACCTGAATAACATTCAGATCCTTAGGTACAGGGATGTTGAGAAATGTAATTTTCACCTTTCCATCCCCTTCCCTAGAGGAGATGAGGGTAGGGGCTATATGAAGCTGTGCAGATGAATTCTGAGTGTCAAGGTCCCAGCACAAGGTTCTTCCAATTATCTTCTAATAGATCATTTTCTATTTTTTCCTCAATGTTTTCCTTCTTCTGCATTACACTTAGCTGCTATTGTTTCTTATATATCATGTATTTCATCATTCTTTCTTGGATTCATTTTTCATTTTGCTGGAATACCTCCTCCAAAAAAATTTTTATTTGTATGCAGGTGATAATATTCTGAGTTTTCAAATGTTCAAAAATATGTTGATTTTGTTTACATGTTTGATAGATAGTTTGTGCAATAAAGAAATTCAAGGCCTGGCATGGCGGCTCACAACTGTAATCCCAAACTTTGGGAGGCCGAGGTAGATGGTCATTTGGGCCCAGAAGTTCTAGACCAGCCTGGGCAATATGATGAAACCCTGTCTCTACAAAAAAAAAAAAAAAAAAACAACCCCAAAAATTAGCTAGGTGTGGTGGTGTACACCTGTTGTCCCAGTTACTCAGGAGGCTGAGGTGGAAGGATTGCTTGAACCCAGGAGGCAGAGGCTGCAGTGAGCCAAGATTGCACCACTGCACTCCAGCCTGCGTGATAGAGTGAGACCTTGTCTAAAAAAAAAAAAAAAAAAAAAAAAAAGAAAACAAAGAAATTCAAAATTATTTTTCTTTAGAATTTAAAGATGTATTATATTGTATATATTAAAGTTTTTAACTTTTATGGATTTTTGTGGATACATAATCATTGTGCACATTTATGGGGTACATGTGATGTTTTGACACAAGCATACAATGTATAATGATCAATTTGGATAACTGGGATATCATCACCTCTCACCTCAAATATTTATCATTTCTTTATGTTGGGAACATTCCAGATCTTCTCTTTTAGCTATTTTGAAATGCACAATAAATTATTGTTAACTATAGTCACCCTACTTTGCTATCAAACGCTGGAACTTATTCCTTCTAACTGTATTTTGTACCCATTCACCAATCCTCTTCATCCCCCTTAGAATTTTGAATTCCTCCATTGCCCTCGTTGTTCCACTAATGCCTATGAGAAATATGATGCTGCTCTGTGATTCTGGTTCTTTTGAAGGTAACCTATTTTTTTTCTCTTTGGAAGATTTTAGGGTATGTCCTTAAGAACTTTTGGAGTTCTTAACTTTTATCAAGATGTCTAGGCCATATATCCTGCTTGCCTGCTTGTACTATGTAGGCCCTTTTAATTTGAAGACTGGTTTTCTTCATTTAAAGGAAATTTTGTTCTATTATTTCTTCACTTCTTCCCCTCTATTGTCTCTGTTCTTTCTTCCTATAATGCCTCTTAGCTAGATGATGAAAATTCTGGACTCTCCCCTATGCCTTCTAACATTGCCCCATATTTTCTTTTCCTTTGTCTTTGTGTGTGTGCGTGTATGTGTGTGTTTGTGTTCATGTGCACACTAGGGGAATGTCCTCACATCTACCTTTCAAATCTGTAACTTGCCTTCAGCCACGTAGAACAGGTGTTCTGGAGCCAGATAGCTTGACTTTGAATTCTGACTTAGCTAATTTTTAGCTGTCTGAGCAAGTGACTTAATCTCTCTCTCTCTCTCTTTTTTTTTTCTTTTAATGAGATGGAGCCTCACTCTGTTGCCCAGGCTAGAGTGCAGTGGCACAATCTCTGTTCACTGCAACCTCCATCTCCTGGGTTCAAGTAATTTTTCTGCCTCAGCCTCCCGAGTAGCTGGGATTACAGGCACCTGCCACCATGTCCGACTAATTTTTGTATTTTTAGTAGAGACAGGGTTTCGTTGGCCAGGCTGGTCTCGAACTCCTGATCTCAAGTGATCCTCTCGCCTCGGCCTCCCAGAGTGCTAAAATTACAGGTGTGAACCACCGTGCCCAGCCATTAATCTCTTTAACTCTGTTTCCTCACCTGTGAGATGGGGAGAATAATAGTACCTGCCTCACTGGGTTAGTTTGATTATTAGGTATGTTAGGATGTTTAAAATGCGAAGAACAGATCCTGGGCCTAACACATAGGAGGTACTTAATATATATTAGCTGCTAGCATTATCAACAGTTATTCCACTTGTTCACTGAGGTTTTAATTTTAACAATCCTATTTTGAATTTCCAATAATTTTTCTTGTTCTCTGATTTTTGCCCCTCATTTGTAGCAGCCTATTTTTGTTTTATGGAGGCAATATCCTTTCAAATTTTTCCAAAGATACTAATTACTATTTTAATTATTGATATTAATTGTGGTTTAAAGTTTTTCTTTGTTCCTTTAATCTTCTATTTGTTTATCATAGCCTTTCTTTTTCATGTTCTTTTTTTTTTTTTTTTTTAATTTCTCAAATGTCTAGCAGTCCTTGGTTGCCTGTTCCTTTTGATCTGTGAGGGGCTCCACTGATCAGGATACTTGGCTGCTTTCTGACGTAGCTGTCCACTCATTGATTCATGTGAGGCTTGCTGTGGCATCTGAGTGCATGAGTGGGAGGTGTCTGGTCAGGTTTCCCTCTGGGGTGTACGGGTGAGCACTCCCCAGGCAGCCACTGGAAGGAGAGCTCTGCCTAGAGGTGTGGTGCTTCAGAATAAAGTAGATTTCATTCCAGGGCAGAGCTGTGCATTCGCAGACTCTGTTGACTCTCCTTTTCTCCCAGGCCCAGTGCTGCCACCAGGGCCCCATGGAGGTAGATCTCCGTCTCTTGAGAGAGCAGTTCTCTGGCTTTAGCTTGAGATCTGTTTTTCGTTTGGTGATCACCCCAACGATTGTGCCTTGGCCGGTTCTGTCTCTTTGCATCCATTGGCTCAGGGCTTGGAGCTTCTCCAGTGCTGTCACCAAAAGTGCTGTTCTTCCTTTTTCTAGGAAATGAGTTTCCTCTCTTCCTTTCCAGTCAGAGCCATGCCATCTGCTTTCTATCTTCCAGGAATTCTTTGAAATGATTGGTCTATTAATGATGTCCATTCTTATTTTCCTGTGTTGTTATGGTTTATTTTCTTTTGTCTGTTCTTATGTCCTGTTTGCCTCCCCTCACAGTTTTTCCCCCCAGTAAGACCATGCACAGGAAAGAGGAGAGCTGGATATACATCTATCTGCCATATTGAACTAGAAAGTTTTCTTTTTTATTTTGAGCTTTCCAAGATTTTCTTAATGATGCCAATTTCCTCCCAGATAGATTAATATGAATATATTTTTTGTGTGGGCTGTGTCTCTGGATGTCCCCTGGAATAATGGTGGTTCTTGTCTCCATGATCTGCCTCTTTAGAGAGCTCAATTCTCTTTTTAATGAACACTTGGGGGCTTGGTCTGTTGCTGCAACACCCTGCTTCTCTCAAGCTTCAATAATAAAGTGAGTGTGTTAAGGAACTATGAGTAGAGAACCATAAGATACTCGCCCATCTCCCAAATATCTCCCATACCATCATCTGTCAAAGGTACCTGAAATACCTTTTTGTCTTCAGGAATCTCCAGATGAAAATGCTAACGTCCTAAGAAAGAATAAGACCTTGAGGCTTAAATAAGTAATATCAGCCAACACCTTCATTTGGAAGCTTGGGTTTGTGGAAACATAATGGAAGGGAGATGATGGGAGGATGAGCAGGATGTGACAGGGACTCCCTAAAAGGGAAGTAGGTGTGACTGTATGCTTCTCAGTTTTCTTCCATGCCCACCCTGGCTGATACCACATAGTTTCTGTTTCTTATTTTGAATTGGCAGTAGGAAGTCAGCTGCATTCCTAGGCATACGCATAGGTGCTATTATAGAATGAATGTTTGTGTCTCCCAAAATTCATATGTTAAAAGCTCCAACCCCTGTGACTATATTTGGAGGTAAAGACTTTATTGGAGGTAATTAAATTTAAATGAGGTCATAAGGGTGGGGCCTTTATCCAATAGAATTAGCATACTCCCTTCAAGCCTCCAGAGCTTTGAGAAAATAAATTCCGTTATTTAAGCCACCGACTCTATAGTACTTTTTTCTTTTTATGGAAGCTTGAGCAGACTAATACAGTTGTCTTTAGGGAAAGATTGAAGATAGAAAAAAAGCAAAAACACAAGTATGGGGCCGGGAGCAGTGGCTTATGCCTGTAATCCCAGCATTTTGGGAGGCCGGGGCAGGCAAATCACCTGAGGTCAGGAGTTCAAGACCAGCCTGGCCAACATGGTGAAACCCCGTCTCTACTAAAAATATAAAAATTAGCCGGACGTGGTGGTGTATACCTGTAATCTCAGCTAGTTGGGAGGCTGAGGCAGAAGAATTGCATGAATCCAGGAGGTGGAGGTTGCAGTGAGCTGAGATCATGCCACTGCACTTCAGCCTGGGCGACAGAGTGAGACTCCGTCTCAAAAAACAAAAACACAACTAGGGATAGTCAGCATTTCCTTTTTTTATATATAAAAATTGAAGAGGCCTCATGTTTGGGATCTTCTTAGCTAAGATTAAAACCAAGTTCTGGAGTGCCACAGTCCAGGTGACAAAAATGATTTTTAAAAAAATTTGTGAAGCAGTTTTGCATACTTTTTTCATGTCTGAATATCAAGTTCAGGAAGCTTGACTCCACTACTCCCGACCAATATTGGCAAAATATATTGAAAATAAATTGCTAACTTATTTTCAGTAGCATATTATTGACCAAGGAAACACAAAACAGGATTTTAGGCCAATTAATCCAGCAGTGTTAGAATGAACAGCGAATGGGATCCATGTGATTGTCATTTCAGATGGTCGGCACTTTTTAGTCAGGCTGGAACTATATTTGGTTTGCTCTGGCTGAAGCAGCGAGGGAATTGCTATAGTGTGATTTGCACGCCTGCTGCAGCAAAATATGGCACTCTCAAGATCAGAAGGCACTGTTTTATTTTAAGTTTCTCCCCCTTGCACCTTAAGGTCTCTCTGCAGATGCATGTGACTAGGTGAGACATATTCATGGAATATTTTGAAAATAGGCCATTTCCCCCCTCGTGCATTTTCACTCTTTCTACTCAAGTTCATCCCTCAAGCATGAACATTCCTTTTCCATTGTCACTCACTCTCTTGGTGGTGTTAACCAGTCTTGTGGCTTTGAATACCAGCTACACAATGATGCCTCCCAGTGTATGTCTCCAGCCCTCTCTCCCATGAACCCTGGACGTATTTATCCTGTGGCCTATTCAGCAGCTCCACTTAGATATCTCTTGCATTTGGAGAATGACAACCCCATTCTTCCAGTTGCTCAGAGTCATCTAGGACTCTTGTTTTTGTGTCACACCTTACATCTTATCCATCAGCAAATCCTATATGCTCTACCTTAAAATAAATCAAGGCTCTGACTCCTCAGGGCCTTCACTACTATCACCTTGGTGCAAGACACCGTCCTCTCACCTGGATTATTGCCGAAGCTGCTAACTTGTCTCTCCATTTCTGCCTTTGATTGCTATACTCTCTTTTCAACGCAGAAGCCCGAGGGAGCTAATCCTGAAACATTTCCAGTTTCATGGTGAAAGCCAAAGATCCTTCATACTAACCTATAATACAGCCTCCCATTGTCCCCCACCCTGACCTTCTAGTGCTTTCCCTTTTCTAGCGATGCTGACCCTCTTGCTGTTCCTGCAATACACAGGCACATTCCCCGCCTCAAGCCTTTGTGTTTCTTTTTCCCTCTGCCTGGGAACTCTTTCCTCTCAGCTGTCCACATGATTCACTCCCTCATCTCTCCTAAGTCTTTGCTCAAATGTGACCTTCTAAGTTCAAAAATTCTCTCTTCAGCAGTGTCTAATCTGCTATTTAGCCCATCCATTGAGCTTTTAATAGCAAAAATCTTTTTGTTTTTAGAAGTTGTGCTTGGTTATTTTTCAAATCTGCCAGGATCTTTTTTTTTCTTTTAGTCTTGTACCTTGCTACTACTTTTTTTTTTTAAACATTTCATTTTATATTTATATGCCAGAATTCCATTATCTGAAATCTTTGGGACCTAATACTCTTGTCTTTCTTTTCTGTTGCTTTTCTTTGTGTTGCCTGTGTGTTTTGTACTTTTTGTGTGTTTTTGTTGTTGTTGTTGTTTGGGGGTGTTTTGTTCTTTTGAGACAGGGTCTTGCTCTGTTGCCCAGGCTGGAGTGCAGTGGTGTGATCATGGCTCATTGCAGCCTCAACTCAGGCAACTCTCCCACCTCAGCCTCCTGAGTAGCAGGGACTACAAGTGCACACCACCATGCCTGGCTAATTTTTTTTTTTAAGTTTTAATAGAGATGACATCTCACTATGTTGCCTAGGCTGGTCTCAAACTCCTGGGCTCAAGCAGTCCTCTTCCCTTGGCCTCCCAAAGTGTTGGGGTTATAACTGTGAGTCATTCTACTTGGCCTGTAATTTTGAATTGTACGTTCTGGTTTGTCTAGGTTCTCTCTGGGGTTGAGAAAACTTCTTCCAGAAGGAATTTATAATTGCCTCTGCCAAGTACCTGTGGCACTGACAACTCAGGACAACTTTAAGTTAATTTCTCCCCCTGGGGTTTATTAAGCCAAACTAGTAATGAAAAGCCAAGCCCAAACTTATGTTAAGCAAACCTATGGTTGCCAATTCTTGAAGGAGAAGTTTATCTGCATACAGAGCCCAGTGGCCAAATTTTTTTTCTGGTCTACCCTTCATGAACGAGGTTCTATTTCTTATATTTATTTTTATTATTTTTATTTTCATTTTCCTTTGAGACAGAGTCTCACTCTGTCACCCAGGCTGGAGTGCAATGGCGCAATCTCGGCTCACTGCAACCTCCGCCTCCTGGGTTCAAGAGATTCTCCTGCCTCAGCCATCCAAGTAGCTGAGATTATAGGTGTGCGCCACCACATCTGGCTAATTTTTGTATTTTTAGTAGAGATGGGATTTCAGCATGTTGGCCAGGCTGGTCTTGAACTCCTGACCTCAGGTGATCCACCCGCATCAGCCTCCCAAAGTGCTGGGATTATAGGCATGAGCCACCACGCCCCGCCAAGGTTCTACTTCTTTAGGGTTCCTGGCTTTATGAGGCATTTTTGCTCCTACTCCCCACCTTGAGTGAGCTCAAGGCTCTGACTTCTGTCCTCTGTGCATCCATGAAACTCACATCTCTCTATTGTATAAATCAGTGCTGTATCTGGCAGCTTCAGCTTCACCATCAGCTTTCCGCTCTGCTTTCTAGCTCCCTCTTTGTTTTGGGCCTTTGGGGATATCCTTTATTCTCTTGTGAGTACAGCTAGGTATTTAAAAGCATATTTATTATATTTTCCCCAGCAATCTCAAGATTTTGCCGCATTGCTGTTTTACTAGATACAGAAATCCAGACTTTTTCCACTCATGGATAATACTGTGTTTTCTGTTTATAAGCTGTATTTTTCATATAATACTGTATCATAGACATTGTATCCTACCATTAAGTGCTCTGCTACTAGATCACTTAAATGCCTTCATTGTAATTCAATAATGTTTAATCATATCCTAATATTGGACATTTGAGGTTCCATTTTATTATTATTAGTATTTTTTTAGTTATTATGACTACATTTATTAAATGTAAATGGTTGTTCCTTATTATGAGATTATATCCTTCCTACTTTTATGATATTAAATATCAACTTTTAAATGAAATATTGGTAGTAAGGTTTTTAAATTTGCTTAAATATCTTTACTTGACCATCCCTTTAACATCCCCCAATTTTTAAAGTCCTTTTTGAATTCAGCATTTTATTATTAATTTAATTCAACATCATTATTTCTTTATAATATGAGCGATGAGTTTGACTTACTGAAAAACATTTTATAGTTTTATTGTTATATTTGGAAAAGAATAGTGATAGATATATAGAAAACTAAGAAAGCAACCAAATGAGAAATTTATTAACTAGAGGTAAGACAAAAGTTTTTAAGAGAAAGATAGATATGTGGTTCATTAGTGAGAATATTCACATAGTTATAATAAAGTAAACCCTGTAGAAAATAAAAGTTGTTTTAAAAGTCTATACTGCATTCATATGGGTTTTTAGAAAATAAGCTGTCAAAAATAACCAGGCCGAGCACGGTGGCTCATGCCTGTAATCCCAGCACTTTGGGAGACCGAGGTGGGCAGATCACGAGGTCAAGAAATCGAGACCATCCTGGCCAACATGGTGAAACCCCGTCTCTACTAAAAATACAAAAATTAGCTGGGTGTGGTGTCGTGCATGGTCCCAGCCACTCGGGAGGCTGAGGCAGGAGAATCGCTTGAACCCGGGAGGCGGAGGTTTCAGTGAGCCGAGATGGCGCCACTGCACTCCAGCCTGGCAACAGAGCGAGACTCCGTCTCAAAAAAATATATAATAACCTTATTAAAAATCATACTCCAGTAAGAAACTTAAGTAAATTACTCATCTTAAGAACATCAAGATAAATTAGACTTGTATGGTATTTGAATATATGAATTTTAAGGATACCTCAAGAGGATCATACTGGATGTTTTACATTATTAATTGGGTTTTAAAAATATCCTCAATTTTCATACCAGTAATTTTTGTAAAGCCTTGTATTTAAGCAATATTTCCAAGGAGTATTAAAACAACATACAACAGAGTCTTTAATACCTACAAACAATGTCTTCTGTGGAAGGGTCTGGAAAAATTATTCACTTTGACAATTGTCTTATTGGACTTTCAGTTCTAGAAAGCACTGCCTTGTTTAAAAGATAGATGTTCATCTTGCTTACCAGAGAAACTCATATTTCTGATAATATTTTTTCTTAAGAGGGACTCCCTCTTTGATATACTGACTATAGATGGAATTAAACAATAATAGAACCGTGAGAGAGAAGTAGAGAAGGGGTGATGTGTGTATGTGTCTGTGTGCAGCATGGTAGGAGGTGACTAAGTCTTCATCTTTCATAGTAAGATGCAAAAGAGAATGTTTGAAATGGAAAGCTCAAGAAATAGTGATATAAATTATTTTTTAAAAGGTGGAGGCAAGTAACAGAAAGAAGAGCTGTAAGTGTTAAAGGTGGTTATATCTTCAGAGTAGGTCTTGGGGCTGGAGAGAATAGGCATGGAACTGCTGTTTTGTAACACTGTTTGCCTTTAAAAGTGATTAACTTAAAATATTTATAGGGCATATCACATTATCTAGAGTAAAAACATACTCTGTGGGAGGTCTCTTTCCCACCCTTGTGTCTCACCTGACTAATTTCCCTTTTCTTCCCCTCCACACATAATCACTTCTCTTAGTTTGTTTTATATTCTTCTGTATTTTTTTTTTTGCAAATACAAGCAAATAGGATATACAGAAATAAATATCCTCCTTTCTTCTTCATAAAGGTAGCTTACTATAGTCACTGACTTTCCTTGCATTTTTTACTTAATATCTAGAGATTTCAATAATACCAATGTGTATATAGAGCTGCATAGAATTTCATTACCTGGCTATATCATAATTTGTTAAAGCAGTCTCCTGTCAATTGACGTTAGGTTGTTTCCAGTCTTTTATTATTATTCATAATGCTATAATGTACATTTGTAACTTCAGATGGATGCAAATAAGTAAAGACCAAAGTAAAAAAGCTGTATAATGTAAATTAATGTAATTGTTTAAAAATTCATTACAATTAACTCTAAATACTGTATATTACAGTTCACTTTTAATTATTCAGGAGATTTATCAATCATTTATTCATTCATACATTTATTGAATAAATTTTGAGCTCTTACTATGTACCAACCCCTCCTATAGTTCCTGGGGATATAGTTGCAACCAGACAGAGCCCCTGCCCTGTGGCTTACAATGGGATGTATGGGAACCAGGCAACGAGATGCTGAGTGATGATGACATAGTGAGGTCACTTGGCAGAGAGGATAATGACAGCGAGGGGCTGGCTGGTAAAACAATGCCATTCACTCTGCTACACCTAACTGCTTGGATTCTCTATAATAAATATTTATTGCTTTTGTAAATTAGAAGAAAACCCAATTGATTTTTTTTAAGTGAAGGAGAGAGACACATATGCAGCATAGCATAGGGAAAGAACATATTCTATGATGTCAGACATACCCAGATTGGATCTAATTCTTGGATACCTTAGCCTTTCTGAGCTTCAGTTTCATCATCTATAAAGTGGGGACAGTAATATTTAATTGTTTTTTTTTCCCGAAGGATTAAAACTAATGGACGTAAAATGCCAGGAACATTATGGAATGAATGGTAGTTTTTACAAATGTGAATTACAATTTTTATACATAGTTGCACTTGTGGTGATAATCTAGCCTTGGGACTTGTCTAGAGGAGGGAACAATGACCTCAGCTTGGAGGCTGTGTTTGAGAAGCTGAGGAAGGCTGCATAGATAACTGGCTTTTGAGCTGGATATTTCCAGGGTATGGGAGAGAGCACTGGGCGACTGGGAGGTGATAGAAAGAAGACCGGGAGGCGAAGAGAAGGGCATGGAGACACAGTTGGGAGCATTTGCTTCCTCTCCCAAGGCGTCTGTCCTGGCATATGTCAGGAATTGCTAAGGCTGGCTCCTTCCAACATTTGAATCAATCTGTGAAACATGCTCGCAATTCATCACAGTCTTAGGAAACCTGCCACGGGGTATCTTGGGGTTGTTTTTAGTTGACCTGCGTTTATTGGTCACAGCTACTTTTCTGAAATCAAAAGCAAACTCAACTGCGGTGAAATGGAAAGAGAAATCTATGAATAATATATTTCCTCCTATTATCCACAGGATAGTTTTGGGCAAGCCTTACCAAAAAAACAAGGCAGTTAAGAAATAAATATCAGATTCTGGATATGTTGAATCCTGGCTGTCACATACAGGATTTTTTTTCATACACTCAGCCCCAGCTGAGATGAAAGCTGTTAGCCGGCTCTGAAAAATAATTTGTCTCAGAGCAGCATGGTAATTCCATCTCTTTGAAATAAAGGTTGCTCAATGCAAAAAAATTGAAAATTAAAATTAAAATCCATTCCTTTTGTTCAGTGGTTTGTTTTCTAGGTCTTTCCCTCATTTTGTTTTTTTTTTTTCCCTCAAATGATCTGCCTGTTCCTCCTTGTGTTCTTTCTCTTGTTAACCAGTTGTTTGTGCTTACATTAAGTGATTTCAGAAATCAGTGGGGATTCAGGATATGGACTGAAATCTGGGTTGAGCTTTTGCTTCTAGGAGTGAAGTGTAAATGTCAGCTCTTTCTCTTCATAGTGTTGTGTTTGTAGATCTTCTGGGGAGAGAAATACATGAGCTGTAGTTCTAAATGGGCTGCCCAGGGCACATGGGCATTTTCTCATAGTTAGAGTTGCCAGACAAAACACTATAATAATGTCCCAAATATTGCAGAATAAAAAAAAAATTATTCACCTGAAATTCAATTATTACCTGGGAATCCTGCACTGTATTTTCATTTGCTAAGTCTGCCCACCCTGTTCATCCTCCACCCCTCTCTGTGTTACGCGCAGATTCCCTTCCTGCATTTAACCCAGGTCTTTTCTTACTGCTCTCTGGTGTTACTCACTCGAAGCTCTTAATGCCGAGTAGATGTAAGCTCTCAGCGACCAAAAGTAAAGGCAGGAATGTTAAATTTATTTTTTTAAATATTAAAAACATTCACATAATTCACAAAATACAAAAGGCGATTTGTTTTTAAAAAAAATTCTCAGCCGAGGCGGGCGGATCACCAGGTCAGGAGATCGAGACCATCCTGGCTAACGTGGTGAAACCCCGTCTCTACTAAAAATACAAAAAAATTAGTCGGGCGTGGTGGCGGGCGCCTGTAGTCCCAGCTACTTGGGAGGCTGAGGCAGGAGAATGGCGTGAACCGGGGAGGCGGAGCTTGCATTGAGCGGAGATCGTGCCACTGCACTCCAGCCTGGGCGACAGAGTGAGACTCAGTCTCAAAAACAACAACAACAAAAAAATTCTCCCTGAGCCCTCTCTCCCCTCATCAGCACAGATGTTAAAAATTTTTTGTGAATTCTTCCAGAGATATTTTATACATTTTCTAGCAAATTTATATTTATATTTTTCCCACCCCATTCGCTTTCCCACAAGAGGTGAGTACTGTATATACCATTCTGCACTTTCTTTCTTCACTTAACAAAAGGTGCTGGTATATAACAGTACATGAAGAGCTTCTTTACTAATGCAAAGTATTTCATTTTATGACCAGACCATAGTTTATTTAATTGGTTTTCTGCTGACACACATTTGGTTGTTTCTAGTTTTTCTTTCTTTTTTCCATCTTTTCTTTTTCTTTATTTTGTAGACAGGGTCTCACTCTGTCACCCAGGCTGGAGTGCAGTGGCACAATCTGGGCACACTGCAGCCTTGACCTCCCAGGCTCAAGTGAGTCTCTTACCTCAGCCTCCCGAGTAGCTGGCATTACAGGTGGTGCCACTATGCTTGGCTAATTCTTTTATTTTTTGTGGAGATGAGGTCTCGCTGTGTTTTCCAGGCCTGCCTCGAACTCCTGGACTCAAGTGATCCTCCCGCCTGGGCCTCTGAGAGTATTGGGATGACAGGTGTGAGCCACCATGCCTGGCCCAGACTTTTTCCATATGTGACAATCTCTTAGGTAAAAAATGGCATCTCACTGTTTTAATTTGCATTTTTCTTTTTGTGAGTAAATTTGAGCATCTTTTTCTTCTTTTCTTTTTTTTTTTTTTGAAACAAAGTCTCACTCTATCACCCAGGCTGGAGTGCAGTGTGATCTCAGCTTTCTGCAACCTCTGCTTCCTGGGCTCAAGTGATCCTCTTGCCTCAGCCTTCTGAGTAGCTGGGACTACAGGTCCATATCACTATGCCACACTAATTATTTTTTTTTAAGGGATAGGTTCTCCCTGTGTTGTCCAGGCTGGTCTTGAAATGCTAGGCTCAAGTGATCCACCTGCCTCAGCCTCCCAAAGTGCTGGGATTACAGGGGTGAGCAACTGTGCCCCCGGGCCTGAACATCTTTTAATGTATTTCAAATGCGCTTATATTTTCTTTTCTATGTTCTGTCTGTTGACAGACTTTTTCTATTGAATTTTTATTAATTTGAAAGTTCTCTTATGTATTAGGGAAATTATCCTTTGTCTGCAATGTGAGTTGCAAATATTTTCCCAATTTGTTGTTGACACTTCTACTGTGCTTATGGTGATTTTCCATGAACATTTAAGACAACCATATATTTTATTAGTGGATACAATTTAGCCATATTTTTCTTTTCTTTTTTTGAGACAGAGTCTTTCTCTGTCGCCCGGGCTAGAGTGCAGTGGCACGATCTCAGCTTACTGCAACCTCCACCTCCCGGATTCAGGCGATTCTCATCCCTCAGCCTCCTGAGTAGCTGGGACTACAGGCGCCCGCCACTATGCCTGTCTAATTTTTGTATTTTTAGTACAGACAGGGTTTCAGCCTGTTGGCCAGGCTGGTCTTGAACTCCTGACCTCAGGTGATCTGCCCACCTTGGCCTCCCAAAGTGCTGGGTGCTGGGATTACAGGCGTGAGCCACTGCCCCTGGCCTAGAATGTTTTCATTACTTCAAAAAAAAAAAAAAAGCAAAAACTGTACATCTTATAATTTACTCCCCATTTTCTTCCAATCTCCCAACCCTGAACAACTACTAATCTACTTTTTGTCTATGTGGAGTTGACCATCCTGCATATTTCATATAAATGGAATCAAATAATATGTGGTTCTTCCTGACTGGCTTCTGGCTTCTTTCACTTAGCATAATGTTTTGGGTTTTTTTGTTTGTTTGTTTGTTTGTTAGTATATTTTCAAAGTTTATCATGCTCTAGCATGTATTAGTACTTCATTCCTTTATATTGCCTATTACTATGCCTTTACATGGATATACCACATTATTTTTATCCGTTTTTCAGTTGATGAATGTTTGGGTTGTTTCTACTTTTTGGCTATTATGAACATTCATGTACAATTTTTTTTTTGTTTTGAGGGAGGCTTGGCTCAAAAAAACCATAGGCTCAGCCTATGTTGCCCAGGCTTGTCACAAACTCGTGGGCTCAAGCGATCCTCCCCGCTCAGCCTCCCAAAGTGCTGGGATTACAGGAATGAGCCACCCTGCCAGGCCTAACTCCCTTATCATGTACACATTGTTTTGTGGCTATATGTTTTCATTTCTCTTGAGTATATACATAGGAGTAGAATTGCTGGGTTATATAGTAACTCTGTTTAACTGTTTGAAGAGCTACCAAATTATTTTCTAAGTGGCTGCACAATTTTACATTCACACCAACAATGTATGAGGATTCCAATTTCTCACATGCTTGACAACGTTTTTAATTGTCTTTTTTATTATAGCCATGCTAGTGGGTATGAGGTGGTATCTCATTGTCTCTCTGACTTGCATTTCCCTGATTGCTAATGATATTGAGCATATTTTCATGAGCTTATTAGCAATTTATGTATCTTTTTTTGGAGAACTGTCTATTCAGGTTCTTGTTCATATTTAAAATGATTTGTCTTTTTATTATTGAATTATAATACTTATTTGTATATTTTAGATACAAATCCCTTATTAGATTTTTGATTTGCAAAAATTTCATCCCATTCTGTGGGCTGTCTTTTCACTTTCTTGATGGTGTCCTTAAAAGCACAAAAGTTTTTCATTTTGGTGATGTCTATTTTATCTATTTTTTCTTTTATCATTTGTCCTTTTGGTGTCATATTTAAGAAACCATTGCATAATCAAAGTTCATGAAGATTTACACCCATGTTTTCTTCTAATAGTTTTGTAGTTTTGGCTCTGATATTTGGGTCTCGATCCATTTTGAGTTGATTTTTGTATATGTTGTGTGGTAGGGGTAAAATTTTATTCTTTTGCATGTTGGTATCTGTTTGTTGTGGCATCATTTGTTGAAAAGACTATTCTTTCCCCATTGAATTGTCCTGGAACCCTTGTCAAAAGTCAGGCTCATAGTTTCTTGTAGTGCTTTTATGGGCCTGTGCTTTTCATCAGAAATTTATTTCAACACTTGTAAAAGTAAAAGCTAAAAAAAAAAAGATAAATTTATCTGGTTCAGGGATACAGCTTAGCATTTTTTTCAGTTGCTACCTGTTTCTCCAATACAATTTATTTAATAACCTACCTTTTCTCCACTGATTTTTGTTTGTTTGTTTGTTTGTTGGTTTTGAGACAGAATCTCGCTCTGGTTGCCCAGGCTGGAGTGCAGTGGCGTGATCTTGGGTCACTGCAACCTCCTCTCCCGGGTTCAAGCAATTCTTCTGCCTCAGCCTCCTGATTAGCTGGGATTACAGGCATGTGCCACCATGCCTGGCTAATTTTTGTATTTTTAGTACAGACGGGGTTTCATCATGTTGGCCAGGATGGTCTCAATCTCCTGACCTCGTGATCTGCCTGCCTCGGGCTCCCAAAGTGCTGGGATTCCACTGCGCCCGGACTTTCTTTTTTTTTTTTTCTTTTTTTTTTTTTTTTGTTTTTGAGACAGGGTCTGGCTCTGTCACCCAGGCTGGAGTGCAATGGCATAATCTCGGCTCACTGCACCCTCTACCTTCCAAGTTCAAGCAATTCTCGTGCCTCAGCCTCCTGAGTAGCTGGGATTATTGGTGGCTGTCACCACACTCAGCTAATTTTTGTAGTTTTAGTAGAGACGGGGTTTTGAAATATTGCCCAAGCTGGTTTCTAACTCCTGAGCTCAAGCAATCCACCTGCCTCAGCCTCCCAAACTGTGAGCGGTTGGCTCACAGGCGTGAGCCCCTGCACCTGGCCTTCTCCACTGATTTGACATGCCTTTTTTTTTTTTTTTTTTTTTTTTTTTGAGACGGAGTCTCCCTCTGTCGCCCAGGCTGGAGTGCAGTGACATGATCTTGGCTCATTGCAAGCTCTGCCTCCCGGGTTCACGCCATTCTCCTGCCTCAGCCTCCCAAGTAGCTGGGACTACAGGTGCCTGCCACCATGCCCGACTAATTTTTTTGTATTTTTAGTAGAGACGGGGTTTCACCGTGTTAGCCAGGATGGTCTCGATCTCCTGACCTCGTGATCCGCCCGCCTCGGCCTCCCAAAGTGCTGGGATTACAGGCGTGAGCCACCGCGCCTGGCCTGACATGCGATTTTTAATCATGTCTTTTGGTCTTGGAAGTATTTGGATCCATTTATTGAATATCTGTACCATTCAGTGATCCATTTTTGCACCTGTACCATCCTCTTTTAATGATTTTTAAAAATAATATATTTCATTATATGGTAGGACCAGTTTTCCCTCAATTATCTCATTTTTCAAAAAATTTTGGCCTTTTTTCTTGTTAATTTTCCCATGTGCACTTTAAAATTCATTTTTTCTAGTTTTTCATTCACCCAAATAAAAATTCTGCCAGCACCATTTTAATTAATTTAGGAAACACTGATATATTTATGATATTGAGACTATTTGTCCAAGAACATTTATTCATGGTTTCCTCCATTTATTTAAGATTTTTCTCCATCTATTTAAGGTTTTTTTGTGTTCCTCAGTAGCATTTTATTTATTTATTTATTTATTTTTTCCTCAGTAGCATTTTAAAGTTGTCTTAAAATAGATGTGCAAATACCTTGTTAAAGTCAGCCTTAGGTCTTCTATTTTTTGTCTGTTGCTGTTGCTATAGTCCTCTATTATGTTTTCTGTATTTTTTATTGCTATAGTCTTCTGTTACATCTTCTACCTAGTTGTTGTTAATTGTTAGAATTTGAAGCGATGTGGATATAATTTAATCTTCTGTTTATTTTTTAAATTGTTTTCTCCTTGAGACTTAAATTGGCATTTAAGCATCTTTTTTCTAGTATGCTGCCAATTAGTTCGTTCACAGTTGGGGACTGCAAAGTTATTTGGCATGGAGAGCAGCAATTTTGAAATCATGGCATTTTAAAAAATGTTTTTAACTAAAGGAACATATTTTTATTTAAAATGCATACTTAAGCATTCATTTTTTAACTAAAATTGTTACTATTAGTAGATGAGAAATAAGTAAAACCTGGAAGTATAAATGTATCAGCTTATGTTTTAAATTAGTCGCTTTCCTCAGGAAGTTTACAATTTAGTTGAAGAGAAAATATACATAAACCTAAAAAATTAATTGCTTCTATAAGGAAGCATATGTTAGTTACCATATAAGTGATTCCAGAATACAAGGGTATATCTGCCATTTTAAAAATTATTAGACTGTCATTTGGCTTTATAGTATTTGCATTGTCCATAAAGCAGCCATTACTCACTGTAGGTGTCTGCTTTGATCTTACCTGAACCAAAGTATTTTATAACCCATAAACTGGAAAAAAAAAAACCGAAAAACAAATAGTGTCACTTATCAGATAAAATTAGGTCTGGCTTTCTTTCTTTTCTTTTTCTTTTCTTTTTTTGAGATGGAGTCTAGCTTTTGTTGCCCAGGCTGGAGTGCAATGGCACGATCTCGGCTCACTGCAACCTCCACCTCCCGGATTCAAGTGATTCTCCCACCTCAGCCTCTCAAGTAGCTGGGATTACAGGCATGTGCCACCATGCCCAGCTAATTTTTGTATTTTGAGTAGAGATAGGGTTTCACCATGTTGGTCAGGCTGGTCTCAAATTCCTGACCTCAGGTGATCCACCTGCCTCGGCCTCCCAAAGTGCTGGGATTACAGGCATGAGCCACCGCACCTGGCCTGGCTTCTTAGAAACAAATGTTCAAGAGAAGCAGTGGCTTAAATGAGAGAAAAGTTTATTTTTTCCTCAAGAATTCAAAGGTTGGCTGTCCAGGGCTGGTAGGCAGTCCCATGTCTTCAAGGACCCAGCTCCTTCCATCTTCCCAGCACTGGCTTGCTTTCTCAAGGCCTCTGTGTAGTCCTAGATGGCTGCTGTGGCAGCAGACCTTGTTTTCTGTTCTAGGCAGCAGGAAGAAGAAAAGATGAGGAGGACAAAAAGAGCTTCCCTCAGAAGTTTTATTCAATAGTTCCTTTTCTGTCTCTTTGACCAGTGTATAATCACATGACCACACTAAGCTGCAAAGGGTGAGGGGAGGTTGGGAAATGTAGTCTGTTAGCTGGGTATTCTGGGGCCCCAGATAATTATGTGAGTTTTATTACTAAGGAATAAATGGAGAATGTTCACTGAACAGGCAATCTTTGCCACAGTCACCTTCATCTTATCCTTGAGCCTCATTCTCTGCATCCTAGACCTTCATCCCTCCCTTGTCCATGTCCTGGCACAGGAAGTGATCCATCAGTACTTGTTGAATACCCTTCTGTGCTTTGCCCATTTCTGGCCCCATCTCTGGGCTCACCTCATTCCCACATCTCATTCATTCTCTGACACCAGTCCCGAGCCTTACCCCATCTCTGAATCAGTGATGTCATCACCGTCACCCAAAGAAGGGAAAGAATTCAGCTGGGGTGAGGCTTCTCAGATGGCCTAGGGGTCATGCATGATCGGAAGCCTAGAGAAGGAATGAGATTGAGGAACAGGATATGGCCAGAAATATGAGGAGTCAGAAATACCCATTCCGGCCAGGCGCAGTAACTCACGCCTATAATCCCAACACTTTGGGAGGCCAAGGTGGGCAGATCACTTGAGGTCAGGAGTTTGAGGCCACCCTGGTCAACATGGTGAAATCCTGTCTCTACTAAAAAAGTACAAAAGTTAGCCAGGCATGGTGGCAGGCACCTGTCGTCCCAGCTACTTGGGAGGCTGAGGCAGGAAATCGCTTGAACCCCGGGAGGCGGAGGTTGCAGTGAGCCGAGATTGCACCACTCCACTTCAGCCTGGTGATAGAGTGAGACTCTGTCTCAAAAAAAAAAAGAAACATCCATTCCAACATCTCTCAGTAATTTTGTTTAAAAACCTATGTCAGAATGACCATGTTAAAATAACTGTCTTCTATAAAAATGAAATCTATAAGTGTATTTTATTAATACAAAGGTAAGATGTGTTCAGTTTAGAAAAAAATAGAAAATACAGATCAGAAAAGAAGCAAAAAAGGAAAAGAAAAAAAGCATATATTATTCTCACCAGTTTTCACCATGGGGGGACATTTCCTTTCAGATCTTTACATGTATACAATTGATCCATGCAGAGTTTATGGAAGGATATATGGGCTTGTACTATTTATAACATTTTGAACTTGTGAAGGCTTATTTTAAAAGTTCTATTTTGTCACTCGATTAAACTTTACCTTTGATCAAAATTGTTAAAGAGCTTGACAGGCTTTCTATGTAAATTCTTTAAATATTTTCTTCCCTTTTAATGAAGACAGAAAACTACAGTGAGGTGGGCAAAAGGCAAGCAGC